>NW_013171814.1:0-300000 GCF_000001405.40 Homo sapiens
TCTGCCTCTGCCACCGCCGCCATTGGCAAGAAAGCATCAATGTCCTTGCTGGCTGTCAGCGTTTTCTCTATTGGTCAGAAACCGAAAAGTGGGCCCCAGGTTTGTTAATCAGGCTCAGCAGGATGTGGGAAAATCTTGGCAGAAATGAAAGCAGCAGACAAAAGGCTGTCAGAGCTGGGTCTGATGGGAAGGCAGCGCTGCTTGGTAGCAGAAGCAGAGCATCTCCCTGACGTATGAAAATGACCCCATTCTTCCAGGAAGCCTCCCCAGAAAGTTTGACCTGTTGCAAGTCAGGCTTTGGCTACAACCAGGAAGTTGATGGGGATGACACTGGGGAGGGAGGAGAGGGTATTGGGAAGGGAGGAGGGAGTTCACCAGGATGAGGAAGCAATGGCTCCATTCATGGGGGAGAAATGTGGACATGTGGGAATGAGGGGTGCTGTCTTCCCTCTTCCCTTCAGGACCGTGTGCATCAGCATGCCCCAATAGGTCCCAGAGAACAGAGCTCAAGCCTCGTCCTCTAACACCAGAGGTGCCAGATGATCATTATGGGACAGCTCAACCTATGACCCATAGTGGAGTGGTCAGTGCTGGGCTGGATCTTCTGTTCCAGGTGCTTCTCTTGACCTAGTCCTGAGACCTCTTCCCATTCTTCTTTCCTCCTTTTACCAAGTTAGCACCACAGGACCACCATTCAATTCAGCCTTTTAGGGTGAGGGTGGGATGACTCCCCTGAAGCCACTGCTCCCCAAAGGACCTGGCTGGGTTGTCTTCTGGGGGCTGCGCCACTCACCTGGCACCTTCTCCTTTGGACTCTTAAGCACAACAGCCTAGTCAATCCACACTGGAGGAACAGCGTGTAATGCCCCAAAGGGGACCCAGAGGGTCACAGCTCAGGGATATAGTTGGGGATAATGGGCACTTACCTTGTCTCAGAGGGGATTAGTGCTCCTGTGGTCAACCAGGGTGATTCTCTGCCCTTCTCTCACTGAAAAAGAGAAAAAAGGATATTGAATCTCCATAAGGGCATCTGAATACACCACAGTGAGGATGCTGGAGGGAAAGGCTCCTTTGCCCTTTGTCTTTTGCCCTGCCCCAATGTATCTGGTGTCTCAAGGCCCCTCAAGCCCTGTTGTGGGCTGAAATGCATCCTCCCAAATTCATATGTTGAAGTTCTAACCCCCAGCACCTCTCAATGTGACTGTATTTGGAGAAAGCACCTCTAAAGAGGTAACTTGGTTAAAATCAAGTCCTGTGGGAAGGCCCTTATCCAGTAGGACTGGTGTCCATGTAAACAGAGCTTGAAGAGACACTAGGGATGCACATGTGCAGAGAAAGGCCATGTAAGGATGCAGTGAGAAGGCAGCTGTCTGCAAGCCAAGGAGGGAGGCCTCAGAAGGACCCGGTCCTGCCAACTTCCAGCCTCCAGAACAGTGGGAAAATAAAGTTCTGTTGTCTAAGACACCCAATCCCGATAGTTTGTTATGGCAGGCCTAGCAAACTAATACAAACCCTATTTCCTCTATGAAAGTTTTCTTTATATCTTAATGAATTTGGTTACTATTATGACAGATCTCTAATGTTTTCTAAAAAAAAAATCAAACAAATCCTTATAGCAGCAGTCCCTGGAAACCCACACAGAAAATTCTGTCCCACATTATCCCATTCAAATAGCCGTTCCTGATAAGAAATGATTCCCGACTGTGAGGAATCAGATCTAGGAGGAAGGACAAGTATGCTTTGACAAAACTCCCTACCCAAGTTTGATTTACTACCTCCACGTTGAAAGTCACAGCTACACAGTTTAACACAAACAGTGAAGCACTTGTGACATACTTCTTTATCTTCTGGTTTATTTATTTAGTTCTATCTGTTCAATTCGTCTCCCTGTTTTAGCCTGGGTTCCCAGAAAGCAGAACCTGCAAGAAGGGTTTGGGTGTGAGAATCTTATTGGAGAAAGTGATCCCTTACAGGGAGCAAAAGTGAAAGACGGGAGAAAAGCTGAGCTAGAGGGAGAACCAATACAAGGATGCAGGGTGGACGTGGTCCTTTTTATGGGTGATTACTTGCCTGTCCCCACAGGTCCATTTGGGAACTCATATGAAACACATTCAGGATCTTCCCCTGGGGAAAAAGGAGAAAAGCACTTATTTACTGGCTCCTAGCCGCCATTGGTCAGTTTTGCTCTGTGGGGTGGGTGTTCACTTGTCTGCACTTCCTAACTGTGTATGCAGGGGCACTGAATGTGTTCCCATGAGTCCCACGTGGCAGTGCCAGAACAACCTCTGGGCAGGAAGTGAGCAGTACAAGCGGGGCTGTCCTCAGGGAATACAGGGCCTTGGGCAAATATTCTTTATATATAAACAATCTGATTTAAAAATATATTACAAATTTCGGCTGGGTGTGGTGGCTCACGCCTGTAATCCCAGCCCTTTGGGAGGCCGAGGCGGGCAGATCACCTGAGGTCAGGAGTTCGAGACCAGCCTGGCCAACATGGTGAAACCTTGTCTCTACTAAAAATACAAAAATTAGACAGGCATGGTGGCGGGTGCCTGTAATCCCAGCTGCTCGGGAGGCTGAGGCAGGAGAATCACTTGAACCCAGGAGGCGGAGGTTGCAGTGAGCTGAGATGGCACCATTGCACTCCAGCCAGGGCAACAAGAGTAAGACTCCATCTCAAAACAAACAAACAAATATATATATAACAAATTCCATAGGCCTACATGAGATAGAGTGATTTGTCAATGAAGTTTTAGAGTCATGGGTAGGCAATAGATACTGACTTTGTTGTCCTATCAATACACATGAAGAGTTTTTGTAGTGTCCAGGCACCGTCTCTTCCTATCCAGGACCATGAAGTATTCCCTTCCTGCTCATTACTGTTAGATGCACCATTCCTGACTAATCAGATCTTCCACTGAGAAAAAGGTAGCAATGACTGTCATTACTCACAATGCTGTGGTTCTTTAGAACCTATTTGTATTGAAATAATATGGTTCTTGCCTCTGCAGTTCCCTAATACCATAGATTTAATGATGTTTACATCATTACCCATAATGCTGCATCATCTTTTAAGCCACCTGTGGATAGGATACTGGTTTCCAATGGTTCTCTCAAAGGTTGTTAATGTGCTTCACTGATGATGACTATAAATGCAAGTCTTACTCAGAGTATGCAGGGGAATGTGAATAAGAATTCTTTTCTGAACATACATGGTAAATTTTCCCTTCTGAATTTTGTAATGTAAATATTGAACAGCATGTCTTCCAACCATGTCTTCCCTTCAACATGTCTTCCCTTTGACAGTAATCACTGCATCCTAGAATGTGATCTATTTCAATGCCGATTTCACTCCAGCATTCCACACACCACCATCAAAATGGAGGACAGGTGAAAGGCCTGTTGGGGAGAGCTAGAAGAGCAGAACAGCTTCCACAGGGAACATTTGTCCTTCACTCAGCAGGGCTGCAGACTGACCAGGAGAGCATGAAATCACCACGTCAATCAGAAGAGCCCACTGGCTAGGGGAACCAGAGTTCTAAAAGCCTTTGGAGGAGACAAAAAGGGCCATTCCTAGATAATTGCCTTCTTGGAACCAGCCACAATTGGGCTCCATATGCCCAAGTCCTGGAGCTCTTTGGGATATCTGATTGACTTCTTGTATGGTGCATGAACCTGTGTGTGTGTGTGTGTGTGTGTGTGTGTGTGTGTGTGTGTGTGCGCGCACGCACATACCATGGGAGAAATTGGAACCTAGGTCCACGCAGGTCTCAGTCCAGGTTCAATAGTACTTAGAAAATTTTAAGGAAGGAGTTGGGAGGGGTAGGCAGGTCCTGAGGCTCAGGTCGATGCCTGGGTCCTGCTTGCCTGGATCTAAGGGTGGTACCAGGTATAGGGCATGAGTTGGAGGCACCACAGTTAGGTTGGTCCCATAGGAAGCTGGCTGAGGCCCTTTAGAACAGCTCACTTTAGCAATGGCTAAAATAAGAGGCAGCGAGGCGTAGAGGATCTACAGTGATGCATAAGAAGGTCTGACAAACTCCCCCATGCGATTTTAAACTCCTTAAGGACTTCCATGTCTATTCTTTTTTTTATATGCCTCACAGCATATAGCATAGGCTGTGAGGATTTAATAAGTGCTAAATAAACTCATTTATTCTTTCAGTCATTTAAAAACTTTTACTGAGGTTCTGCCTCATATATGCAAAGAAACACTAGGCTTTGTGAAGAATACAAGGAAATACACAATCCAATCCCTGACTATGAGAACATTCAGTTGAAGAAAGGGGTTGTCAAACCTGAAATTATGACAAGAATCCATCCCTTCCCGAAGTGTTATATAGTGTCTAGTCCCTGGGACTCAATAAATATTTGTTGAATGAATTAATGTTCATATTAGGAGCTTTGGATTATCATGTCCAGAATATAGGCTCCCATTTGGGGGCTACAACGAAGTAAATAAATAAGCATTTATCAAACATCCTGGGCTGGGCACTGATTAGCACCTGAGAAGCAACAGAGAAGATTCGTGCCTGCTCAAAGCTGATAATCCCACTGGGGAAAGGAGGAAATCTACAGAAAACAATCAAAGAACCAGCAAAGGTATTATGGATCTGAGTCAAAGCAGGTGACTCAGACCTTAGGGTACACACCTGTGTGCCCCTCATAGCTCATCACACAAGTTGCATAAACACAAGTTTAGTTAATGAGGAAACAAAGATATAAAATCATAGATTACCTTATAGGAGCTTACACCCAGAGCCAGACCTTAGGGAAACAAATAGAATGTCTCTTTGGTGCTATCCTAACATCCCTCTAGGACCCTCTGAATTTTGCTATTCTAAGGTACTAAGACCCTCTTTCCAGCTGCTCAGAGCCTCTATACCAGTGTATCCCTTGGCTAACTCGGCCTGGGCAATGAATCATATCCTGAACCTATTTCCTACTTCTCCACACTCACCATCACATCTACCCACTAGAGCAAATATTCAGGGCATAAATCTATGTCCCCAGGTTGATGTCCTCAAACTTGGCCCAAATAAACTCTCCATATATATATTTAAAATTACCTACTTCCAACTCTTTCTTGTCGATCGGTGTGAGAATCTCTTGCTGATTAGTATCAAGTGACTGATGATACTTGCGTGAGTGCCTCTATTGCCTGCAGGTAAGACCTCCTCTTTCCATGCCTAGAGAATGCTGGGGAATATGCTGAGTGCCTTTCACCTTACCCCGCAAGGCAACTGGGAGTTTTGAAACTAATGAGGCTGATTGTAGTCAGAGCCACTCTGAAAGGGCCACTCTGTGAATGTCACAGTTCTTAGATGTCTAGAAAGACGCTTCACAAAAATGATACCACCTTTTGCCTACAAAAGAAATCAGTACAGTTAACCCTTGAACAACATGGGTTTCAACTATGCAGGTCCACTTATGCACAGATTTTCTTCTACCTCTGCCACCCCTGAGACAGCAAGACCAACCCCTTCTCTTTTTCCCTGTCTTTAGCCACTCAATGTGAAAACGATGAGGATAAAGACCTCTTTGATGATCCACTTTCACTTAACGAATAGTGAATATATTTTCTCTTCCTTACGATTTTCTTAATAACATTTTCTTTTCTCTAGCTTACTTTATTGTAAGAATACAGTATATAATACCTATAACATACAAAATATGTGTTAATTGCTAGTTTATGTTATCAGTAGGTTTCTACTCACCAGTAGGCTATTAGTACTTAAGTGTTTGAGGAGCCAAAAGTTACTAGCCAGGCATGGTGGCACGCACCTGTGGTCCCAGCTACTTGGGAGGCTGAGGTGGAAGAATCACTTAAGCTCAGTGGTTGAAGCTGCAGTGAACCCTGATTGTGCCACTGTAGTACAGCTTAATGACAGAGCAAGACTCAGTCTCAAAAAAACAAAAAGCCCCCCAAAACACAAAAGTTATACGCAGATTTTCAACTGCATAAGGCTGTTGGCACGCCGAACCCCACATGGTTAAAGGGTCAACTGTACTTAAATTCCACCATTAGAAATAATATATAAAGTGCTGATATCATTGGTAAGGCTAATCCAGGGATTTGTAATCTAAAAGTCATCTATAATCACGATCCTAGAAATCATCACATCTGGGGTTCTCAAGCCTGGCTTCACATCAGAACCTCCTGGGAGACTTTTAAAATACATTGATGCCTTGGCTCTGCCCCCAGATATTCCTATTTAACTGGCTGTTATGGATCCTGGATACTGGTAGTTTTAAAGCTTCCCAGATTGTTCCAGTGTACAACCAAGACTGAGAATCACTGACCTAATCCCTCCTTGCCCCCACTCCTTGACATTATTCATGAGGAAATGAGAATTAGAGAAGGGTGACAGGAACTTGCTCAAGTTTATAAAGCCAGGTAGTGCCAAAGCCAGCACTAGACCCTCAGCCCCTTGGTTCCTGCTCAGAATACCACCTTCTACTGCACAGCTATAATGATGGATGAGAATGCTCTTCCTGAGTGCAGCTTTTCATAGAGAAGGGATGGGGAGAAGGTCCAAGGGTGCTGACACCTGGGAAAAGGAGAGGAGGAAGAAGGTACCCAAGGTGGAGAAACCACGGTCAGGTGTGCCCCACTTTACAAGAGCAGAGTGCAATGCTGGCAGGCAACCATGTTCACATTCATTTGCACAGCCTGTACTGGGGGAAGAAGAAATTAGTTTAGTCCTAAGATTACACTCTGTGGTCATTGTTGCAGCCTCCACTGTTACCAGCTTTGTATCACTGTCAATGTTACCGCAGTCCCCAAGCCCAGGTACAATTCCCAGCTCTGAAAAGGCCGCACAGGGCCTGCTCTGCTCCCTTCCCTTGTCCAGGGAAAATTGCAGTCGACACAAATACAGCCAATCCCAGGAGACAGTCATGCTGAAAGGGCCCTGTGTCCTAGAGGCTGCATATAATCCCCAATTATCCCCCAGTTTCCCCAGGGAGAGAATGGAGAGGTGAGGGCTTTCAAAAGCCAGCATCCCTTCAGTCTCCATTATGCGGAGACTCACACAGCCTCCTTTCTCCAAACAGCACAGAAGGTCACAGGGACACGGGGCAACAGAGGCAGCTCTTTCAGGCTGGGAGAACAGCCTTCCTCCCTGTCTCAACCCAACCAGAGAACCCCAGCTTTCTTTTTAAGCCATAGAAATGAAGATGGGAGCACTGCTGCAGAAATCCAGCATCACACGAGTTGCCTTCCAGCCAACTCCGTGGAGCATTGGTTAAGACCTACAGAGAAGTCCAAGCCAGGAGGTCTTGCTGTCATCAAAGACAGCAAGGTCTTGCTGTTCCGTGCTCTGTGCTCTGTGAACTCCTTTCTGACCACCACCCCTCACCCAGAGCCACTCAAGTCCTCTCTCAGCAGCACTGACTGTCCTCCCTGGTCATCAGACTCCACCTGAAGCTGTTCTCTGTCCTTGCCCTTGTGTCACTGCATGTGTCCGCCACACTGGCAAGTCCTCAAGGCAGGAAACACACCATCTTCTTGTCTAGCTTTGCTTCCCCACGTGAATTAACACAGTACTGAGCTCACAGTAAACCCAAGGCTGTAAATATTCATAGAATTCACTAATATATTGGGAGATAAGCTATTTCCTGGCCTCCAAATGTGAATCTCTGGGCTTTATTTCACCCTCTTTTTCACCCCTAGAAACACTTAAGTTTTAGCAATGCACATACAGCTCACGAAAAGCACTTATCCCTACATTCTACACGTATTTAGAGGAGGGTGTATCCTGCAGTATTTAAGAGTATGGAGTCCTAATGCTTGGATTTTGAGTCCTAACTACCTGAGTTACTTTGGGCAAGTAATTTAATCTTTTCAAGTCTTGGGTTTCTCATCTGTAAAATGAAGATAATATTGGTGCCTAGCTCCTTGCGTTGCAGTGAAGATTAAAATAGGTACCGCAGGCCAGGTGGGGTGGCTGACACCCGTAATCCCAGAACTGTGGGAGGCTGAGGCAGGAGAATCACTCGAGCTCAGGAGTTCAAGACCAGCCTGGGCAATATAGAAAGACTCTGTCTCTACAAAAAATTAAAAAATTAGCTGGGCATGGTGGCAACGACCAGTGGTCCCAGCTACTTGGAAAGCTGAGGTGGGAAGATCACTTGAGCCCAGGAGATTGAGGCTGCTGTTAGCCATTATCGTATCAACGCACTCCAGCTGGGCAACAGAGCGATCCACTGTCTCAGAACAAACAACAACAACAAAAAGACTTACTGCAGGTAATATTCTTAGCATGCTCCCTGGTACATGGTAATTGCTAGATAAAAGTGAGGCACAGTCATTAGAGAAATGCAAATCAAAACCACAATGAGATACCATCTCATGCCAGTTAGAATGGCCATCATAAAAAGTCAGGAAACAACAGATACTGGAGAGGATGTGGAGAAATAGGAATGCTTTTACACTGTTGGTGGGAGTGTAAATTAGTTCAACCATTGTGGAAGACAGTGTGGCGATTCCTTAAGGATCTAGAACCAGAAATACCATTTGACCCAGCAACCCCATTACTGGGTATATACCCAAATGATTATAAATCATTCTACTATAAAGACACATGCACATGTATGTTTATTGCAGCACTATTCACAATAGCAAAGACTTGGAACCAACGCAAATGCCCATCAATGATAGAGTGGATAAAGAAAATGTGGCACATATACACCATGGAATACTACGCAGCCATAAAAAGGATGAGTTCACGTCCTTTGCAGGACATGGTTGAAGCTGGAAACCATCATTCTCAGCAAACTAACACAGGAACAGAAAACCAAACACTGCATGTTCTCACTCATAAGTGGGAATTGAACAATGAGAACACATGGACACAGGGAGGGGAACATCACACATCGGGTCCTGTTGGGGGTTGGGGGGCAAGGGGAGGGAGAGCATTAGGACAAATACCGAATGCATGTGGGGCTTAAAATCTAGATGACGGGTTGATAAGTGCAGCCAACCACCATGGCACATGTATACCTGTGTAACAAACCTGCACGTTCTGCACATGTATCCCAGAACTTAAAGTATAATAAATAATAAAAAATAAAAATTAAAAAGTGAGGCATAATTATTGATATTTATTGAATACCTACATATCTTTTGGCTGGCATGGCACTGTGCATATGAAGGGAGAAAAAGCAAATGTGTGGTGTTAAGATTCATAATCTATTGGGGGGAAGACCCTTAAAAAACCCCTACATAGTATTCTTACCACTGCAATGTAGAGATACAGACAGGGTATTTTGGGGAGTACAGAGCAAGAAACCCAAGAAGACTTCCTGAAGGAAGTGACAACTGAGTGTGAGATGAACAGAGGGCTAGAGATGGGGTGGGGATCGCATTTTAGCCAAAGGAAACTAGGTGAACCAGGGTTTATGACAACCAGGGGCAAGAACCATCCCATTAAGTGTGTGTAAGGCAGTAGGAGAACTGATTGTTTCATATTGCTGGAACATTAAACTGAAGACAGGACGTAGTAAGACCATGAGATCCTGCAGCTACCTCTTCCTTTCCCCCATCACCAGTGTTGGTCAACAGAGGCGCCTCAGAGTGAGAGAAGCGGAAGAGAGTACCTCCTTGGTGTCTGCCATCCATTTCCTTTAGGAAGCATGTGCCAGAGGATGACGAGGACCTGACGATAGAATCTGCCTTACATCTGAGCCCTGCACTGAAGCACTGCCATCCATGTGAGCCCTGCACCAGGGCAAACTTGCAGGATTGAATGGCAAAACCCACGGCTCAGAGAGCCCCTCATCTGGGATCACCACCTCCAACCAGGAGGCAAGCTGGGCAAAGGTGTGGAAGAGAGTCTGTGCCCCATGTGAGCCTCCTGCCTCCTTGCCTCCTCACAGGCCTGTCCCTGGAGTGCAGTGGTCACTGATCCTGGTCGCCACAGACCTCACCACACACCACACGGAGGGATGAATTCACCAAGTGGAAGGACCTGCTTGGTGTGGCAGGAATTGCCCTTTTATGCTCTTACTCAGGGGGTGGGGCCACATCTGCATGCCAGGATCTGCCCCCATGACCATCTAAGGAAATTCTCCCTCACCAAGGTCATACACTTCCTGGGTCTATTGCGCTGCCTTATGGGGCCTGCTGCTGCCAAGGGGAGTGATGGGTACTTGCGGTTGGTGCAGGAAGGAGGTTGGAATCCACGACACACCTCTTACAAAACCCACACATTAATGATCTCTCCGAGCCTTGGTTTTCTCTTTTATGAAATGGAAATGATAATACACATCACACAGGGGTTTCCTGAGGATCCAATAAAATAATGCATGTGTGAAACTTGGCACATATTAAATGTGAAGAAAGGCTAGTGACTATTGATGTTGATGTTGTTCTTCCAAGGATAAGTGCTGTAATCCAGTTCATGAGTTTCACTTTGTGCTGTGTCTCAGGTACTCTGACAGGTATGGGGGGTTCTGAGGCACAGATGACCTAGCACTTGTCCTCAGGGATTTTTAGTTTGGTGGTGGAAGGAAATAAGTAAAAGGATGTCACACTTTGAGGTATAAGTACTGTTGCAGGGGCAAACACAGGAGATGTGGGAGCCC
Organism: Homo sapiens; assembly: GCF_000001405.40. Taxonomy (NCBI): domain Eukaryota; kingdom Metazoa; phylum Chordata; class Mammalia; order Primates; family Hominidae; genus Homo; species Homo sapiens. The sequence continues at coordinate 10,588 of NW_013171814.1, forward strand.
AGGAGGGAGTTTAACACCATGTGGGGCTGGGGAGGAGGCAGGCAGTTTTTGGAGGATGCAGCTTGTGAGGGGAGTCCTAAAAAAACAGGGGGTGTAAAGCCCAGTGAAGGAGTGGGAGAGAGGGAAGAAATGAATCCTGGCTCAGGGAGAACATTCCAGGTAGTAGGAATGAGGGCAGGATTAAGTATTCTGGCAAGCCATAGGCTGTCCTGGCAATAATGAGGAAAATATGGTTTGGTGAGCAGGGTCCATCTGATATGAAGGCTATGTCAGAACAGCAGTTTTTGATGGCTTATCTTTAGTGAGTGTGGCAGGCATGCTGGCTGCCTGCTAAATATCCATGCTCCTTCTTCCTCACCAACAGGACTCCACATTCTTGAATATGACAAATGCCCAGGTAAAAATCCATTTCCCAGCCTCTCCCCAGCAAACAGGGATGGACAGTGAAGTGTGTGTAGATTTTTTTTTAAACTTTTTTGGTTTTGAGACAGGATCTCACTCTGTTGCCCAGGCTGAAATGCAGTGAAGTGATCACGGCTCACTGCAGTCTCAACCTCCCAGGCTCAAGTGATCCTCCCGCCTCAGCCTCCAGAGAAGCTAGGACCACAGGCATGTATAACTATGCCTGGCTAATTGTTTATTTTTATTTTTGTAGAGATGAGGTCTCACTATGTTGCCCGGGCGGGTCTCAAACTCCTAGCCTCAAGCAATCCTCCCACCTCAGCCTCCCAAAGCACTAGGATTGCAGGCGTGAACCGTTACACCTAATCTTTTTTTTTTTTTTACTTTTTATAATAAAAAAAGCCCAAACATACACACAAGTACAGAAAATAGTGCAAGAACCTCTATGTACTCTTCACATAGTTTTATAGCTATCAACTGTCAACTTGGTGTGGCAGGAATCAACATTTGCCATTCTTGTTTCATCGGTCCTTCCACTTGTCTTTTTTTTTTCTAGATTATTTTAAAGCACAGACCAGACATTATATTATCTCCACCCATAAATATTTCAGTGTGTCTCTCTAAGGGATACTTTCTTTTTTAATGTAACCACAATACTAATATCATACCTAACAAAATTAACAATAATTCCTTAATATCATCTAATATGCAGTCTGTATTCAATTGAGAAATCTCTTTAAGGGGACTGACTTGGTAGAAAACTAGGTGGCCCTTTGCCCTTCTCCCTCTCCTTCTGCTGTTACAGGATATTCAGATGGCCCAAGCCCAAGTCCCCACTTTCACAAACTCACCACTTTGTGACCATGAGTAAACTTTGACAGCGGAAACCACACACTGGGGAAGGTGAAATGGGAAGATGGGAGGAGCTGGGACCCTGATGGCCACGCAGCCATCACACCAACATGAGACTGCCTAACTCTGGTCATTTTTCTTCCTCAGTCTTGCTTTTTGTATTTTTTAATTAATAGATTTTTTAAAACTTATGAGCAGTTTCAGGTTTATAGAAAAATTGAGCAGAGAGTACAGACTTCCCAAATCCCCGACACCACCCCCACCGTTTCCCCTAGTATTGACATCATGAATGAGTGTGGTGCATTTATTACAGTTGATGAGCAAATATTGTTATGTTATTGTGAACTAAAATCCACAGTTTCCCTTAGGGTTCACTCTTGCGTAGATTCTATGGGTTTTGATGAAGGCATGATGACTTTTATCCACGATTATAGTATTGTACAGAGTAGTGTCACTGCCTAACAATCCTCTGCCTATTCATCCCTCTCTCCCTGCTAATCCCTGGCAACCACTGATCTTTTTACTGTCCCTGCCTTTTCCATAGTGTCATATAGTTGGAATCGTACAGTATGTAGCCTTTTCAGACTAGCTTCTTTTGCTTAGCAACATGCATTTCAGATTCTTCCATGTCTTTTTGTAGCTTGATAACTCATTTCTTTTCATCGCTAAATAATTTTCCGTTGTCTGAATGTCCCACAGTTTGTTTATCCACTCACCTATTGAAAGACATCTTGGTTGTTTCCAAGCTTTGGCAATTATGAATAAAGCTGCTATAAACATTTATGTGTAGGTTTTTGTGTGGACATAAGTTTTCAACTCATTTGGGTGAGTACCAAGGAGAGCTACTGCTAGATTGTATGATAAGAGTGTGTTTAGTTCTGTAAGAAGCTGCCAAACTGTCTTCCAAAGTGGCCGTACCATTTTTCTTAATGTGGAGAGAAATCTTCCTTAAGCCGCTGTAATTTGTATCTCTGTTATTAGCAGCTGAATGCAATTCCTAATTGATAGGGTGGGAATGTGTTACTGAGTGCTGATTAGCTGGACAGAAATCTTACACCAACACACTAAAAAGTCAGAAGTAACTGCTGATCTAGTCATGCGTTCTTACCCATCAGCATTACTTTTTTTCATGAGGTCAGACAAGATTGTCAGATATATAACAAAGATATGACTGTGTTCTAATTTTCTATTAACATTATGATGATAAGAAAAGATTGGCTTGTCTTTTTATTTAGGTCCTGTTAAGGAGTCTCCACATGATTACTTCTTCGTAAGTGCTTGCAAACTTTTTGTTTAATGATCTGTTCCCGCTGTCTTTTGGCATTTTTCTGGTCTTCATAATTCCACCAAGATTAAGGATAGTGGTTTGACAGTTGGGTCTACAAATCCTGTCCTAGTTGGAATCCTCAAATGCTGAAGTGAGCAAATATTCCCCATTATCATTATCCAGTAATCAAAATCATTTTAGCGACTTGATTTGGCTTCATGCTGAGCAGTAGATGTGTTCTGGGGGAAAACTATATATACATCACATTGTTATAAATTAATTCCTATTTTAAATGAACTGGGAAAGCTTGTCACAGCAGAGGATAATGCAGTGAATCCTTCTATAAGGCAAATAATTCCATTATATGAATAATCACCCTCTAATTTAGTTCTCTATGAATATGTAATGTTCAAATAATGGGGATTTCAGGGTTTTTTTTACATATGGAGATTAGAGCTGAATGTTTGCTTATATTCAATTCCTCTTTTCTTTTTTTAACATCATCATCATCATTGTCTTCAATGTTGTTTGTTGTCATCACCAGGAAAGGCACCAAATTTTAGAAATACATGAAAAGAGCTGCCTTACTAGAGGTTGTCTTATCCACCAATAAGCAGGTCTTGTTCTGTGCTGAGGAATCCTATAGCTTCCTCAGTGTCTACATTCAATGGTACAGAATGATTACCTGGTTGTGTGACCTTGGACAAATCACAAATTATATAAACTCTCTGGGTCTCAGTTTATTCATCTGTAAAATGAGAATGATGATGGCACATTACTCATGGGGTTGACTTGAGGATCAAATGTGGCAACATAGAGTGTCTATGTTATGTGTTCAATTAATGTCAGCTATTATAATTGCTTTTCGAAGTCGTATTATCATTAAACGTTCAGGTTAGACAAGCCCTCCCCTTAAAAAAATAACTATGACTGCATCACACCCATTAGAATGGCCACTATCCAAAACAAGCAAACAAATAAATGGAAAATAACAAGTATTGGCAAGGAAGCAGAGCAATTGGAACACTCGTGCACTGTTGTGGGAATGTAAGATGGTGTAGCCACTATGGAAAACAGTATGGTAGTTCCTCAAAAAACTAAAAGTAGAATTACCATATAATCCAGCAATTTCCCTTCTGGGTATATATTCAAAAGAAATGAAAGCGAGGACTCAAAGGGGTATTTGTAGACCCACGTTTGTAACAGCATGATTCACAACAGTCAAAAAGTGGAAGTGACCCAAGTGTCCATCCATGCACAAGTGGGTAATCAAAACGTGGTATATACATGCAATGGAATATTATTCAGCCTTAAAAAGAAATGAAATTCTGACACGTGCTACAACAGGGAATAACCTTGAGGGCATTATGCTAAGTGATGTAAGCCAGTCACAAAAGGACAAATACTGTATGATTCCACTTACATGAGGCACTTAGATTAGCCAAATTCATATTAACAAAATGTAGACTAGTGGTTTCTAGGAGCTGGCGACAGAAGAGAATGGAGAATTGTGTTTTGGTGAGCACATAGTTTTAGTTTTGCAAGATGAAGAGTTTTGTTGATTAATGCTAGTGATGGAAGCATAACAGTGTGAATTTACTAATGCCAATTTTAAGTGTGCAGTAAGCATACAATTAAATGTTTAAGATGGTACATTTTATGTCATGTGTATTTTACCATTTTTTTTAATAAAAAGATTTTTACTATTTTAAAATTATAAAATAACCACCATGATTAGGAGTTTTCTATACCTAGGAAATGGGAACACATCCAGTGGTAGAAGATTGTAGGGAATGGAGAAGTGACAGTGTGGCCAACCCAGAATGCTCTTTAGCAGAACTGAATGCCTGTCATAGCTGACAGATGAGCCACTCAGAACATGCTTGCATTTGTCAATGATCCCTCCAGCTGACTCCACAGTCGACTGGTTTCACAAAGCATAACACTGGTTGTGATTTGTGTCTGGGTAACCACAGCTTCCAGAGATGGGCCCTGTCCAAGAAGCTGGTATTCAAAAATTACAACTCAATTGATAGGAGAAGAGTTCACTGGTACTGGCTTAGTAATTAAATTGCGAGGTGATTATTAGTCTGCTCAGGCAAAAAGATCACATGTGAGTACTTTAAGTAGCCTAAGACTAAAAAACTCCTCCCAGAAAAAAAAAAAACAAACCTGTAACTAAATTCATACCATTTTCTGCCAATTATAGATGCCCTCCAGTGACTTTAAGGTTGCCACAGCAACATGCCCACTGAAAGGTTGTCTTAGTCCATTTTGTGCTTCTATAACAGAATACCTGAGACTGGGTAATTTATAAAGAGAAGATATGTATTTCTTACCTTTCTGGAGGCTGAAAGTCTAAGGTATAGGGGCCCACATCTTGCAAGGACCTTCTTGCTGTGTCATCCCATAGTGGAAGGTGGAAGGACAAGACAGCACACATGAGCAAGAGATCAAACTCACAGACTGAAGCCCTTTCATAATCAGCATTAATCCATTATGGGGTGGAGCCATCATGACCTAAACACCTCCTAGTAGGCCCTGCCCCCCAACGCTGTTGCATTAGGGATTAAGTTCCCAACACATGCTTTTTGTTAAAAAGAAATGTGTTAAATAATGCATTGGGACATATTCACTATAGCATAGGGCATGATTGCTAAGTCCTGAAATATATGGATATAGCAAAGAGAGAATGTTTCACATCTTATCTCTGTGTCAAGCCAAAATTTTCTTCTAGGGGTAGGACAGGTGAACTGTCACCAGGCAGCTCTCCTCTCTTCTGTGGCGCAATCTGAGGTCCCAAGCTGGCTTGCCACCTCTGCCACTGCCCCACAGGGAGCACAGCAGCCCGGCATTTCCCCTACACTGCTCCCTTCCCCTGGGTGGTCTCCCAGTCCACATAAGCTAATAGGCATCCTCCCTTGTTTTTCTGAAAACCTCCTCTGCCACCTCTCCCAAGCAGGGTTCCCTGACCAAGTGGCAGCTTGGTGCTTTCTAGAGCAGATCCCATTCAATCACCTAGCTCTGCACAAAATAAATTCAAAGGCTTCACACACCCTTTGCCTTTGTTCAAGTCCCAGACTTGCTGAAAATCAGCTGACTCCTGTGAAGGTGATAATGGGGAGTAATGCTGTGAACCACACTGATACTGAAGACACATTCCAGAAAGCTGCTGATGAGGCAAAATTTGGTCTATCAGGTCTGACATTGCATGTACCAGACGTGCTGCTACTTAAAGAAATGATGGCTACTTCTTTTGTAAAAGGGATAACCATCTTACAAAGTGTCTTTTGTGTAAATTTCTATTTTTATATATTAGTAGGTACATTTTAGAATTTAAAAAGCTGTCTTGAGTCATTTCTGGAAAGAGTGGAGTATAAACAAATCTGATAATTTTGCCAAAACGGAAAAAGAGGTGGGGTGAGGGTAGTGGATCTGCATGTGAGAAAGGGACAGAATGACAGCTCATGAAGAACCATGAGAACAGATCCTGATTCTGCAAGTTCTACTGAACCCTCAGAGGCCCTGCTGAAGATGAGGATGAGGATTACTGGGATTAGGGCACAAGCCAGTGTTGGATCTCACAGTCTGGGTCAGGCTGGGAGTGGCTCCCACAGTCTGGGCCATACTCTACTGTCTACCCGCATTATAACTGAAAAACAAAATCTAATCTCACCCTCTTGAGTCATAGAATAAAGTCCTAATTGGTCAAAACTTTTGTTCCTGGTCCCACACAGCCTATCACTTGGGTAACAGCAAAAATAATAACAATAATAACCAAAAAATAAAACCTGGTGTTACTATAAGTCCTTACTATGTGTGAAATGCCTTGTATACATCATCTCCTTTAAGCCTTATAATGACTTACTGAGATATGTTCTATTATTTCTCTCTTTTGTAGAGGAAATGGAAGCTTAGAGTTGCCCAAGGTCAAGTGGTGATAAAAGGGGAAGGCAGGATGCAAATCCTGGTGTCTGCCTCCTGAGTCCAGTCTTGAACCAATGACACACAACTAACTTTCTGGACTTCGTGCCTCCTCCTCCCCATTGCTCAGCCCCTCCCCGATGTGAGTTCCCACTTCTAAGCTCCTGCCTGCCTATCACTGGGAAAGCCCCCTTTCCAGCCCTGGTCCCATCCTATCACACTCATGCCTGGCTCGGTTCCACTTCTCCCTTGAATGTCTCTCTGCTGCTCTAGCTTACAAGGGTTGCCTTTTCCCTGAACAATCACTCTGTCTATATTACACATATGGCACACCTTGGATTTTAATATTTTACTGCCATTTCTGTTTAAAATGTGTATGTCATCTGAACTAAACTGTGAGGTTCTGTAAGCCTAAATTAATGCCCACTTTTGTGTGTGCTGGTCATTCATATTCAACTTTGAACAAATGCGTTATATATAATAAATACTAGGGTATAAAGGATCATTTAAATAATTTTTTAATGTTATCTATAAAGAGTTTTTAATAACACAGAAAATATGTGTTTAATTTTATTACATGAGAAAAGCAACATGCAAACATGCATAAGCAATGCCATCTCAGCTATTATAATTCCACATGATAAATCACGTGTAGAAAATTTGAAACATAAAATATACAGGGTAATAAATAGGGCAAGAAAGGCATGGAACCTCATTCAGATTTAGTGACTGCATCTTCATTATTTCCTGCAATCATTTTCTTATTAACAAATTAGAGAATGTGACAAACACTCAAAATCCAGAATGTAGTATGTGGACCCCCTACTATGTATGTCTCAAAATGAGCCACCAGCATGTCTGAAGAAAATATTGTGATATTTACTGAAATTTATTTTTATGTCAAAAATAGGCAAAAAGAGTAAACTTCCCTAAGCGCAAAGGATCTTTTGAATCATTAACATAAATGAACACATACACATCTCTGAAGTCTCAATTTAAAAGAAAGAACACTTTATTATAAATGCACCATTGAGGAAGAATGATGTTTCCAAAATTTCCTGCAGCTGGAGTACAGGTGCTCACCAGGGACTCAGAGAAGGTAGATCCTAATGTCTTGAGATGAGGGGCGTAGTTAACTCACTGGCTCTGAGGCCCACAGCTCTGGGTAGACCACCACCTACCCACTGGCTGCGTGCCCCTTGGTAAGCTACTTCACCCCTTCCGGTCTCAGTTTGTTCCCCTGTAAAAGTTGCTTTGCCAACTAAGTGAGACAAAGCACACAAAAAAAGTTTCGCTTGTTGCTCTGTAAATAGTAATAGCTCAATTAATATAGTAGCTATTGTTCTTTGAAAGGGGACTTAGAGATCCTGGAAGGCTCAAGGGCAATTATTTTGCAGATATTTCAGAACAAGACTTGAGCAGACAGGATTTATAAACTGACTGAAGAGGGAGACACCTGGGATAGAAAACGGAAGGGCATCTTCAGCAGGGGGACAGTCCCAGCTAGAGGGATCATATTGGCCTAACTCCTCTCTCTGCACTTCCTGTCTTTCAGGCTGTTCTAGATGTGGCTCTTCAAACTACAAAGATCGGAAGTCACTCAACCTAGCGCAAATTAAAGGGGATTACTACAAGAATATGGAGTGTATTAGGCTGTTCTTGCATTGCTATAAAGAAATATCTAAGGCTAAGTGATTTATAAGAAAAGAGGTTTAATTGGCTTATGATTCTGCAGGATGTACAGGAAGCATAACACTGACATCTGCTTCTGGGGAGGCCTCAGGAAGTTTTACTCATGGTGCAAGGTGAAATGAGAGCTTTCAAGTAACATGGTGAAAGGAGAAGCGAGAGAGAGAGAGAGAGAGAGAGAGACAGAGGTGGGGAGGTGCCACATACTTTTGAATGACCAGATCTCACATGAACTCACTCACTATTGTGAAGATAGCACCAACGGAATGGTGCTAAACCATTCATGAGAAATCCACCTCCATGATCCAACCACGTCCCACCAGGCCCCACCTCCAACATTGAGGATTACAATTCCACATGAGATTCAGAGGGAACACAGATCCAAATGATATCGCAGAGGTATATGGAGTCCAAGAGAGGCATAGTGAGGGAGAACTGAAAAGGTAAGGAACTGAGGCTACTCTAAACATGTCTCTTTCCCTCTCCCTCCTCTTTCCCCCCTCCACTCACTTCTTCTGCTTACTTATCTTGCACTCGACCCACCTAAAACACAAGCCTTGACCTGAGCAGCCATCACCAATGAGCAGAGAGAGGTTTCTCAGCCTCTTACTTCAGATTCTTACAAGAGGAATTCTGATTGGCTCAGTTCCTCTGATGGAGCCACATCCACTCAAGTCCAGCCTAGCCCAAGATCCCATAGATCGGGTGTATACCTGTGGTGTGATCAGCACTGCCTTCCCCTCCCATTTTTTTTAGAGTGTAGACTGGCAAACAAGGAAACTTGTCTCTTGCAGAGATGTGGGGTGTATCTTTGTCCAGGCCTTCACCATGAACAAGGCTGTGGTGCTCACGCCACCGACTTAGGAGGTCTGACCTTGAACTCTGGGAGACTTGAGGAATGTCTGATGACTCACAGGCTGACATTGAATCAGTCCATGTCCTTAAATCTTGCAAAAGGAAATCTGCTTATTTTATATTCCCTCATGGACTTCAGGGCTTTGTTTAACAAATATTACAAACCTTTCCTGCTCTGCTGGAATTAAACAGCTTAAAATTCATCCTTTTGGCTACTTAATTTTCTTGCTTCTTTTGCCAGTGAGATTATAACATTCTTGAAGGGAGAATTTCAGGTGTGGTGAAGATCTTAGAGATCATTGAGGCCAACCTTCTCATTTTACAGGTGTGGAAACTGAGGCCCAGAGACAGGAAACGTCACACAGCAGGAGAGGGGCAGGTGGGACCCGGGATCCCGTTTCACACACTGTGTTCCCCAGAGTACCTTGCCATGTCTTAGGCACAGCATTGTCCCAACAAATATTCAATTGCTTTATTTCATATTCTGCTTTTGCTTTTCTCAAGCTCATTGTTCTCTATTCACATCCCTTCTCTACCACCGACTTCAATCTTAGGGGATCACTTTGCATGTGCCTTTCAGGTGTTGGTCTTTGGGGTTGTGTAGTGGAAGGTGAGATGAGGCATGGGTGAAATTTCACCTGGTTCTATCAAGCTGTTATCTCTCCAGGCCAACACCACGGTAACAGAGCGTAGACACTAGACTACCAACTTCCTTCCTTCTGCACTGTCAGTGGCCTCCAAACTGCATGATGAAGCCACTCTCTAGCTCCCACAGTAAGTCACTAGTTCTGCAATGCCTCCTGGGCCAACACCGCATAACAGGAATTTTGGCCACTGCTGACCTTCTCCCAGTGGGAAGTAACAAGTGGATGTAGCCCCACCTTCCTCCCAGAAGCCTTCTCTGATCCTTGTAGCCGACTGGGAACTCTTAGTTCATTTGACATCACTCTCACACAGTGGAGCGCTTCATTCATTTTCCTGTTATCTGCTGGGCATCAGCCTGGTCTCAGCTCCTGAAGGTAGGTAGCTTCTCTCCCCCAGCACCTACCTAGGCTCCCACCAGGCCTTCAGTCAATGTGTGGACTGACCAGTAACTTTTCCCTGGAACAGCTATGGCTACGGGGGTGAGTGGAGAGAAGTCATGGCAAGAAAGGAGAACTAGTACTTTTTGCTATTATCTTAGGCAAGTGTGAATGAGGAGAAGCAACTCCTTAAAACAAACAGAAACATTCTGACTTTTCATTTCTAGGCAGACAGGGAAACTCCTGGCCACTCAAAATCGGTCACAATTAAACCAATGCTAGCATCATTTGCTTCAGGAATCTCCAGTTCCTTCACTCTGCACCCATTAGCTCTTCCGACCCAAGCCTGCAGGTTGGGCATGAAATCAATCCCAGAGCAGAGAAGGAACAACAGACAACGGGCCACATAAGCCCCAGGCCTCCCACCTGGGGGAACTCTGGTCTGAGGCATCTACAAGGCCTTCCCCTCAAAGATCCCCATTCCAGCCTGAAATGCCCATCATCAGAGGCCACTGAAGAGAGCGCTCAATAAGAAGACAAAAGTGTCAGAGTTAGAGGAGAGAATCAGAAGAATATCTTATATGTTAATGACAGTTTATTAGACTGGAGGTAGAGCCCAGAGCCAGGCACTGAGGATGTGGAAAACAGGAGGGAAGTTTGGGTGGGCAGGCAGCAGCAATGCAAAGCCCCAGGCACTGCCCAGAGGAGGCAGCATTAGGTGGGGCAGCAGGGTAGGGAGCAGAGGAGCATGAAGAACTTTAGCTGATGTGGGTTAAGAGAGCTAGGCCAGGAGCAGGGGAAGGTTAGAATTGGGTCCAGGTTCCTTGAAGACAAACCTAACTGATTTCACATATTAAGATGTGTCACCCTCAGGAATCCTTCCTGCACTACTAGCTCTGCTGGTGTGAGTCTGCAGAAAGAAAAATTCAGGGATCATTTTTGAGGGCCAGAAAGACTCAGGACAAGAAAGGGCATCAGCCATCTTTGAGCACTTTCCATGTGACACAGTCAGCATAAACCCACGATCACCACTGGTTCTCACAAGGCCAAGAAAAGTTGTTGAGTAAGTGGCCCAAGGTCATCCCTTATGAATGTTAAGTAAGCTGCCCAAGGTCACAGAGCCAGGACGTATCATGCCTGGGATTCAAACCCAGGGGTCACACTGACACCAGAGCCTGTGGTTCCCACTGCCCCCTCACCCTAGGTGCATACCCCAAACGGAGGTGTGTGCTCTCCGTGGAAGCTTCACGTTCCACATGTTGCTCAACCTCTAGCCTCTCCTCACCTGAGGGTGCGATTTAAGCAAAAGCAAAGCCAAAACCCAGACAATTTTATTCTTATTTCCTTTGCAGGTGGCATGCCTGTCACACAATATGTAAAAACCAACAATGACAACAGGGTAAGTAAATGGGAATTTGCTGAATGTGTATATTCCAGTATTATTATATAATATTTTGTAAACCCAGGAAATTGTCCAGATGTTAAAGCATACAAATAACTCACTGCTGAGCCAATGAGGCATAAATGCTAAGAGGGACAAACCAACGGGAAGAGTCAGGTGTGCTTAAACCTGTTGCTTTGGAGTGGACGACGGTTGCCTGCCACCCAGACAACTGGCCTCTAGTACCCACTCTGTACCGAATCATGGCTGGGCATGAGTTGCTTAACTCTCTGGGCCTGTTGCCTCCCTCCTGAAGGGAGGGAATGACAGCCACCATGGCCTTTGGTACAAGAATCAAATGAGTTGTTCTATAGGATGTGAATGTCTATGCTGTTCTGTGTCTCAAGCCCGGGAGACAAGTTCTCCACACAAAACAAAATCCCACCCATCCTTCAAGGCCCATGCCACTCTCCATGGCTAATTTTTTAAATTTTTTGTAGAGAAGGAATCATGCTATGTTGCCCAGGCTGGTCTTGAGCTCCTCAGGCTCCAAAACTGCTGGGATTGTAGGCCTGGGACCTTTCGAATTAGCTCTCTTCTCTCATCTGAAGCCTTTGTACCCTTTAACCTTAATCAGGTGCTTATCCTTTCCTCTCTCTTTGTTAAAAATCTTAGAAATTCTTGCCGGGCACGGTGGCTCAAGCCTGTAATTACAGCACTTTAGGAAGCTCAGGTGGTGGATCACGAGGTCAGGAGATGGAGACCATCCTGGCTAACACAGTGAAACCCCATCTCTACTAAAAATACAAAAAAAAAAAAAAAAAAAAAAAAATTGGCCAGGTGTGGTGGCGGGCGCCTGAAGTCCCAGCTACTTGGGAGGCTGAGGCAGGAGAATGGCATGAACCAGGGAGGCAGAGCTTGCAGTGAGCCAAGATCACGCCACTGCACTCCAGCCAGGGCAACAAAGAGAGACTCAGTCTCCAAAAAAAAAAAAAAAGAAAAAAAAACTTAGAAATTCTTTGCTCAAGTATCACTTCCTCCAGGAAGTCTTCCTGACCCTCTCCCAGACCCCACCCACCCTCCATCCAGTTGGCTGCTCCAGGTTGTGTGGTGGGGGGAATTTCACAGCACTTTGTGTTAAGCGCTGACTTATCCCTTGTATAATACTTTCATTGACTGTAGTCCCTAATACTGGACTGAGCTCCTTGAGCGCAGAGACTGTGAGTCTTACCTGTTTTGGCATTCCTAGACACACCTGGTCTGTGGAAAGTGCTCACTAAATGTGAATATAAACTAATGAATAAATGGGTTTCTACAGCAGTTTATACTGCATCACACAGTTCCTCTAATGAATTTCTAGCCCCCTTCCCTGTTGGGGCATACAGTATTTTATTCAGTATTTCTCCTGAAGGCCTCTCTGTGCCAAGCTCAGTTTTAACCAAAACATTGGTGATCTGGTTAAGTCATTACTGAATTATCCACTACGTTGAATTCTCCCAACCACCCCGTCCCAGCCCTTAGCTTGGCCGAAGGAAAATTAATTGGTTGCAAAGTGCGTATCTAATTACAACAGCCAGCCCCCGACACAGAGATGCTCAAATGTTAATTATAACATATGCATCTCAATAACCGACGGTGGCATTTAGTGCAGCATTAATCACGCCACTTGGGCCCCCCAGTGCATACACAAAGCTCCTTTTCATCTGCCATTAGCACAGACTTTGCACTTTCGGCACGGACGTTCTCATCCTTAAAGCCTTTCGGACTCTAAAACCAACGTTTCCCTGTAAGCCTGGACTGCGCCTAAGCCCCCAGTTCTCCCACCGCAGAGGCCCCCACCCAGGGCTGCGCCAGCGCCGTGGGGTCGCTGGGCGGCGGGTTTTGGCGTCGCTAGACTGGGCTGTCTTGGCAGCTAAGGCGACATCCCGAGCGTCCTGGGGCCACCCTGCTCTCCAGGGCCCGCCATCCTGGAAAAGAAAGGCGAACTACATTACCCAGCAGGCCTCCAGCCGCCCTCTTTCCTTTCAAGTCTTTGCACGTGGCCGGAGGGGAGGGCGGGGCCTGAACGTCACTCTCCTACATTCTCTTTCCCTGTGTCAGATCAGGGATCATTTTTTTTCCTTCCTCTACTCCCTCCCCCCTACCCGCCCCTCCCTCCCTGTTTCCCTTCCCTCCCTCCCTCCCCTCTCTGCTGGGTCTGTGCGCTGGGGCGCCCGATCCCCTCCGCAGCTGGGACGCTCCGAACTCGAGGCAGGAGTCGGCTCTCCGGAGCCTCGTCCCTCCCTTCCCCTTCCCTGCCCCCTTCCCCCACCCCCGACTCGGGCTTGGCGCGGCGGCCAGAGGAACCCCGAGGTGAGCATCTCCTCGCCCGTCCTCCTCTTATAGTCATCTCAGCTTGCTGATCGATTCGGGGACCCGGGAGGAGGGCTGCGTGACGTGGGCGTGCTTATAGATAAATCCGGGAAAACCGCCCCAAACAATCAGCCCCCTTCCCCCCATCCCTGCTCCTGGGCCAGCGGGGTGTCCGCACCCATCTACCATCCCCTCCTCCCCCTCGGTGGGGAACTGCACTCCACAGTGTCGCCCCCTCCCTGGGTTTGTCCCATTCCCTGCCGGGTTCCCCGCCCCGCGGGGTGTCGTGGCCCTGGAGCTCCGGCGCCAAGGGGGGCTCTTGGGGGACGCACGGCTGGAGCCCGGCTCGCTTTGGAGCTGCGCGGTGTAGCCGCTGTCATGTGCCGGGTTCCGACCTGGGAGGAGGAAAAGAGCGAGCGCGATTCCTCTCCCTTTTGTTTTGAAGCCCGCATTTGCTGCATCGAGCAGTTGGTTTAGTATCAGCCAAACTTGCAGCTGTTCAGACCGCGCTCCGCCGAGGTAGGGAGCCCGTCTCGGGGTGGCGTTTGGGGGCCGGGGGCTGCGGCACTCGGGGCTGCGGGAGGGACCCCGAGAGTGTGTCGCCACGCCGCCCCTCCCTTCCCCGGTGACTGATTGTGTCTGTGGCAGCGGGCGTGTGTGAGTGTGCGCGCCCGTCCCCGCGGGCTCGGGGATGTCTGTGGATGGCTGTCGTCTAGACAGGGCGCAGCCCCCTCCCTGCGTCCCCGGTGAGCCCGCGGGCCGCGGGGGGAGCGGGGGATGGGAGCAGAGGAAGAAACCAAATCGGTGGACCCGTTGCGGTCTCCCCTTTGGTTATTCCCAACGGTTGTGGTTCTGTTGGCTTTTTTTATTATTCCTGTCGCTGCGGTGCAATCGGGCCTGGGGAATAGATACGCCCGGCGGAGAGGGGTTCACTTGACAGGCTCTGAAAAGCCACCTCTGGGTGGCGAGTGACCCGAGAGGCCGTGGGGTGGGCTCCGGCTCGGGTTCATCAGGACGACGAGCAGGTAACTGTCCCGGGCGCCGGTCATGGGGGAGGGCGGGCGGGGGGGCGATGGCTTGGGCTGCGGCGAAGGTCTGGGGCCTCGGAGGGCCGCGTGCCGGTGCCTGGATGTGGCCGGAGGGGGCGTCCGGGACACCGCGCGCCTGAGCCGAGTGTTTCTCTATTGATGGTAAAAGACAATCGGGAGGGGGGTGGTCCGAGCCCGTTATCTGGGCGGCGTTGGCTCTGTTTGGTTCCGCGGAGTTTTCAGGGTTGGGGCTGGGGGGTGTGAGCACCGCGGGGTGTGCGGCGTGTAGAGGGGAGGGCTGACTGGCGGCGCCGCGTGCGTCTCCACCCCGAGGAGTGAGGCGTCGCCTCCCCCGCCCGGCTGTTTGTGTGTACACACGGCTCCGGTGTGTGTGGGGGGCGGGGACCGCAGACCGCGGCGTAGTGGGGACAAGCGTGGGCCCCGATCCTCCGCGCGACCTGTCCCGCCAGCCCCCTCCTTGTCTAAGTCGGGGTCGTGTGTCCCCGCGCGCGCGCGCCCGAGTTACTTGGAGAGGGGACCGTGCGGCTGTGGGCCGGGGAAGACCGTAGGGTCGCGTGTGCTGGTCTTCGGTGCAGGAGTCCCAGGTCCGCTGTGCGGCCGGAGTCACACAGCCCCTCCCTCCGCGTCCGCGACGCCCCGTGACCCGGCAGACTGGGGGTCCACCCGGCGGCGCGGGGGGTTGGTTTGGCTGCGCCGCCCCCAGTCCACGCTGGGGTGACCCCGCACCGAGGCGTTCTATGGGTGTGCGTGCCCGCGCTCGCCGCCGCTGCCTTCGCAGACCGGGGAGAGAGTCAGCGACTGCCAACCGCAGCCCCGGCTCTTCAGTCTGGGGACAGTGGGAGCCCAAGCCCAGCGCGCCCCAGCCCGGCCCAGGCCGCCGCCCGCCCGGCGCTGTGTCTCTGCGGCCCGAGGATTATCCCCCAGTCCAGGGGCCCGCGCGACCAAGGAGGAAGCCGCTGGAGCCGCCGGCTCGGCCGCGGCTAGAGCCTCCGTAGGGCGAAAGTGACACAGCGCGAGAGAGCGCCGCCGCTGCTGGAGCCAGGGCCGAGAGGAAGGAGCCGCCCAGAGCGCAGGGAGGGGCCGCCGGCTGTCCGTTCCCAGTTCCTCCTGCCCAGGGCCCGATCTGGGCTGAAAACCTCAGGAATCCAGGCTCCTAGCAGGCTCGGGCTGCGCGAGGAGATGGCCTGGCTTTCAAGAAAACCCAATTATACGTGAACAGAATGCACCGAACAGACGCTAGAGGATGGCCAGGACACGCTCAGGTTGTCTGGGGAAACTCCTGAGTGTTTGACACAGGATTCGATTTACACACAGATCACCTCATCTGTGTCAAGTATCTGTCCTGGATAATGGATGCTCAGAGGCAGCAATTTTGTAACACATTCTAGGGCACAGTGTCATCAGTGATTAACAGCTTGCTAGAATAATAATATGTTTGTATGACCTTACAGGGCAGGTTTTCTTCCCCCAGAACCTCCCCCCTCCCCCGCCAGATATCATAGCATTTATTAAGAGGGTCCTGTGAGGTAGGAGAGTATTAGCCCCATTTTACGGATGAACACACTGAGGCTCAAAAATGTGGCTTGCATAAGGCCTCTGGGTGGGGGAAGGGCCACATTCCCCCTTTTCTCAGCTTATGGCATTTAATTAATAGTGGCCACTTTTTTTCTGAGTATGGATTCTTGACACCTCAGGAAATACTGAAGCTAAAAAATAGAGTATATTATGCTGACACATATTCTTTCTCAAAACACTCTTGATTTGTTAACCATTCCTAATGAGAGCAGCCACTAAAGAACGGAAGTCTGCATTGCTGTTATTACCACGCATTTAATAATTTGCTGTTGGTGAATGGATAGCAGCTGTGATACATCCAGTTTCTACCAGAATCATATGTGCATATAATAAATGTATATGGTATGCCTGTTCATGTAACACTTACCTGTGTTTGTATGGCTGTGTTCATTGAGTCTTTATTGAATTCAAGGAGCAAAGAACTTATACATGCCTGCATGGATTTCTCAGAATTCATGCATGTGAAGGCTGTCAGACAGCCTGGAGGGTTATTAAGTTTAGCCAACTAATCAATTAATTAACCATTCACTCAATATGTACTGGGCACCTACATGTTTGTGTATCTAGAAGTGCATACAAAGAAAACTTAACAAATGTTAATTAAGTCCAGCAAATGTTTATGAAGCACCAGCCTCACTTAGGCCAGATACTCTGCTTCTCTACAAAGATAGTAGAGCAGAGATAGTTAAGTTGCAATGCAATAACACAGCCTACAGGAGGGAACAAATCATAAATATTTTAGAGCAGTCACCCTGGAACTTAGTTTCACATATGTTGGTTTCAAGGGGCCCAAGATGCCAGTTCTTATTCTAGAGCAAATGCAGAAGGAAGCGATGGGGAAAAAACACCTTGATAGCCTTGTTACCCTGAACTTCAGGCTGTTTGCAACCTCCCGGGAGGGCCCAGAGGTATGTTCTTCTGTGGAAGTTAGGCAGCTGATGGAAATTACCCTGAAGCCAACCAACAGGTTTCTGGCGACACGGAGCTAAGGAGATGTTCTCCGTGGTCCCGCCCCAGCTCAGATGTGCTGTGACTCAGGGACAGGCTGTGGCTTTGGTCAAGGTCTCACTCAGGCCCTGCCTGGGTGTAGGAGTTTCTGCCTTACAGGTCTGTGTAGGTGTGTTAATACAAGTCTGCTTTTTATCTAATCCCAAACTCACCGTCTGGTCCCAGATATTGTCCTCTAATTTCATTTCTGTTTTGGGCTCCATTGCCCTTGTTTTAAGGTTATGTTGTTTGCAGCTCAGGTCATGAAGGAGGAGGCAGGAGATGGGTGGTTAGGTTGGAGAGAGAATCCTGAGCCCAGATAGAGAACAGGAGGTACAAACATGCAGGCAAATTGCAGTTTCTGAGAATTCTCCACACGTGGTGGCATTTCTGCATAACTTACCTGATAACACAGCCCCATTTGATGTCCTTGGCTTGGCAGGGGGAGGGGGCGTCTACCTCTGGGCCTCACTGCTGACTCACCGGCACCCTGAGCTCAGCTGCTTCCTTTCAGGTTTGGGTTTTCTTTTGCCCCTGCCTCCCGCTGTGTGCGGTTTAATTTAGAACCTTGCTATAATGGTGGCCTTCTCCCTGTGTTAGCACCGTGCTCTCAGCATGCCTCTGACTTTGGAATTAAGGCCAGAGCTGTGGTTCACAACGGGGTGAGAACAGACACATCCTTGGATCTCCGGCACCCAGAGCTGGGGAGGACTTTGAAGATGATCTGATCTTCACGTGAAGACCTGAAGCCTAGGGAAGTGGAATGACTTGCCTAAGGTCATGGTGAGCCCTTAGCAGAGTGGGTAAAAAATCCTGGAATTTGAGATTTCATCCAATCTTCTTTCTATGTACCGTAATGCTTTCTGGAAAAAAGTTAGGTTCTTCCCAAAGAGTGAGAACTCTTTATCTTCTTCTCTCCTGTCTTCTGGTTCTGGGAAGGGCTCTGAAATTCATTTGACTTCTCTTTCCTTCACAACTGGCCCTTCCTGCCTTATCTTCATCTTTGGCATTCATGAGCAAATGAAGGTCTGTATTTGGGAAATATAGGGTGTCTTGGTGTCCTACAGTGCTCTTAAGCTTGGTCTGTGGCTTTCTGGCCCTGAGGCAGGGTCCTCAGGAACCTTTTGGAAGTGTTTGCAAAGCTGGGATGCGTGTGTACTTTTCTAGGAAGAGAATCTACAGATTTCATTTGATTCTCAACTGACTCAAGTAAGGACAAAACTACTGGTAGGGAGAAGGACAGAAAGGTTGGATAGTGGTTGGTTGACACTGGGGCTACTTTAATACGCTGCACTTGATTTGGCTTTACAGTTTGCAAACTATTTCACACAAATTATCCCATCTGCCTTTTATAATAGGTGGTTATCGTTATCAGCCTGTGAGGCAGTTGTTGTTATACCCATTTTGCAGAGCAGGAAGCTGAGCCTTCATGGTTAGTGGCATGCCCAAGTCACGAGTAAGCAGTAGAGCAGGGATATGAACCCTGACTTCAGACTTCAGGTCCAGTGCTCAGGGCTGAGGTGGCTTGCTGTCTGACATCATTATGATGAACAGAAAGCCTTGAACTTCCCAGAGCTTCTTAATGCCTACTGTTCACTCATATTCGGCCACAGAGCCAGACCCAAATGCTCACTTACCCAAGGGGTAGGGGAGATAAAGTATGGGAGGCAGTTACCATAGCAACGATCTGTAGAGTGGAGCCAGTTTGGGATGGTTTCATGGATGAGGTGAATTTGGGAGTAGGCCTGGGTAATGGTGGAGGAGGTTTTAGGCTGGGGCAATGGCCCAAAAATGGTTAGGGGGCAACTAGGTGCTTGGGGTGGGTAGAACAGACCTAAGAGGTTTACTTGATCATCCTGCAGTCGGTGCGAGCTTCACAGTAGTTGTCGGGCTGCTTTTCTATGCCTGTCTTTGTGCTAGGCCCTGGGGCTATGACAGTGAACAGGTACAGCCCCCTGCCTTCAAGCAGCCAGCTTTCTAGTGGGAGAGACAGATGCATAAACAGTTCCATTCAACGTCATGTGGGAAGTCTAGGTAGAGAGAAGCCCAAGGCCCTTACAGCGGCACAGACAAGGGGCAGCCACCTGCTCCGGCCTCAGATGTCAGGGAGGGCTTCCTAAAGGAGACGGCTCAGGAGCTGAATCTTAATGGATGAAAAGGAACTGGCCAGGAAAGGAGATGGGAGACGGGCATTCAGGGAGAAGGCATGGCGTGCGCAGGGTGTGGAGGCATGAGGCTGCCTGGGTGTAGGAAGGAACCGCAAGCAGTGAGGTCAAATGCAAAGGCGGAGATGCAGACAGCGCTCAGAGTGGAGGAGCTTTGTAAGCCTGGTTTCAGACCTTGGCTTTTAGCCTGCAGGTAAGGCATAGAGGAAGGACTTTAATCAGAGAGGTGTACAGCCTTGCTTGGATCGGAAGGGAACAGGACTGGGAGCCAGGCGGCCATGGGACTGGTGAGGCAGTAACAGGCTCTCCACGGCATCCAGGTCATAGGGGGTGAGACCTGGAACAAGGGCCATGCATCTAAGGATGGACCAAAGGTCATACATTAAAATTAGTTGGGAGTAAAGTCCGCAGTGATTACTTAGACTTGGGGGATAAGGGAATCATCTCAGTGGCTCCCAGGTTTGTGGCCTCACTGACTAGATGGACGGCAGCTCTTAACTCAGGTGCGAACTTCTGGTTGCTGGAGCAGGGTCTGCTGGGGTTGGGGTGGGAGGGAAGATCATGGTGAGTTCAGTGCTCCGGTATTGAATTGGAATTGCTGGTAGGATAGTGGGGTGGTGCTGCCCTACAGACAATGCACTGTGCAAGCTAGAGGCTGCAGAAGTGTGTGCCCAAGCTGAGCCCTGGGAGCGGGGAAGCATTGGCCACTGAGCGTAACCACGGTGAGGGCTGCTGTAGACAATGAGAGCAGACCTCTTCCTCCCATTGTCAGATAATCCTTTGTCATGCCGGCCGCTGTCGTCAGGGAAGCCAGGCGGGGATGCTGTGTCATGCTGGAGGCCCAGCTGGCAGAATCCAGCGACAGCCAAGAGCGTGTTTCAGCTGGAAGCATTAGAGTGAGTTAGGGGAGAGGCATTTCGCTTTTTAACATCCACAGTGAGCAGAGCCCTGTCCCAGCCCCTTGGAGTGTACAGAGTGGGGAAGCCCTGGAACCTGCTTCCAGGAGCAGGTAGTTTTGTTGGGGAGAGAAGATATGAACATATGAAGCCACTAAAAAGCTGTAACAACCCCAGGGAAGAGTGGAATGCAACTTAAATAGAGTGTTGCAGATCCCTCTCTTCCTGCCATACTTCATTTTTATAGAGCTGATGTGTTTTAGGCAAACGTCCAGTCTTTGCATGTTTGAATTCTCAGAACCGACAATAGTGCCTGGCACATTGTAAGTGTGTGTTCAGTCTATGTTTGTGGATCTGCAGGGATGTACCCAGAGTTAGTCGTCTGGGGTGGGAGGTCAGTCAGGGAAGGTTTCCATAAGCACGTCCAAAAGGGGCATCCCAAGACTGATTTAGAATACTTTTAGTACCACAGTGGAGTAAAAATCTTGAAAACCTTCCAATGACAGAGCACCTAGAAAGGCTGTGTAAGCTGTAGCTAGCGTCCTTTCAAAGAAGAGCTAAGCTCATGGAATGTAAGGGAAATCCCCAGGGATCTCAGGCAGTGTGGACGGTGAGCTCCAGCTGAGGCTCGTCTAGGCCTGGGGGTTGGGAGAGGTGTTGAGGGGTGCTTCCTGGCCTCAAAGCCCAAGGGTTTGAGTCGTGACTGCATCTCCTCCGAGACTAGAGATGATACCAGGAATCAAGAGCCCTGCCTAAAACAGGACCTGGTAAAAGTTTGCATGCTGGGAGAAAGGATGGACTAGACAGCAGCCCGTCCGCATGGGGGATGGAAAGTGGGTGTGCTGCTTTTTGTCTTGACCTGGATGTGAGGTGGAGAAAAATCTTCCCTAGAAATGTGAGACCTCAGGCCTGTTAGAGCTTTGAATGTCCACTACACATGTGGTCCAGGAGGCCCTCAAGAGAGAAATTAGCATGTAAAGACTTGGGGGCCAGTGTCTTCCTGACTGTGAGCTCTAGGGCATCAGGGGCCTGGGGAGAGTCTGGGGCTCTTTGCCCTTTGCTGACTTAAATCTCCACCTTGGGAGATGCTTTGCGATCAGGGCAGGGTAAGTGAGGGAGGAGAGAGAAGAGAAAGGGCAGAGGTGCCCCTCGGTAGGAACCTTTTAAAAGGGCCTTGGAGACAGCTGCACAACTCGGGGAGGCATGTGCAGGATGGCAGAGAAGGACAGTTCCATCCAAGCCTTCATCTCTTAGGAAAAAACTTCAGATGAGCCCCGTCTAGGAAGCCCAGAACATTCTCCCTACTGCATACTCAGGTCAGGTTCTTACAGATAAGGTTTCTTTCCAGGGTCCCCTTAAGGGTGCCCTGTGCAGATTGCAGTTGCTACTGGTCCTCTAGACTGGGCACTACATTGTCTTCCCATGCTCAGAGTCTTTAGTTCCTACAGTTTCAAACTCAGGAGACATCTTAGAGGTCATCTGGTCAACCCTCCACCTGGTGTGGGAATCCTGACTGCAGCAGCGCTTGGTTCCAATGTGCTTGCTGCTTGTGGCCGGGAGTTTATTGCCTTGGAGGCAGCGCCTTCCCTTATGTTATAGCTGGAAAGGCCTTGTACTGAGCTCTGGCCACCCTCCTCGCTGGCCATTTTCACCCATGGCCCCTGCAGCTGTTGTGAGAGATGGTTTCTAGACCTTTCACCATCCTGCTTGCTTCTGCTGGAAGGGCCTCCATTTGTCAAGCTGAGATTCTGTGAGAATCCAGCCAACTTCTGTCCTAACTTACTTCACACAGAGGCAGCTTTTGAAGATAGATGTGAGGGTAGCTGAGCCGGCTGCATAGGCGCAGTCTGTGATGGGGGAGTTCTGAGAAGCTTTGGCTCGGTGCTTTTCGGATGATCATGAGAGAGGCAGCAGCACCTGCTGCAAGTTCCTTCCTCCGACGCCCAGAATACATTTCAGCTTATAAGTAAGTAACTTGGGAATCCCATGCAGGGAGCTGTGTGGAATTTATTGAGTGCAGGGAGTTTATTGAGTGCCTGTTAAATGCCAGGCACAATGCTGGGCGCTCTCTGTGTGCCTCGCTAAATGAAAGTAACCTCTCTGAGGGAGACAGAGAGGCAGAGATATGGTAATGCCTAACTGTAGTTATGACAATTGAGCCCTGAAGGGATTCAGAAAGAATGTGTGTGGTTCCATCCAGAGTGGGTGGAGCTGACACATTCCCCATGCTGTTCCCTTATAGGGCCTTCCCCTGGGGTAGGCAGTATCATGATCTCACCAGTAGCTGGGAACACACAGGCCTGTCCCACACTCTTGGGGCATTTGCTGAGATACTTACACGTTTGAACCATGAGATCAAGAAAGTGACCTGCTAGAGAATTCACATCTTGGCATGTCACCAAACAGGCTGGTGTTTACAAGCAAAGTATTTTTTACAGCATGCGGTTTATCTGTCTCCGGTATCTACCTACAGTACCCTGGGCACTCTCAGGAAGCAAAATGTCTTTCTGTTCCTCCATCTCCTTGATGCTTGGCATCTGTGTGGGTCACATATTCAGCAGATTGGGTAATAAAGAGCATGCGTTGCCTTTGCAGCAAGGTTGCATCAGATGGCTGGACGTGCCTGGATGTGCTCTGCCACTGGCATGAAGGACCCTGTGCAGACAAGGCCAATAGTGAAGGTCAGGGATTCCGAGAAAGCACCCAGTTTCTCCTCTTCTCCCTCTAAAAATGGTTTCTTCTGCCCACATTCTATTGATTTGCCTTAATCCTTTTAGCTGTTAACCTTTGCCTCAGTTTAGTGGACACACATGGTATCTGCAGTGGGTCTGGCTCTAGGAGTGAGGTGAGATGAATTGAGGTAAGCCTGGCAGGGTCCCTGCTGCCCATCTGCCCATCTTGCTGGGGAAGACAGAATAGCCTTGCGCTAGTGTAAGGTGGTAAGTATGGGGTCAGGAGAATGAAAAGGGTGCCAAGGCAGCCAGAAGTCGGATGACTGTGAATTTTTTTTTTTTCCAATGGATAATCATGCTGGGACACAGATATAAACTGAGGTTGTCCTGGGTAGGTGAGGGCTTATGGACACATGGGCCAGGGAGGGCGTATGCATGTGGGTCATACCTGACACTATTATCAGACACTGTTATCAGTCATTTATACTGCAGGGTGCACATAGGGGTGATGGGGGAGGTGCTCGTGCACAAGAGGAATTGGCAGCTGTTTCCTTCCTTTGCTTAGAGGACGTAGGGGAAAGCATTATCTGTGGGGACTGAACTCAGAATTCAGATGGGGCTCAGTTTACAGCCACAGGGTTCTATCTTATATCTCACCATGATCTCAGTTTGGGGATTGGGGTGGAAGTATGGACAGATGAAAACCATCGGGCTTGTGGGATGTTATTGGCTACAGGTAAAAGAACAGTGTACTAACGATGGCTTTAAAAACAAGGTGTTTCAACTCAGCCAGAAGTCTAAAGGTAGGAGCTCTAGGGTTGGTTCATTCAGGGAGTCAGCGATCATTTCAAGGACTCTGTCTAACCTAGGCTGCCATCTTCAGCACATTGGCCTTTGTTCTCAGGCCAGTCCCCTTATGGTCATAGCATGGCTGCCACTGCTCCGGGCATCATGTTCTCACATAACTGCGTCCAAAGGCAGGCAGGAAGGTTAGATTCTCCTTGTCTGTCTTAATTTGTCAGGAAGGGAAGCCTTTCCCAGAATTCCCCTGCTGAAGATTCTATCAAGGCTCCTTGAAGAGAAACGGGTCAGTACCCATGCCTCCGCTCCAGTGGAGGAGGAGAAAGCAAGTCCCTGGTGCTTTCGCCTCATCTAGAGCAAGAGGCAAGCTGTGTTTGCAAGGAAGTGGGGAAGGGAGCAATGGTTGGCTAAGCAAAGAGGAACATTTACTTCACCAAGTTTCAAGATGTTTTTATTTATTGGGGGGGAGTTAGTGAATTAGCTTTACTTTTTTTTATATCTCAATATTGTTGAGGTTTTTGTTTGTTTGTTTGTTTTTTTAAAATCTCACCCCCTAGTTCTGGCAACCACCAACCTGGTTTATATCACTATAGGTTTGCCATTTCTGGTAATTATTACTTCTTAAGCCACAGG
Organism: Homo sapiens; assembly: GCF_000001405.40. NCBI lineage: Eukaryota > Metazoa > Chordata > Mammalia > Primates > Hominidae > Homo > Homo sapiens. The sequence continues at coordinate 35,110 of NW_013171814.1, forward strand.
TAATGCTGGTGCATAGGATCCCAGGTGTTCCATGGATGCCTTTTTTGTGGTCCCAGGACATGGGTTCTGTGGTCTGTTCTCCCAGCAGCTCCTCCACTTTCCCGACACTGGGGCCAGGTGGAGAACCCCAGTAGGCAGAATTGTCCAGAGGGAGGGAGCATATGTCACTGGTGGCCTAGGCAGCAGGACTGGAAAGGCCTGAGGGCCTGAGGCTCCAGTGGGTTGGTAGAGGATGGCAGTCACCTTTGCAGGCAGCTGTGGGTTGGGGAGAGGAATTGGTGCTCAGCTGTGGCCTGCACATTCTGCAGAATGAGTTCTGTTGTCCCTGCTGATTGGGAAGCCTGGCCCCAGGGAATGCAGGGTGTGGGAAGATGGTGGTGGATGCCACCTTCCCCTCCCCAAACCACTATCCCCTCTATACATACACATGCAAACAGCCCAGGCCGTGGGGCTGACCATGCAAGCTAAGAGACAAATCTGTCCCCTCTGGGCTCCTCTCCACTCTGCTCAGGGTGTCACTGTGTCCTCCTCCCCCTCTTCCCACAGCACAGTCTGTGGGTTGCTAGAGCACTTAGCACTTCCCATCACTCCCTGCCTCCTCATCATTCCTTGGATACTTGCCTATCTGTCCCCTGGGATCATGAGCACCTTGCTACTGTCCTGGGAGTCATCAGGGCATTTCCTATAGGGCTAGGGTGGTGCCGGCCACAGGGTCCATGCTTCATGGAAAAAAAAGTATTTTTAAGGCAAGATACATATTTCTAGAAAGGGACTTGTTCATTTGGTTATCTGTCCAGATTCCAAACCAGTTCCGTGTGGCACTGCACAGTGCCCTGGACGAGAACTTACGGATCTCTACATGTTTTCCTCCCTAAGAGGAAGAAAGGTAATCAACTATCCTGTTCTGGGCTGAATTGTGTCCTCTCAAAATTCATATGCTGAAGTCCTAACTCCAGCGCCTCAGAACTGGATTGGTGGCCAGGCCTTTAAAGAGGTAATTAAGGTAAAATGAGATCATGAGAGTGGGCCCTAATCTAGTATGACTGGTGTCCTTAAAAGAAGAAGAGGACACAGATAAGACACAGATGGGGTCAACAGTGTGAGGATGCAACGAGAAGGCAGCCATCTGCAAGTCAAGACGGAGGCCTTGGAAGAAGCCAGCCCTGCCAACACCTTGATCTTGGACTTCCAGTCTCCAGAATAAATACATTTCTGCTGATGAAGCCACCCAGTCTATGGTGGCCTGCTATGGCAGCCCTAGCAAATGAATATGGAAGGATTCTCCCCTGCAGCTTGTGGAGGGAGTGTGGCCCTGCTCACACCTTGGTTTTGGACTTCTAGCCCCCAGAATTATGAGATCATACATTTCTGTTGCTTTCAGCCACCTGATTTGTGGTCCTCTGTTATGGCAGCCATGGATACTAATACACATGCATTGTGTGTTATGCTTGTGTTTAGGACTTCACCCCCTAAGTGTATTTCATCTTTCAGCTCTGAGTGTAGTTGTTATTCTTCTCTTTTGCAGATACACCTGAAAAGTTAGCATTCCTCCTGAGGTCACACAGGGAAGCCAGGCTAGAAACCCAGGCCTGTGTGGACTCTGGCCTGCAAGCTGTTGCATTTGGGCAGTGGGGAGATGTCTGTAAACGCAGGGATTGAACAGGTGGTCTTTCTCCTGAAACCTGGGTGATCCAATAATAACTTTCTTTTTCTTTTTTTTTTTTGGAGACGGAGTCTTACTCTGTCACCCAGGCTGGAGTGTAGTGGCGCGATGTCGGCTCACTGCAAGCTCCGCCTCCTGGGTTCACGCCATTCTCCTGCCTCAGCCTCCCGAGTAGCTGGGACTACAGGCGCCCGCCACCACGCCCAGCTAATTATTTTTTTTGTATTTTTAGTAGAGACGGGGTTTCACTGTGTCAGCCAGGATGGTCTCTATCTCCTGACCTCGTGATCCGCCCGCCTAGGCCTCCCAAAGTGCTGGGATTACAGGCGTGAGCCACCGTGCCTGGCCTAATAATAACTTTCAAAGCCTAACAGTTGCTAAGTATTGTGGTGTCATAGTAAGCACTTTGCATGTGCTGTCTTCATTAGCCATTACAGCTTCTGTTTCATAGATGAGAAAATGAGGGCACTTCTTCCAACGGGGACATTTAAGCAAGAAAAGCCAGTGACTTGGCCAAAGTTGCATACCAGGCTTGCCAGTGAGAAGACAAACTGAGGACGGGTTCTCTGAACTGTGCCCTCTTGGCTCTCTAGAAAGAACTGTGTGGAAATTTCTGGATTCCTGTGTCTTAGTCCATTTGGGCTGCTATAGCAAAATACCATAGACTGAGTAGCTTATGAACAGGAGAAACTTATTTCTTGGGCTAGGAAGTTCAAGATCAAGGTGCCAGCAGATTCAGTGTCTGGTGAAGGCTCAATTTTTCATAGATTGCACCGTCTCACTGCTTCTTTTCATGATGGAATGGGTGAGGACGTTCTCTGGGGTGTCCTTTATGAGGGCACTAACCTCATTCATGAGGCTCTGCCCTCATGACCTAATTGCCTCCTGAAGGCCCCACCTCCTAATACCATCGAGTCAGTGGTTAGATTTCTAACTTGTGAATTTTGGGGGGATACATTCAGACAGTAGCGGAGGTTGAGTGTTTTACCCCAGGCCACACAGCTAAGAAGTGGCATAACCAGTTTTGCTCAAGCTTTGCCTGTCACACACAGGGATTGGCAGGTTCCCCTGTAGTCCCCTGATGTTCTGAAAAGGTCACTGGTCTTAGATTGGCCACCTGTGATCTGGCTGCTCTCAGGGAAGTCACTTCACATCTGGGTGCTTTGTCCTCGGTGACCTCAGGGCTTGGACGATATAATACTAAAGTCTCTGATCCTCTCATTCTGAGGTTCCCAGTGCCCATCCTTCTATAATACAGGGATTAGGAGGGAGAATCCCTGAGATGTTTTTGACATTTGCCTACACCTGAGGGAACAGTTGCACATCTTCCTGATACGGCCAGTTGGAAGTGTGGTTTGGCCATTCATTCCTTCCCTACAAAATTACCTCTTTGCACAAGGTAGAAATGATCCCCACCTTGTGCCAGGTTTGTTCTAGGCTTTTGATGGTGTGGGCTTTGAGTGACGTCCACAAAAGCGTGTGGGGAGAGGGTTGCTGGTGAAGTGATGTCACTGTGATTTCCTCCTCTAGGTGAAACAAAAACGTGGTTGCCTGCAGCCTCATTCGCACCAGAGAGAAGCCAGCCACGGGCGTGGCAAGCCTTGGAGGCCCAAGTTGAGCCAAAGACCTCTGTGTCTTTCCCTCCATCCTGTTTCCGTTTGCCTTTAGGCCCAGGTGGCTGGCAGATGACGGTGAGGAGCGGGTGATGGGGTAATTCCCGGAATGCAGACTGTAACCAGGGCAGTCAGAACAAGGATTGTTAACCTGCAGCCGCCCAGCTCCTGGCTCATCCCACGAGGCGTTCGTGATTTTACTCACCTCATTAGAAAAGTTTACTTAATGTATCTGTCGTAGATTTTAGAACTGGAAAAGAGGTTGAGTGACTTTCTTTTTCTTTTTCTTTTTCCTTTTTTTTTTTTTTGAGACAAGTCTCGCTCTGCCGCCCAGGCTGGAGTGCAGTGGCGTGATCTCAGCTCACTGCAAGCTCCGCCTCCCGGGTTCATGCTATTCTCCTGCCTCAGCCTCCCGAGTAGCTGGGGCTACAGGTGCCCGCCACCATGCCCGGCTAATTTTTTGTATTTTTTTTTTTAGTAGAGACAGGGTTTCCCTGTGTTAGCCAGGATGGTCTTAATCTCCTGACCTCGTAATCTGCCTGCCTCGGCCTCCCAAAGTGCTGGGATTACAGGCATGAGCCACAAAGTTCCTGATTCTCTGCGGCCCACTCATGACCTCAGAGCTCCAGACTCCCAAGCTCCCTGACACCAGTATTTGGGTGGATGGGAAGAGGCCTGCAGATTGCAGTGGGTGAAGAGGCTGTGCACACCCAGCTGCTGTGGTGGAGTGGCTGTCCGCCAGTGTGACCAGCTAAGTTGTCTTCTCATTTCTTGCTGTTGTTGGTGCCACCAGGGGTCCTTACCCCTGGCATTGTTGTGAGGTGCCTAGGGAGCTGGCAGGGCTAGTGCACTTCTTCCAATGGGAACATTTAAGCAAGAGAAACCAGTGACTTGGCCAAGTTCGCATACCAGGCTTGCCAGTGAGAAGACAAACTGAGGACTGGTTCTCTGAACTGTGCCCTCTTGCCTCTCTAGAATGAACTGTGTGGAAATTTCTGGGTTCCTGTGTCTCCCTCAGGAACTGGCTCCAGGCTGCCCCTGTACCCAGCGGCCCTTGTCTGTCTCCTCCCAGGCCGAGGCAGGCACTGCGATGGAGGCACCCTCTTCACTGTGTTTGCCAGTGCACTGCAGTGGAGAGGTTATGCCTTTGTAGGGTTGTGGGGATAGGGCTGAAAGCCCCCTGAAGGCAGGATCCACGATGGAGGAGCATTATCGTACTCTGGTGGGCTGGGAACATGGCCCCTTTCCCAAGTTCTCCTCTCTGTCAGCCTAACACCAGCTTTTCGGAGAGAAAGAATCTTCCAGGTTTCCTGAGATTTGCCTGAGGTCCCTGAGGCTCTCCTTCCCACTTCAATCTAGAAGATGGGAGAGGCTCTAAATGACTTAATCACAGATCTGAAAGCCCAGAAGGACCTGAGAGAGGCTTGGCCTCCTGCAGGCATCTGCCTTGTAGCCTCCCGGGAATTGGAAGCTTACAGCTTTGCAGCCCAGGCCATTACTTGGCAGCCCGGGCCTAAAGACATTATCTTAGACCAAGGTGTGCCTCCCAGTAGCCCTGGCTGTGATCTGAGAGGCACACAGAACGCATATCCCATTCTCCTTCCAGGGTGACCAAGTATTCAGAGTGCCAAATCTTCTTTTGGAGGTAAGCTCTCTTCCCTTAAGGTTTCTCTGGATAAGGTGTCCAAACCTCTCCTGGCTTCCCTTCTCTGTACATCTCTTTTATCAATGCTTCTCCTAAAATGGGGACACGGAATGGAATACGGTGTTCGAGGTGTGACCTGAGTGGTGCAGGAATCATGCTGCTGTCACCTCCCTCCATCTGGACACTATATTTCTGTTAATGTAGCCCATGACTGTGTAATTTTTCTTCATGGGCAGCTTCTAGATATGGGGATTCCCATTCCTTCACAGCTCCTGCCAAAATAATCTGTGGCAAAGATCTGTTTCCCCAGCCTGGACTGTTCACAGCCCTGATGAGTAGCCCAGGCCACCTCATCTGAGTCCCCTTTGAGTGGCCCAGGGAGCTAAGGTCAAGGGTGTTCAGAAGCTGGTGAGATTATTGAGGCCTGACCCACTTTGCAGAGGAAGGCTGGAGCTTTCTGCCCAAAGTGACTGTGATGGGGATTGGGGTGGATGGGCTTCCAGGCCTGGAGAAGGTGGGGATGTTTCATGCAGGCTCCTACCCCTGAAAATCTGGCCACCCACTCACCACTGGGAACCAGCTCCTGTGTCTTAGCACTGCCACCTCCCCCTGGGCCTGCCAGCCTCTGGCTTCATTTCTTTTTTGCTCAGGAAGCAGAGATAAGGTTTGGTGCTCACCTTTGCCCAGTTGCATAGAGACCCTGTGACATGGACATATTGGATGACTTCCCTGGCTGAGCCATGGAGGAAACTGTGTTTCAACTGAAGACATTCTTGTGGTGTCTGCCCCCAGGGAAGTCTCTTGGTATGTGTGTGTGACACAGGGCTCAGTTTGGGGCACTGGGCATGGGGAATAGGGGGCAAAGGAAAGGAAGACTCAACTGTGCTTTCAGGGAGCCTTCAGCCAGCAGGAGAGAGAAACCCTGAGCATGCTGGCTGATGGGAAATGTGTATCAAAAGTTTCCTTTTGCCAGGAGGAGGCAGGCAGGACTTTCAGCTCCCCAAGTCTGGGCCATTTCTGGAAGCATGAGGGTTTGGAGCTTGTCTTTTTATTCTAAACATTGAGCCTGCAGTTTTAACTCCTGGGCTGCCCGTTGGTCTTGTCTGTCCTGAGCTGCCTGCACATCGATCTGATCGTGAAGGGTGGGTGGTGAGTGCTCCGGATCGTCTCAGCAGCATCTCTGCCTTAGATGGATTCTCAGCTGCCCATCTGGAAGGTCAGGATGCCAATAGGTGGGGGCATCACTGTGGAGTGGTAGCGAAGAATTCCAGTTTTGAGGCTCACGAGCTTCCAGGATTCCAGGCTTGGCTCTGCATAAAGCTCACTACAGAATCTTAAACTCTTTGTGACTTGGTTTCCTCACCTTGCCTTTGATAGTGGAGTTGGAAAGCCCCAATGCAAGGGGAGGTGATGGTCTGCTCAGGCACCCCGCCCCAAGAATAGAGATGTCAGTGATTCACAGGTGCACAGAGAACAAGCTGGGACATCCTCAAAGTACACACTCTGGAGTGCTGAGAACTGGCTTGTTACCCACTCAGCTGCTCACTGGCATTGTGTTTGTTTGTTTTTTTGAGATGGAGTCTCACCCTGTTGCCCAGGCTGGAGTGCAGTGGCGCAGTCTCAGCTCACTGCAACCTCTTCGTCCCAGGTTCAAGCGATTCTTGTGCTTCAGCCTCCTGAGTAGCTGAGATTACAGGCACGCACCACCACACCTGGCTAATTTTTGTATTTTTGGTAGAGATGGGGTTTCACCATGTTGGCCAGGCTGGTCTTGAAATCTTGACCTCAGGTGATCCACCTGCCTTGGCCTCCCAAAGTGCTGAGATTACAGGTGTGAACCTCCATGTCCAGCCTGCTCACTGGCATTGTGACCTTAGGAGAGTTAATTTTCTAAAGCTCTGCTTCTCCAGCTATGAGATTGGCATAACAGTGTCTACTTCATAAGGCTGCTGTTAGAATGAGAACTAATATATGTTATACACTTAGCCCAGTGCTTGGCATGGAGCTGAGTCTCTGGAAAGGATGGCTGTTCTTATGATCATAGGCAAATACAGTGTGGTCAGAAGAGTCCAGCAGGGACTGAAGGAGGGGTGGGGCTGTAAAAGCAGATGGGATTGCAGAGGAGGGGAGATTGTGGCCTGGGGGTAGGGACAGGAGGATGGTGGGGAAGAGATAGAGAACTGCAGAAACAGTACCTTGAAGGCCCCCTGCAAAACTTGTTTGGAGACCTGGAAATTCACAGGTGTCAGTCACCCTTGGGCTACAGAGGGGGCTGGAACTCAGGCTGGTCATGAACCATTTTGTGCCCCCATTGTCCCAGCCAGAGCTTTTGGATGAGGGATAGGCACGTGACCAGAGCCAGGCCAACCAGGAACCTTCCCTGGAGTTTTCTGAATGGAAGCTGGGAGAGAAAGTCCTTTTCTTCTTGAGGGCATGGCATGAAAGAAGCCTGGCAGCTTTGGCCACATCCACTGCCGTGGAGAGACCTGTCCTGGGGAGACAGCACAGCACTAGCAGCTGAAGAGAAGCAGAGCTGGAAACTTAAGAGAACCAATACCTCTGCTCGATTTGTCTTCCTCTGGCTTGGTGCTGAATTTGTTAGTTTCTATAGTCTCTGTATTAGTCCGTACAGGCTGCCATAATGAAACTCCACAGACTGGGTGGCTTAAACAACAGACATTTTATTTCTTCACAGTTCTGGAGGCTGGAAGTCCAAGATCACAGTGCTGGTAAATTCAGTTTCTGGTGAGGGCTCTCTTCCTGCCTTGCAGACAGCTGCCCTCTTGCTGGGTCCCACACGGTCTCTCCTCTGTGTTTGTGCACATGGGAAGAGACAGCTGTCTGGTGTCTGTTCTTATAAGGACACCGCTTCTATCCTAATCAGACCCCACCCTTAGGACCACACTTACCCTTTATGACCTCCTTAAAGGCCCTGTTTCCAAACATATTTATGCTGGGGATTAGGGATTCAATATGTAAATTTTGGGAGGACATAATTCAGTCTGTAACACTTCTCTATTCAGTAGATTCCCTTTCTTTTTCTTTTCTTTTCTTCTCTTTTCTTTTGAGATGGAGTTTCACTCTTGTTGCTCAGGCTGGAGTATATTCCCTTTCTGTGCCTTAAGGAATGGCATTCATACCACTGGTAGAACACACAATGATTTTCAGTTAGATACTTATGGACTGGTACAAAATATAAGCCATGTATTCATCTATGTGTGCATTAAAGAATGACAAACACAACTAGTACATAGAATTTGTGATGTTCACAAGTGAAGGGAGTATTCAGTATTGCTCTGCAGGAGGCTGAGTTTAATAAAAAGTCAGTACAAGGTCAATAGTAATGTTACAGTTGGTACACGGGTATGACAGAAAACTCCAAGGTAGTGAATTCTGGGTAATGTTGCATGAACTAGTTTGGGTTGGGTTTGTGTCACTTGGCACTGGTAGAGTTTTGAATAATACATGTTCAATTTCAGCCTAAGGCTACCTCTTTTCATGTAACAAATATGGGTTCCTAAATGTTTATTTACATAAAACCTTTATACATATAATTGTAATTTCGAGTCACAAAAAGTGGTCAGCACCTAAAGACAACTGTAGTAAATATTTTTGTAAAGAATCCTTTTTTATAGTATCTGGTTTGTTTCAAATGCATCTGTTTTGCAAATTTAGATTCTTAAACAGCAACTTGTTATCTAGGATTTTGGTCATCAGAAACTTCTCAGCTGGCACCTGAAAAACATCAGCACAGTGACAGTTGATATATTTAATTGTTCAAATGATCATCTTAGCATCAAACATGCTGCAATAAAAAGTGTTCTCTTTGACATCCATTCTCCAACCAATAATAAATACACTTATTCAAAAGTTAAGTAAGGGGTGTATTTGAGAGCTAACCCATCCTGGTAAACTCATACTGGAAAACCTGATAAGCGTTTGCAGATCTTTTTCAGAATCTGTAAGAGTTATGTTGTAGGAGAGATAATCACCTGTAGCACTGGACTCAGCATTTTTAGACTAGAATATCCTCTCCCGTCTTGTTGAGTGATGGTGATCATATTTTCTGAATCAAAAATCAGGATGAGTATTTGGATATTTGAAATCAGAACTTCTCCTAACTATCATCTTTTATCTAGATGGGGACTCTGGAGTCTCATTGTCAAATTTGTTTATGTGCTCATACAAATTTTAAAAAAGTTTGTTGTTGTTTTTTTTTTTACTTAAAAAATTGGCCCTACCTTCAGACCATCCTGAGACTTATTTCCTCATCCTAGTTTTCCCCGAATATCTTAGCTCGTTTATTAATATGATAGAATGTTAAATGAGGTCTGTAGTCCTACCACCCCCCCCAATCCTAACAAACAAAAGAATATTTTCTAATGTTACCTGTGGAAGCAGATAGCTTGGTGGGCTGAATAAATGATTAGAATTTAAGAGCCTAGTTTTAGGTATTCTAGTTACTGTAGGCTGTGTGAAAAACCACCCCAAAACTTAGTGGCTTAAACAGCAATAATCCTTTGTCCTGCTCATGAGTCTGTAATTTGGGCAGGGCTCAAGAGCTACAGTTTGCATCTATTCCACATGGCATCAGCTGGGCTGCAATCAGAGCTGGAAGATCCACTTCCAAAATGGCACATTCTCATGGCTGGCAAGTTGTGCTGGCTGTTGGTTCTTCTCCATGCAGGTTTCTCCACAAGGCTGCTTGGGCTTCCTCAAAGCATGGTGGCTGGGTTTGAAAAGTTAATCCCAATGTAGAGTGGAGTAATAGACATTGGAGACTGTGAAAGGTGGGAAGGTGAGAGGCGGGTGAAGATCAAAAAACGACCTGTTGGGTACAGTGTTCACTATTCAGGCATGAGTACACTAAAAGCCCAGACTTAACCACTATGCAATATATGCATGTAGGAAACCTGCACATGTACCCCCTAAATAAATACAAATAAACCAAACAAAATAATTATATATTATGACCAAGTGGAGTTTATCCCAAGAATATGAAAAAAACCAAACCACAAAAGTGAATGGCCCAAGAAACAGGAAGGAGAGACGGCTAATTTCTTAAGGGCTGGCATAGAAATGCCAGTTATCTAACAGTCTCTGGAGTGTCACTTCCATATACTACTGGTCAAGCAGTCACAGAGTCCAGATTCAAGACGGTGGGGACACAGACCCTACTTCTTGTTAGGAGGAATTTCATAGAATTTGGAGGCTATTTTTTTTTTTTTTTTTTGAGACAGAGTCTCGCTCTGTTGCCCAGGCCGGAGTGAAGTGGTGTGATCTCGGCTCACTGCAAGCTCGCCTCCCAGGTTCACGCCATTCTCCTGCCTCAGCCTCTGGAGTAGCTGGGACTACAGGCACCCACCACCACACCCGGCTAATTTTTTGTATTTTTAGTAGAGATGGGGTTTCACTGTGTTAGGCAGGATGGTCTCGATCTCCTGACCTTGTGATCTGCCCACCTCGGCCTCCCAAAGTGCTGGGATTACAGGCGTGAGCCACCACGCCCGGCTTGGAGGCTGTTTTAACCATAACAACTGGTCTCACAAAAAGGAATATCCTTCCTTCTTTTTCTTTGAGACAGAATCTTGTTCTGATGCCCAGGCTGGAGTACAGTGGTGTGACCTCAGCTCACTGCAACCTCCGCCTCTTGGCCTCAAGCCATCCTCCCTCCTCAGCCTCCTGAGGAGCTGGGTCTTCAGGCTCACACCACTGTACCCCACAAAATTTGTTGTATTTTTTGTAGAGACAGGGTTCCACCACGTTGCCCAGGCTGGTCACGATCTCCTAGGCTCCAGTGATCCTCCCACCTTGGCCTCCCAAAGTGCTGGGATTCTAGGGATGAACCACTGCCCGGCCTATCCTTCCTTATTACAGACCTTCCCTGAGGTTTAGATTCATCTTCTACTTGCAGTCTTTTGTGGAGGAGTGAAAAAGAAATGTTTGGCTGGGTGCAGTGGCTCACGCCTGTAATCCTAGCACTTTGGGAAGCTAAGGCAGGCAGATCACTTGAGGTCAGGAGTTCGAGACCAGCCTGGCCAACATGGCCAAACCCCATCTCTACTAAAAATACAAAAATTAGCCGGGTGTGGTAGCACATGCTAGTAATCCCAGCTACATGGGAGGCTGAGGCAGGAAATCACTTGAACCTGGCGTGTGGAGGTTGCAGTGAGCCAAGATTGTGCCACTGCATTTCAGCTTGGGCGACAGTGAGACTCTGTCTCAAAAAAAAAAAAAAAAAAAAGGAGTGTTTATAAAAACTTGCTTGTATCATTTGAGCTCAGTTATAGTTAGTAAATGTTTTGCTTGAAGCCCCTTTTATATGCTAATTCTTTAAAAGTGGCTAATAATTTAAAAGTGGCTCCCCCTTGTCCTGGGCATATAGTGGAGCTTTATTTCTTCAGCCATTCCCAGAAATTGCTGAGACTGGGAAGTGCAGGCTCTTGGCTTTGCAGCAACGGAGTCTTTCGCAGCAAGACCATCCACAGTTAAGACCCTTCTCAGAGAAACTCCACTGTGGCAAGACCCTGTGCTGGCTGCTGGGGGCTGCAGAGATGGATCAGGGGACACTCCATCCCTGTGCCCCACTTTCAGGAAGCCCAAAGTATCACTGATGGAAAGCAATGGCCTCAGTGTCACTTTTTCTCAGGGTGTCCTTGTCCCCTGGCAGAACACAGTGGAAGTGTGTCTATATTCTGAATGAACTGTTGACTACTTCTCTTTTCCTTCCTGGGGCACTTGATTTTAGAAAGTGCCCTGGTCTAGGAGGACCAAGACCTGGCTTCCAGCTGTGTCAGATAATTACCCCCACTCTATTTTTCTCATCGGTAAAATAGGGAATTTGGTCTAGGCTGGGGGTTGGCAAACTACAACTTGCAGACTAACTCCAGCCCAATGCCTGTTTTTCTAAATGAAAGTTTTACTGGAACACAGTCATGCCTGTTTCTTCACGTACATCTACGGTTGCTTTTGGCTGGTTACAAAAAAAAGAACATATGGCTCACAAGGCCTAACATATTTACTGTCTGGCCATTTACAGAAAACACTTGCTCACCCCTGATCTAAAACAATGGTTTTCAACTTCATTTTAGCCATACTGTTTTTTTTCTGGAAACAACTCTTCTTTATTTTTAACAATAAAAGCAATTCTCACAGCACTTGGCATGTGCCTGGCACTGTACCAAGTGCTTTAAAACTGTTAACTTACTGCTTAATCCTTATGAAAACATTATGAGATGAGCAGTAGTATCATCACCCACATTTTAGAGAGGAGAAAACTGAGGCAGAGTTAACAGAGAGGTTAAGTAACTTGCCTCAGGTCACACAGCTACTAAGTGGCAAAGGCAAAATTTGAATTCAGGAGTCCTGCTCTAGAGTTTGCCTTCTTATCCACTGGGCCATGCTGCCTCTCACTGGTGGCCTTATATAAAAACTGGGTGGAGCAGGCCCCACTAACTAGAACTGATGTGGCATGGTCAGCATCTCCCCCTTGCCTGTTGACTCTTCTTTCTGCAGCCCCCCGGGATCTCAGGGCCATCTCTGGCAACCTCTGGAGGCTATAACATCTGGCAAATTAGGCTTCTAAGCTTGGAGAGGGGACATCAGTTTGTTTTGGTTGCTACAAGAGGAATTGATCCTGGTTGTTGGGAACTTATGCAGGCCAAGAACTGTAGAAAGCACTGTTCTCTGGGACTGAGGACTCCAGACAAATAGACTCATTTTTATCGAGCATGATCATAATTATGCCTGATAAAAATGAGTGCTAGAGACTTAGGTCCACATTTCAAAACCGTAACTGAAAGGAAGACATATTTCAATAGTTGCCATGCCCCACACAAATATGAAAACCAGTAATCTATTGGAACCAGTTCCCTGGGCCAGAGTGATTTGCCTTAGACTCTTGTCATAAAAATCAGCAAAGGAGACTGCACACTGAAATGACACTTCACACTGAAAAGATATTGACGCTGAAAGGAGATTCACGCTGAATGTCACCTTCCCTGCTTCCTCCTGCAAATGACCCCACATAGCCTGGGGGGCATTTAGGAGCTTTAGCATAGCACCCGCCTCTTGGGCAGGTGGGAGCCTGGGGCTGCAGACCGGCCCTTTCTTAGGATGCTCCCTGTTTGCAGATTAGTGACTTGATTGGCCCCTCCTCCACCCCCACCATTCCCATAAGGGACTGGTTAGTCTGCAGGGATGACACCCAGCCTCCTCCACCCTTGGGGATGTAAACTGTACTAGGAGCAGGAAAGGCTGGGGTGACTCACTTTCCTGCCAGTGAAAAGCTGACCTCAATCTTGGTAGTGGTTTGAAGGTGACTTTTGTATTCATCTCTCTGGGATCTTGGGAGACAGTTTCAACTATGGTATCTACTCAGTTTCCCTATGGGACCCCACTCTGGCCTGCAGCTCCTCTGCCCTGTACAGAAGGGTCTCCTGTTCTAAGGTTTTTTTTGTTTTGTTTTGTTTTGTTTTTTGGACAGATTCTTACTCTGTCACCCAGGCTGGAGTGCAGTGGCGCGATCTTGACTCACTGCAACCTCCACCTCCTGGGTTCAAGCAATTCTCCTGCCTCAGTCTCCTGAATAGCTGGGATTATAGGTGCACACCACCACACCTGGCTAATTTTTGTATTTTCAGTAGAGACAGGGTTTGGCCATGTTGGCCAGGCTGGTCTTGAACTCCTAACTTCAGGTGATCTGCCTGCCTCAGCCTTCCAAAGTGCTGGGATTACAGGCGTGAGCCACCGTGCCTGGCCCTGTTCTAAGGTTTTTGCTGTCTCTGTTTTCTCCTTGGTTGGCCTGTGCCTGACACAGTAAGATTTGGGACCCCTGAGATTGAGTGGGGTGGGGTCTTCCCAGGTGCTTCCCTCTTGCTTGTGGTCTCTGGCCCTGTTCCCCGCCCCAGCCATCAGCACCAGTCCCCTACCCCCTCAAAAGGCTCAAAGACTTCCTGAGAACCCGGAATCTCAGTTTCATCTCTGCTGGAGATTTTTGATCTGGGGGAAAGGCTGCTCTCTATATGGCTGCTTTCAGACCACACTTGGCTCTCCCTTGGTTTAGCCAAATTGGGGTTTTCCTCATTTTCAGGAGCCAGCTTTTCTGAAGTGTTCCTTCCTGGCAGCTGCATTCCCCATGGTCCTGTCTATCTTAGGGGCAAGGACTTAGGCATCGGGTGTCCTAGAGGCTAGAAGATTGTTCTACAGAGAAAAGTGGTTTTGTGGCCGTAGGTGGTACCCAGACGTGTTGCCTGCCACCTGGGTGCAAGCAGGACCGGACCTCTGTGGGTGGTGGAGGGAGCTTCCCATGTGTGGATGGAGGCCTTGCTGGGGAAGGGTAGATGAGTACAGCTCCGTGTCACAGCCCGGGGACAGCCCCACCTGCTGCAGGCGGCCTTCGCTAGGCCTCTGTGAAGGTCCCCAAAGCCTGGCTCTCCTGTGGCTTATCCTGGGAGAATATTTGCCCTCTTTCATCTAATAGTTAACTATTGACAGAACATTAGGTACTTGAATAAAATGAAGCTGTTTAGTTTGGGGAGATATTTTGGAAAACAGAAGCTTAGTTCTCATTGAGGTTACCTTCTTGGTGTAGGTGGTTGTGTAGGTTTTTGTTTTGTTTTGTTTTGAGACAGGGTCTTGTTCTGTCACCCAGGCAGGAGTGCAGTGGTGCGAACACAGCTTACTGCAGCCTCGACTTCCTGGGGTCAAGTAATACTTCCACCTCAGCCTCCCGAGGAGCTGGGACCACAGGCGCACACCACCATACCCAGCTAATTTTATTTTTTTGTAGAGATGGGGGGTCTCACCTTGTTCCCTAGGCTGGTCTTGAACCCCTGGGCCCCAGCAATCCTCCTGCCTCAGCCTCCCAAAGTGGTGGGATTACAGATGTGAGCCACCAAGCCTGGTCGGCTTGTTTTAAACAACTTAATGTTATTGAAAATATGATGCCACCCTGATATTGAGATAAATTTTAAGGGAAGAATCACCTCTTTCTCATTACTTGAATACTGTGTTAATTTTTGCATATTAAGTCAATTTCCTCCTTTAATGGCAATTGGTTGATCCATGGTCATGTTAAATAATTTTGCATATTTAATTAACTCGGGTCTTGATTTGTCTCCGGTCCTGTTTATTACTGATGTCACCGTCTGTGTGTGTCTTGTGATGTGGAGACTTTGCAAGCTGTTTTCCACGGAGTCCAAGCCCCACAGCCCTGCTGTGGCACTGCCTTCATCAGTGACGCGTTCTTGGCGGAGAGGATCTAGTTGTAGTTTGTGCTTCCTGGCTGTCAAGGGCCTTGCCTTCCCTTCTACAGGAAACAGCTGAGAAATCGCTGGTGTGCTGTAGCCTTAAATAACAGCACCTGCCACTCAGTTGTGTTGTCTTTCATGAGTTTTCCAAGTGCTCTCCTGCCTTGGGGCATGTGGGAAGGAAGGTATTATCATTTCCGTTTTACAAAGATCCCCCGAGAGACTGCAAGTCTCTTGGATTTTGCTGCTGACACCAGGACAGGAGGTCACATCCTCTGACCCTCCATCTTATGTTCTTTCCAGCAGCCCCAGAACCAGCCATGGAAACCAGGGGCAGGGCCTCTGTGCTTTAGTTCCCTGATCTGTAAAATAAGGGATCATAATAGTACCTATTTTGTAGGGTCACTATGAAGTTTAGATGAGCTGCCACATGCCTGGGACAGTGCCTGGCACACAACCATGCAAGCTCTCAGGAGGGTAGTGCCCCGTACCTCCAATCTTGTTATGTGGGGGACAGACAGATCATCTGGCTTGGGCGCCCCACCCTGCCATGCAGATAAATCCATGCCCAGATAACGGTCATGTGGGATGGGAAGGTGGGGCTCTAGCGTGTGCCTTCTTGCTGTCCTGTGCTAGGCATCTTGGGGTCCGGCCTCCTGAACTTGTGCCCTTTCCTTTGCCAGAGTGAGTTGCCCAAGAGGCTGAGGGTGGGCATGAGGCTGCTTACAAAGCTGAGCTGATGATAGTTTGCAGGGCACAGCACCCTTCACTCAGGGATGCTGGCATACTCTGTGGGCTTCTTAACAGGCAACAAGTTCTGCCAGCCCATTGTACAGTCCCCGGCTGGCTGCAGTGTCTGGGCATTCTGCTTCTCAGCCTTGCCCCACTCACTACTTTCTCAGTGAGTGTCAGTGAGTAAACACGCACGCAAAAGAATAAAACCATCAACAAGAGAAAGTGTGGTGTGTAAGGGAAAGGGAGTCATTCATTCATTCATTCATTCAGCCAGTGTTGACTACAGTGTGCCAAGTCCTGTTCTAGCTGCTGGGGTGCAGTGGCGATCAGGGCAGGCCCTGCCCTCATGGAGCTTACAGACAAGACCATGACACAGGTGCATGCTATGAAAATGAGTGAGTGGGACATACTGGGCCTCCCCAAAGTTGGTGGGGAAGAGAGAGAAGGTAAAACCCAAAATAGGTTCTGTGACTGGCCAGCACCTCAGGGGAGGCCTTTCGAGGGGCAAGGGTGGAGATTTTCATGGCTAAGTCCTGTTGTCTAGGGGGGATTGCCCTTACAGGGGGTCTGCATGACATTAGTCATGAATCCAAGGTCCTGTGGTGGCATCAGGGCTGGCACCAACCACAGCTTGCTGCCGATGTCCCTCCCATGCTCTGGGTACCTGTCATATTTGACACCTCTGTTGCAGAGGTGACAGCTAGAAAAGCATCCATTGCCTTTGGGGTGGGGGTTCCCATTTGTTGTCTCATGGGAAGGAAGGGATGCTTTGGAAAGGCTGTGGAAACCCCTTTGGGCTCTGGGTGGATAACATGAGTGGGGCCATTGGAAGGGGTAAAGAATGCTGAGTCATGTCTAAATGACAGCACTTCCTGGGCACTCCTACATGACTTGCAATACCCCACAGGCAGGGCCCTTCATCTCAGCCTGTCTAACAGACTGTGGATTTGGATTTTCATTCAACCATTAAATTTTTAAAAAATTCTGTGAAGCTAATAGTCAAAGGGTTAGTAGTCTCATTTATTCACCAGATATTTTTCAGCAACAACTTATGTACCTGGCTTTTTTCTAGGAGTTGGGGATATAGCAGGTGAACAGAAGAGACAATAAATCTTGCCCTCATAGTCTAGCCTTATGATAGCAGAAGTCTTTCTTTAAAGAAAGATCCCTGGAATCTTTAAATATTAACTCCTGGAGTTCACGTAGGCATCGTGACAGAGGCACAGGGACAGTGGGGTTAGCTGGGATGTCCAGGGACAGAAGGAAACAGAAGCAGTGTCACTGGTGACCAGTCAGATGGGTGGACGTCCAGCACCCTCATGATGTGGCAGAAGTCAGGGAAGAACGATATTCTGTTTAAAAAGTTGAGCTTATAAATAGCCATATTGGAACATGTTTATTATGTTGAGGAGGTAACTTATACTTGACTGGTCTTCTAATAGAGCAGCAAATGTCATTGAGTATTTTCTTTGTGCCTGGGTACATGGTGCCCATGGAAAGATGTGTTCTTTGCCCCAGGGACGACGATAGTTGAGTAATTAGCAAATAAAACAAGGGCAAGTCTATTGAGAGCCACTTTCTATGGCAGGGCCTGAGATCACTATGGAAATAACTCAGTAAGAGCAGTCAGAGAAGGCTTCCTGGAGGAGGTGTCTCCATGCTAGTCAGAAAGAAGTGGGGAACGTGTTCTCAGGGAGTTAGTAACAGGGGAGCATGGCTTGTGCTCATGGGACAGAGTGACTGCTCTGTCACAGTGGGGTTGGCAATGAGGGGCTAGAGGTTAGAGGGCAGGGGACAGTGGAGACCAGTGGGGGGCTTGACACACTCTGCAGCTGTGAGCCATTGAAGGTTTTGCAGCAGAGCAGTACCCTGGTGCTGGTTGTACTTAGGGTGTCAGCGAGGTGGAGCGAGCTGGGAGGGCAGGTATAGCAAGTGATGCTGGAGAGAACAGCTGAATGTGGCTCTAGAGAAACAGGCTCCTGCCTGGCAAGTCACAGGGTTGTGAATAAATCACTCATGCTTTCTGAGCCTCAGTTCACCTCATCTACAAAATGAAAATAAGATTTCAAATCCTATTTCATAGATTCTTTGTGAGTCTTAACTTTAAGAATATATGTGACAATGCTTTAGGAAAAAAAAAAGTAAAGTGTAAATTCAAGAAAAATCTCAGCTGTTGGTGTCAGGATCCCCTTCTCACATTGGCTTCCTGTACCTATGAGATAGCAAAAAGTAGGGGAGAAATCTCATATTCCTGTGAGTACATGACATTATCGAAACACCAGAGGACCAGGGAGGATGGTCAGTGAGCTCACAAGCATTGATGTCTGCCATTTGCATTTAATCCTCCCAGCAGCCCCATGAGGTGGGGAAACATTGGGAATCGGAGATGAACAGCTGCGGCCCCCACCCAAGGTCACTTAGCTAGTTGGTGAGACAGGGCCCTGACAGGCACTCCTTCTGTAGTAGTGTGCCTGGGCTGCCATGACAAAATCCCACAAACTGGGTGGCTTAAACAATGAACATTTATTTTCTCATAATTCTGGAAGTTGGATGTCCAAGATCAAGGTGTCAGCAGGGTTGGTGTAATAGTCCATTTTTATATCACTATGAAGAAATACCTGAGACTGGGCAATTTGTAAAAAAAAAAAAAAAAAAAAAAAAAAAAAAAAAAAGAGGTTTAATGGACTCACAGTTCCACATGTCTGGGGAGGCCTCACAATCGTGGCAGAAGGCAAAGGATGAGCAAAGGCACATCTTACATGGCGGCAGGCAAAAGAGTGTGTGCAGAGGAACTGCCCTTTATAAAACCATCAGATCTCGTGAGACTTATTCACTGTCACAAGAATAGCACAGGAAAAACCCACCCCCACGATTCAATTATCTCCCACCAGGAGGGTCCCTCCCATGACAAGTGGGGATTGTGGGAGCTTCAATTGAAGATGAGATTTGGGTGGGGACATAGCCAACCCAGATCAGTTGCTCTCTTCTGAGGCCTCTCTCCTTGGCCTGCTGATGGTCACCTTCTTGCAGTGCCCTCATGTGATTTTTCCTCTGGCTCTGTCTGTGTCCCAGCCTCCTCCTCTCATAAGGACACCATTCAAACTGAATTAGGGTCCACTGACATGACCTCATTTTACCTTAATTACCACTCTAAAGTCTTTTCTTCAGATGCAGTCATGTTCTGAAGTACTGAGGGTTAGGGCTTCAACTTACGAATTTGGTGAGTTCACAGTTCAGCCTGTAACACATTTCTTCAGGATTTCCAGAGCGTGCACAGTTTTGAGCAGAAAAACGCACTGCTGGAGGAAAAGGAGAGAACTGGAAAATTCCAGCAAGCTGTCATAGACTTGATCTGGGGGAGGTGGGGCCCCACTGAGAAAGATGACAAGGTGAACAAAGATCAGCAAGTGATTCGGTGCACCCAGCAAACTTAGAATAGATTTACTTCAAGAAATTCATAAATGAAAAAAAAACAAAAAAACAAAAAAAAAACTTGGGTTTCAAAAAATTTCTATTAACTTGCTTTATAAAAAGATTTCATAACAGGGTTCCTTTAAATACCCAGCCGCACCAGTATACTTAACAAGTGATTTGATTTAATACCATGTGATTAAAGTACTACGTTTGCAGAGCCTAGCCATTAAAAGCAGGACAGACAACCTGTAATTAAAATTTTGCTGAACCCTCCTCCTCCAAAGACCAGTTCAGTTCGCAGAGGTTGATGGTGAAAGCAGCCGAGGCACTTCAACTTTGCTCCCCAGTGTCTTTGCTCTAGGTCAGTGTGCACAGGGATGAGACCAGTCTTGGGGGTGTCAGCACCAGCCCCTGGCCCCCTGCCTGGGGCTGGCATACCCCTCCTGCTGTCCTAGGACACAGCATTGGCTTCGATCTATTCCAGCAGCAATCTTACCTTGTCCTTCTTTATCTCTGTTTCTAGGGCCAGTGACATTGGTCTCCTCAGTTAGGGGCAGGCAGACATAGACAAATGAATAGTGACTTTTGTCCGAACTTCATGTTAGCAATTTCAACCTGCAAACATTTTACCTCCCTCACCAGAGCTGCAAACACGTGGCCACGTTGATTGGTTTACTTCCAGTCCTCCCTGTGAGTGGAAGAGCAGAGATCCAAACCCCTTGTAAAAAGAGGTAGACAATAACCACTCCCAGAGCTGTGGAGAGGCTGAATGGGCAGAATGTGTATAATCAGAAAAGCACACATGAGGCTGGTTCATTTGCAGAGAAGCAGGTCATGATTCTCAGCGGGTAAAAGCCAACAGTGATTAGGAGGAAGAACTCTTGTCATCTGGGACCGAGGAAATGGGGCTTTAATAAAGCCAGTTGCTGTTTGGGTGCCAGAGTCTGAGTCCTGTCCTTCCATCATCAGTACTTATTAAGAACCTACTGCATGCCAGGAACTGTGCTATATATTGAGGGCACTAACAGTCCCTCTGGTCAGAGAGAGCCTTCTAGCATGGAAGCCTTAGTCCCTGCCCTGGCGTGACGCACAGGCTAACGGAGGAGACAGACATCCACGCACACACTGAGGCTGCCAGAAAAAGAGAATCACAGGGCACTGGGGAGTCCCTGGGGGGTGGGGGGAGCAGTGGTGCCTGGGGAATCAGGAAAGGTTTCTTAGGGAAGTGATGATTGAGTAAGTTGAGAACAAAATCAAAAGTCGAAGGGGAGTTACTGTGGCCAAGAGGTGGGAGAGGCGTGCTTAAGGCAGACGGAACTTTATATGCAGAGGCCTGGAGGTGAGAGAGTGAGTGCAGGGGGTAGGGGTGACTCAGGTTATAGGGACCCAGACTTTGAGGAGGGTGGAGGGAGGTGAGGGACAGGGCTGGAGAGTGGAGCGGGGACCAGAGTGAGAAGGCCACATGTGTGGAGATGAGGGATCCAGACCTTGTCCCAGGATTTTCTTTTGGTGTGTTGAAAATGTTCTGGAGCTGGATAGAGGTGCTGGCTGCACAACAGTGCGAATGTACTAAATGCCAGTGGATTGTATACTTTAAGATGCCTAAAGTAGTTAATTTCATGTTACATGAATTTCACTTTAATAATTAAAAAGAAAGATATGATCTGCAAAGTATGGAAGTATTGTTTTCACCCTGTCCCCACCTACCCCCTTCCGTCTTGCCTTATGCCCTCCTGGAGGTAACAGTTTGGGTTTGTTTTTGTTTGTTTGTTTGTTTGTTTGTTTGCCCAGGCTGGAGTGCAGTGGTATGATACTGGCTCACTGCAACCTCTGCCTCCCAGGTTCAAGCAATTCTCCTGCCTCAGCCTCCTGAGTAGCTGGGATTACAGGCAGGCGCCACCACGCCCGGCTAATTTTTGTATTTTTGGTAGAGATGGGGGTTTCACCGTGTTGGTCAGGCTGGTCTCAAACCCCTGACCTCGTGATCCACCCTCCTCGGCCTCCCAAAGTGTTGGGATTACAGGCGTGAGCCACCACACTCGGCCAGGTAGCACTTTTAAAAATATTTTGTTTCCCCTTTCAGTGTTTCTTCATGCATGACAAGGAATATATTCTTATTCTTTCTTATATCAAAGGTGCCATTCTGAAAATGCTATTTTGTACCTTGCTTTTTTCATCTAAGAGAATATTCCATCAGTGTCTTCCATGCCAGCACATAGTGATCCTCCTTATTTTTTTCCTGGGTATATAATATTCTATAGTATGGCTATACCATGCTTTATTCATCCACCCCCTATTTCTGGATGTTTGGGTGGTTCCCAGTCTTTTGCTTGGACACTGTATACTGTGTAGTCAAAGGCAAATCACTCTTGGCTCCTGGCCTCAGGGAGCCTGGATTAGTCAGGGTCTCCAGAGAAACAGAACCATGAGAGAGAGAGAGAAAGAGATTTGGAGAAATTGGCTCATGTGATTGTGAGAGCTGGCAAGTCTGAGATCTGTAGGGCAGGCTGGCAGCCTGGGAATTCAAGTAAAAGTTGATATTGCAGTCTTAAATCCAAAATCTGCAAGGCAGCAGACTGGAAACTCAGGCAGAATTTTTATGTTGTAGTCTTAAGCCAGAATTATTTCTTCCTTCTCTTTCTCCTTCTCCTTCCCCCTCACCGTTCCTCCTCCTCCTCCTCCTCCTTCTCCTCCTTCCCCTCCCTCCTTTCTCCTTCCTCTTTCTTCCTTCCTCCTTCCTTCCTTTCTTCTTGAAACCTCAGTCTTTGCTCGTGGGGCCTTCAACTGATTGGAGGAGGCCCACCAACATTACAGATGGTACTCTGTTTTCCTCAAAATCAATTTATTATAAATGTTAATCACATCTGAAAAATACCTTCAAAGCAACATCTAGATGAGTGTTTGAGCAAGCAGCTGGGCACCATAGCCTCCCCAAGTCAATACGTAGAATTAACCATCACAGATCCAAGAAGGATGAGGGTAAAAAGACCCTGGGAATGCAGAGGAGAGGAGCCTGGGTTGCCTGTGTGGCTATCGGAGGTAAAGATGAGTCCTCTCTTTTTATAACTGAGGAAACTCCGGCTCAGAGAGGTAAATTAAATTGCCCAAGATTACACAGCTAGTAGGAGCTAGAAGCAGAATCTGGCCTGGGCTAGTCCAGTACAAAACTCACATCCTAACCCCATGGGAGTTAATGCTGCTTCATACGTGGGGTGTGTGTCATCCTGGAGGAGAAATTTGATCTGGCCCCGGAAGAAGAAGGTGTTGATGAGGTAGATAAAGAAGAGTGATTGGAAGCTGGATGCAGTGGCTCACACCTGTAATCCCAGCACTTTGGGAGGGTGAGGCGGGTGGATTGCTTGACCCCAGGAGTTCGAGACCAGCTTGGGCAACATGAAGAAACCCCAACTCTTCAAAAAATACAAAACCTAGCCAGGCCACTACCATTAGTGTGTGCCTGTAGTCCTAGCTACTCAGGAGGCCGAGGTGGGAGGATTAATTGAGCCCAGGAGGTTGAGGCTGCAGTGAGTCATGATCATACCACTGTACTCCAGCCTGGGCAAAAGAGCAAGACCCTGTCTTAAAAAAACAAGCAAAAAGAAGGGCAATTGGCATTTTCAGCTCAGAGAACTGGCTGTGCAAAGGCCAGTGCGGGAAGTGAGCCGTCTCGGAGGTAGCCAACATGTGGCTGAAGCAGTCTTTAAGGACAAGAGCCCTTGCGTCTGGATCAGGAAGGCTGCCCTGGACTGCACTAAGAGGCATTTGGGCTTCATTTCAGGGCCTAAAGTCACAAAACGGCAGCCTCCAGCCAGGTCTGGCTCAGCCCACAGAGCTGCTGGGGTCAGAGCAGCTTTAAAACACTACGTGCAGGGCTTGGAAGGCCAGCAGAGCACGGGACATCCCTGTGTTTCATGACCTCCCCCTCCCCATTTATTCCAGTCACCTGCCTGGCCCTGTGTCCTCCATGTGACCCAGGCCAGGGGTCTCCAAAATGGCTTACTTTGCAGGAAAAGACAAATGTGTACACTTGGCTCATTGTCTGTTTATTTTTGTACATGTGTAATGTTGCACTGATGTACAGTGTGTACATTTTAAAAACATACCAACAAAGAAATTTAACAAGATAAGTTTCAAAAAGTAAGCATTCTAATATTTTCTTTCTATGACCCAGTGATCACTCAGGCACCCCACTTTTGAATCCCTCTAATTAGATGATGGGGAGTTAATGAAGGCAGGTTTCTGTGACAAAAGCTCCAGGTGGTTTCTGTGACAAAAGCTCCAGGTTGACACATGGTGGCAGGGCGGAGCTTGAGAGGGGTGTGGTTAGGTCAGGTCAGCGGACAAGGGCCATATCCAGCCACCCACGCTGGCCATTCGCAGT
Source organism: Homo sapiens (assembly GCF_000001405.40). Classification (NCBI taxonomy): domain Eukaryota; kingdom Metazoa; phylum Chordata; class Mammalia; order Primates; family Hominidae; genus Homo; species Homo sapiens. Next base: position 58,811 of record NW_013171814.1, read on the forward strand.
GTGCCATCACTGTGCGGGGACGGGAAGGCAGCACACTGCACTGTGAATGTGCAAGTATATCTGAGGACATCCTGCTCACCATGCCTCTGGCCGCCTCTGTATCAGGTGCTGTCCTGGGCCCTCTGACACCCCTGGTGGCTGGTGTCATTACCCAGGGGGAAGGCAGTCGCATCCCCAGCAGTGCTTGGCCATACAGGTCACCTTCCACGGAGTGGAGTCTGGTGTCACCGGGCACCCTCAGGTCTGATTTGCAGTCATCTCACCAGGTCTCACCTCCTCTCAGCAAGACCTCCCCTCACCTCTTCTTTCCTGAAACTGTCTTCCAGCTCCTCCTTCCTGCCGGGGCGGCTTCCTGCTGTCACTCTGAAGAGGGAGGGTCTCTGTTCCTGCCGCTCTTCAGTTCAGACAGATGCCAGCTGCCCGGAGTTGCACCCATTTGGGGATAAATTTATTTTTCTTTCCAAGTGGCTTTGTGGTGAATGGGCTTAAATAATTCCCTGACTATCCTGTTTAAATTTGCTCCCTCTCCCCCAGTTCTTTGCCTCCTCTGTTTTATTTTTCTCCATAGCCTGCATTATCCTGTGCATAAAAACGAGTGCATAATATTGCATTAAAAAAGGAAACAAAATTAATGTCTTAAAACGACCATCCTTTTATTATTTGCTCAGAGTTCTGCACTTTGGGCAGGAGTTTTAGGGGGTAGAGAGTGGGCTGGGAAAAGGTCAGGGCATCTCTGTTCCTTGTGGTTCAGCCCAGGGCCGCTTGGGACCCTCCATTCTTCTCTGCGTGGTGTCTGTGTGTGGTTAGCTTGGGCCTCCTTTCAGCATGGTGTTGTTGGCTTTATTGAAAGGTGACTGGCTTCCCTCAGAACAGAAAAGCAAAAGCTGCTAGACCCGGAGTCACTTGCGCTACGTTTCTGAGCATCCAGCCACACACTGGGAAGTGTGGCGACTATCTCGTCCCCTAGGAGTGTGGTGTGAAATGCTGGGACACTCGATCAATGTTAGCTCTTTCATTAGACACAGCCCTGGACTGTCAGAGACCCAGCTCTTGAGGTAGGTGACTTCCTGTGTGACCTGGCCCAAGACTCACTCCCTCTCTGAATCTTTAAAATGGGGAGAATAGAAATATGGGCTAGCCACATGTCTACCTCAAGGGGCTGCTTGGAGGGCCAAATGAGATAAAGAGTAATAGTGATGACAGGTGTTGGGAACTGGGTATGACCAGGTTTTCAGAATTTTGCTCCTTGGAGCTCCCAGTTCCAGACACAGGGAGCCCCGCCTCTGCCAGGACTCCTGGGGGCAGGGTCCAGGGTGCAGGGGAAAGGTCCCAGCTTCCCCTTTTGAGGTGGCCAAGCAGGCCGCCGTCAGGTCAGCACGTAGGCCTTGAGTCCAGCCACTTTTGTTGAGTGTTTAAAATTTACCAGGGACTTTACATCTTTTACATCTTTTCTCATGTACCCTCAAAACAGTTCTGTAATGCAGGTGATGCTTTGCCCCCCGACAGCTGTTCTATGGCAACACGGCCGAGTAACAGAACCAGAACTCCATCTTCAACCCACTGGGATCCAGACCCCGTGCCTTTTTCCCACAAAGCTGGCCAGTGACAGAGACTCTTGGCAAAATACCAGAATTTTCCTTACTGTGAACACTGCCGACTTTAATTAGATTAATTTTCGATTTTCTTTTGCCTTCAGGGGTTTAAAGCTGACCCAGCTGGATTACAGCAGCGCACTGTGAGTGGAACAGAGTTGCGGTGTCAGGACCTCCAAGCCCTGCAACCCCCAGCACAGGCTTTATTTATCTATGCACCCCCATTGAGAGGCTCCCTCACCCTCTGAGGGGATGGAAGGTCCGTGGAGATGCAGCTTTGCTCTCCCGGGAGGGTCTCTGCCCTCAGGCTCAGACCGGGGCCGTCCTAAAGCCTCCCTGCCCCGGATGCCTTTTGATGAAGGCTGCTTTGTGCACACACATGTGCTGGGCTGTGGCCGCAACCCCAAGCCCTAGTTATCCACAGTAAACACAGAACAGCAACCACCCCGTGCAGCCTTCTCTCTCCAAGGTAAACTGTTGGAGTAAGGGCTTTTGCCTGGACGAAGGCCTAGTCAATGAGAGTGCTTTGCTGACTCTAACTCTTGCTTTTCACCCTGGGGAGCCAACCACAAACATTTGTGGAGACCCACACATGCCAGGCAGGGCCTGTGCTGCAGAAACGTGCACTGTGGAACAATCGGCCTCAGAGAGCCGCCGAAGAACAATGCAGGCTTGTGGATTGTCCCTCCCGGTCCTCGGGCAGCGGCGCCTGTGTACAGAGCACCCAGGTGTGCCCCCTTGCCCTGGCCCGAGAGGCGCCGAGGATGGGGCCTGTGTTTTGGGGGTGTATGGTCACTTGCACTGAGGCTGCCCGGGGCAGGGTTGACCTTTGGAAGATCAAATATGTGGCCTTCTGGGCTTTGCCCAGGCCAGCTGCTGACCCAAGGGAGGAACACTCAGTGTCGCGTGATGTGTTCCCCTGTCCTCTGGCCTGGCCATTGTCATTGCAAAGCTGAAGAGATAGAAGAATTTGCGGTAGCTGGGGAAGGGAGGCGGGGTACTGGTGCCAGTGAAGTCCCTTCTTGAGATGGCCTTTTGGTTCATCTGCGGACCTTGCTGTCTGCCCATTTAGGCGCTGCCCTCACCCTGGGTCCCACTTGCCACTCTGCTCACGTTGAGAGTCCTCTTTCTATGCGGTTCTCTGCTTCAGCCAACACAAACAGCAGAAATAAGCCGGGAGAAGCCACCTCTGAATGGAGGTTCTTTTTCCAGATTCGCTGTGCCAGCCGGGGCGTAACCGTTTAATTGCTGACACTAAGTCTCTCCGTAATACCAAATGAAACAAGGTTCCATGGTGCCCTGAGTACAGGATTTGAGTATGACACTAAGAAAGCAGAGAATAAAAGGACGCAGGGAGGATTCGGTCTGCTCAAATGCACTTTTAAAATTCTCCTATTTACACCGTAATTCCCTATTCTCCTCCATTAACTTGTTTTGGTGGTTTAGGGCTTGTCTTTTGTGTGGTTTTGGTTTTCTGGGCTTCGCCACTGAGGAGAGAACATTCTAGAAGGGTGAAATTGTTAATTATTCTTAAAACTTTGAGAGCTGCTTATGTGGAATATGTCCTATGAGAGCACCTTGATATTGCAAGTCGTGGCCTCCATTCCCCTGGGATGATCTGCGGGGACAGGGTCTGCCCAGAGCCCTGGTGTCAGGGTGTGATACTGACTGAGTTTCACAGGCTGGCCTGGGGGAGCCAGGACTTGAGGTTGGAGACGTGAGGAGAAAATCACAAACAGAAATTGTGGCTCTAGACAAATGCTGCCTCATCCACCTGAGGCGGGGAGTTTGGGTAGATTGGAATCTGACCTGTGTTTCCGCCCCAGGACCAGGTGGTAGCAACGGTATTTAGGTTTTTAAGGTGGGTGATGTCAAAAGCCATGTCCAGAAGAAAATAGTCTTGTTGGCCCTATTCTTTCACCCTAAGAGATTTAATCCAGAGACGGTGTGTAGGATCCTGCTGCTGAGATGCGCCGTTCCTTCCCCGGCTTCTCTCACACCTGGACTTCCCTTCTGCCATATTTTGTTTGTCTTTGGCCAGGACACTGAAGGATAGTGCCATAGCCCCTGCGTGGCCCTCATCTTCAGCTCTTTCTCTAGTACCTATTTTAGATAAAAGCTTTTTTGAGATAAAAAATTCATATAACATAACATTCACCCTTTTGAAGTGGATTTTTTTTGTCTTCTTGTTTCTTTTGTTTGTTTGTTTGAGATAGTCTCGCTTTGTCACCCAGGCTGGAGTGCAGTAGTGCAATCATGGCTTACTGCAGCCTCTATCTCCCAGGATGAAGCAATCCTCTTGCCTCAGCCTCCCAAGTAACTGGGACCACAGGTACACACCACCATGCCTGGCTAATTTTTTTGTAGTTTTTGTAGAGAAGGCATTTCACCATGTTGCCCAGTCTGGCCTCGAACTCCTGGGCTCAAGTGATCCGCCCATCTGGGCCTCCCAGAGTGCTGGGATTACAGGTATGAGCCACTATGTCCAGCCTAAAGTGGATGGTTTTAAATATATTGACGATGTTGTGCAACCCTCAACACTATCTAACCCCAGGACATTTCCTCACCTTTTACGCCCATTACCATAACTCTCATTTTTCCCCAGCTTCCTCAGCCCTAGGCAACCACTTATGTGCTTTCTCTATAGATTTGTCTATTCTGGACATTTTATAAACATGGAGTTATACAATATGTTCTCTTTTGTAACTGGCTTCTTTCACTTAGTGTAATAGTTTCAAGGTTCATCCATGTTGTGGCATATCTCAGCTCTTCATTTTTTTTTTATCACTGAGTAATGTTCCATTAGGTGGTTACTCTACATTTTATGTATTCCTTTGTCAATGGATGGAGCTTTGGGGGTTGTTTCCATATTTTGGCTATTATGAATAATGCTGCTCTGAATGTTCAAGTACAGGTCTTTGTGTGGATGTATGTTTCTAATTCTCTTGGGTATATACCTAGGATTGGAATTGCTGGGTGGTATAGTGACTCTATATTAACCTTTTGAAGAACGCCAGGTTGTATTTCAAAATGGCTGCACCACTTTACAATCGCTTTAGCAATGCTTGAGGGTTCCAGTTTCTCTACATCCTCACCAACACTTGTTATTATGTCTTTTTGATTATAGTCATCCTAGTGGGTGTAAAGTGGTATCTCATTGTGGTTTTGATTTGCATTTCCCTGATGACTAATGACGTTGAACATCTTTTCATGTGCTTTTTAGTGTTAAAAGCTCAGGTTTAGATGTTTATCCAAGTGTATATCTTTGGAAAAATGTCTATCAATTGTTTGCCCAACTTTTAGTTTGGTTATTTGTCTTTTTATTGTTGAATTGTAAGAGTTCTTCGTATACTCTAAATACTAGACCCTTACCAGAATTTGCAAATATTTTCTCCCATTCCGTGCATTGTCTTTTTACTTGATGATTTGCTTTGAAGCATACATATTTTTAATTTTGGTGAAGTGCAATTTATCTCTTTTACTTACTGTTTCATTGGTGTGCTTTTGGTGTCATATCCAAGAAATTGTTGGCTATTCCAAGGTCACAACAATTTACTTTTGTTTTCTTCTAAGAGGTTCATGGTTGTACAACGCTCTGACATTTAGGTCTGTGGTGCAGTTTGAGTTAATTTTTGTATATGTTGTGAGCTAGAGGTTCAGCTTCATTGTTTTGTTTCATTTTGTTAGAGACAGTGTCTCACTCTGTCACCCAGGCAGGAGTGCAGTGGTATACTCATAGCTTATTATTATTATTATTATTTTGACATGGGGTCTTGCTCTCTTGCCCAGGCTGGAGTGCAGTGGTGCAGCCTTGGCTCACTGCAACCTCCGCCTCCCAGGTTCAAGTGATTCTCCCAAATTCAAGTGATTCTCCTGCCTGAGCCTCCTGAGTAGCTGGGACTACAGTGCATGCTACCATGCCTGGCTAATTTTTGTATTTTTAGTAGAGAAGGGGTTTCTCCATGTTGGCCAGGCTGGTCTCGCACTCCTGACCTCAAGTGACCTGCCTGCCTCGGCTTCCCAAAGTGCTGGGATGACAGGTGTGAGCCACTGTGCCTGGCCATCTTTACTGTTTTACATGTAGATACCCAGTTGTCTCAGCAATATTTGTTGAAAATGTTTTTTCCATTGAATTGCCTTTTGTTTTTCTTATATGCCTCTTTCCTACTAAAAAGTAACTTAGTTCTCTCCTTTTCTTCCCCCCAAGCCCACACACACACATCTGCTAGCCTGCCTCAAAGTACCAGGCATCCCTGCTGCTCTAGGAAGGCCTGCATTGCCAGCCCAGAACCTTGACCCTAACTCCCAGGTCCCTTTCTCAGATGGATCTTGGTGTACCCAGGTCTCTTTGTGTCTTTATTAGTCTCTCTGGATGCTAGCATTCATCTGCTTCAGGGAAAGGGAATGAAGGAGGAGCTGCATGGGATCAAAAAACCCCACATTAGTGTGTGTGTATATTTTTTCATGCCTATATTTCTGACTCCCAAATCAGGTGTAAACTTTCCTAGTCATGACCCTCTTGGAGACCCTCATCCATTCGTACAAAAAATGTTCACAAGTTAGATAATTAAATGAAGGAACTACGATGTCTCTGATGGACAAGTGATTCACTCAAGTGGTACTCCATCCATCCATCCGTCCGTTCATCTGTCCATCAATCAGTCTGTCCACCCATTCATCTACTGAGAAATAAAAGAGCTGGTTGCTTGGTCCCTGTCTGCCGGCTGGGTCAGAGTTCTGCTACAGGTTTGTATGTTGTTAGAGGCTCAGGTTAGCTGCCCATCCAAGTGGAAGCCAATTTACCAGAAAGCCAGAGTCTGTGGTTACTGTGGCTGTCGTCACGGGTAGAGTGCTTGGTGCGGGTCACTGGCACTGAGGCCTTTTTAGTGAGTGGGTCCCCTCAGGAGGGTCAATGACACATCTCCAATCAGCAAACAAGAGTTAGAGCAGAGGGATAGTGTAGCCTCAGGGCCCCTTCCTCCGTTCCAAGATATCTCTGTCTAGATACTGCGCATTAGAATTTAGTACTGAAGAATGAAGGTGGAGGCTGGGGAAACATTCTAACTCTCGGGGGCCCTGTGCCAACCACCCGCCTTCAGTGGTAACATCCTTGTCACCTTTGTTTCCATCACACCTCACCTGTGTTGCTTTCTACACATCCTGAAGTTTAACTTAACCTGGACACCTTTGGGCCCCATGACCCATTGGTGGGAGCACCACACTACTACTTAGAAAGTGGGGTTTTTGACTGTGGACCACCGTTCGGGACCCTCTCTGACTGGGACTGTCATTCCCCTGTTTACCGGACCGTCGTCTTTCTGGGTACTCTGTCCTGCCTGTCCCAGTGTGCAGGGCTCCTCCTCCCATCCTGAGGAGTTCTTTCTTGGAATTTTGGCTCCCCCGCCCTGCAGCTTGGTTTCCACTCCCACCTCAAGGATTAGAGTTCTGACCTGAACCTCAGAGGAGGACAAGTCCCCTGCCTGGCAGGATGTGGATTCACCAGGGCCGGGGGCACGGGATTGGATATCAACTATTCCACTAGCTGCAGGCATCGCGGCCCCACCCAGCTGACACTGCTTTCGCATGTATTGCTTTCCAGAGATGAGAGCATTCTGCAGTACTGCCCGGGGGCTGTCTTCTCTCCATTTAGCAATGCGATGCCACAATTTTGCTGTGCCATTACACATTTTTCCTTCAGCGTCATTCCAGCATCAGCTCTCTAATATCCCTTTTTATAGATTTTCCATTTCACAGTGAGAGAAGGTGAGACAGCAAATACTGTTTTCGCAAATGCAGGGGCTGATGACTGAGTTTGATGTTTTTTTTTGTTTTTGTTTTTTTTTGGGTTTTTTTTGTTGTTGTTGTTAGATTCCTGAGACGTACCACGTCCCAGCATGAATTGTGTAACTTATCTGCCCTGTGTCGAAAATTAGACTTTGCTCCTGTATTTTCAGAAATAATTCTTGACACCCTCTTAGGTTTTCAGGCTGTGTTTTGGCTCTGCCCTCATCTTATCTCTGGGTTCCAAGAGCTTTTTTCCCATTTCTCTTTTTTTCCATGGCCCATGCCTGAGTTGGGTTGGCAGGTTCTCCTCTTCTTGCTGTGTCCCTGCAGAGTCTCTTTCTGGCACTGCCTTAACCACTGCACTTCATCTGAGGGGAGAGAGAGGAAGAGCCACTTGGCTAGGGAAGCGAGTGCTTTCTCTGCTGGTAAAGATGTCTGGGAGAAGGGTCCCCCCACCCCTGTCCAGTGTGCCCCAGGGGTCGGGCAGCCAGTGACCCCTTCCACCTCATTTCTTTCTTTTTGTTGCCTGCACAGGACTGGAGAGCTAGCATGAGTATCTGTCCTGCAAGAGCTTATTAAGCCCTGCTTATACACGTGGCACCAGGGAGGTGTTATTATCGGTCATAGCAAGGCAGGGAGGGACAGCAGACGGGAAGGAGTTAAAGTTCTCCACAAGGAAAAGTGTGATTAAGTGGCAAAGGGAATGGTTTGGAAATAAGTGCTGGGGGCTTTCAGGGGAAGGGGAGGTCATATGGGCCAAAGCGGGGCAGACCTTCTGTCTGAGGAGAGTGAGTAGACCCAGAAGGATGATGGGTTTGGAGTTGGGTGGAGAGGGACCCTTATTGGACAGGGAGGATGTCACTGTATTCTCCCTGAGGGACCTCCTGTGCGATTTGGTGTCTGAGGGGCCGTCTGTTTCAAGAAGTGGGAGGCGTGGTGGGGTGTGGGGGCTGGGTACCCTGAGAGTGTGGTGCTGTAATCACCCTCTGGCCAGCAAGGAAGCATGGCAAGACTTGGCCGAGACAGCTGCCAGTGTCAGAGGAAGGGTCCTGGGCCGGAGAGTAGAGGCTTGGCAAGGCGGCAGGGGGCAGGAGGCATGAGAAGCTGGCTTCCATGGGGCAGGGCAGGGAGGTCATGGACCACGCATGGTGTGGACACACCCGTGGGAACAGAGAAGAAGGGGAGAGGGAGACATTTTCATAAAAGGTCCCTCAGGGCCTAAAGACAGGCTTCTGGGGATAAAGGAGGTGCCTGGGAATGGGGTTGATTCTGTCTGGCTTTCTGGGGGCCTCATGCACATGAGGGCGTCTTTGTTGCCTGCATAGGACCACGTCATGCCCTCCTGCCTCAGGGTCCCCTCTGTGTTTCACGTGGGCTCCTGAGGCACATTGCACTGCACTGACCTTCCCCCTATGTGCTGTGGTGCCTGGGCCCAGAGACGGCTGTGACCTTCCTGGCTTCCCTGCTAGCATAGGTTAGTGGTGGTGCAGAGGTGGTGGTGGGAGTGCTTGCGGTAGTAGTAGTGGTGGTGGTAATAACGGGGTTAGAGCTGCTGCTCTGCGCTAATAAACGTTTTATTACCTCTAGTTCGTTTAGTCCTTAGAACAACCCTGTGGGGTTGGCCGGTCATACAGATAAGGAAACTGAGGCATAGAGACTTCAGCAATTGCCTGAAGTGCCACATCTAGTGAGGGGCAGAGCCTGGACTGAACCCCCAGCACATGGCTCCAGACTCCATGCTCCTGGGCACTCTTCCTCCTCAGCAGAGCAGGCCAGCACTGCAGAATCGCTTTCATCATGCCATTTAGAAATGGGCAGCTGAGGGTCAGCACCTCTGGTATGCCCAGGGTGTGCCCCACCTCTCTGCCCCATGTCTGCTGTGGTGGAGGGGAGGGAGGAGGATGATGGGGGAGTGCCCAGATGGGAACTGCTGGCCTTCAGGGGGCCAGCTGGGCCATTGGACTGGACAAAGCCTGAGCACAGCCCCAGTTGCACCTGGTGTGACCCCCACACATGACCTGGCCATGGGGAAATCTGGCCCTGTCTGGGTGGGGCCAACAGTGCTTTGGCCCTAAGAGTCTTAGGCTTCCCAAAGAGTGAGGAAGGACAAGGAGGCAGAGCAGGGGAAAGGAATTCACAGTTCGTGAAATTAGATGCTGCAGAAAATGTTAATGAATGCCCTGTTATCTTAATTTTCTCAGAGTGTGAAGTGTTTAGGCATCATGAGGATGAGAGTGTTACCAAACCCAGGAGAGCTTTGAGTTCAGGTCGCATTATTCTTAGATTTGTAGTTTGGTGGGGAAAGGAGTCGGACTATTTTTAGAGGGCGCCGATCTCGGTTTGTAATTAACAGACAGTGTGCCCTCCTGCTATGCACTCTCCTCACTCACACTTTGCTGTAATTAGTGTTTTAATCATCTTCTACAAGATCCTCAGGTCCGCAAGGGCCTGCAACATGCCTGTCTTCTTCACTACCCCGTCCTCCATGCTGGGCATATGAGCAGGGAGGGAGGATCGATTCCACCATGAGGGCTTGTAGGAGGTGCCAACAACTGGGCAGTCGACCAGTGGGAAGTTGAGCAGGTGGCAGGGGCAGCCTGAACTGAGCATGGATGGACAGAAGGTATGTCATGTCTGGGGAAAGCAAGTGCCAAGGATCCTGGGATGAAGTTGGGGAATGATGGGAAGAAGCAGGACAGGAAGTGCCTTGAATATTAAGTCACTCACTTCTCTTGTGTTTAGGGAGACAGGGCTGAAAACACATACTTTGTAGAAAGAACAGGAACGGTTTCATGATTCTTGTCTTTTATCAGACAGGGCCTCTATAACCCTTACAGCACCTTTGTGAGAATCGGAAATAGACATCTCTTATCTTGGTGGATGAATTTTGAAGAAAGCGGCCCCTGCCTCCCCTCTTCCCACCCAGCTGGCTGCAGCCTTGTACCAGGGCACAAGGCTTAACAAATAGGGTTTGAGCTGGCTCTTGGCCCTCACTTGCTCTCTAGGATGGATATTTTTGAGCAGTACACAAGCTGCGCGACTGTATATGATCACCCTTTGAGATTTATGGTCTAGATTTAGGCTTCTGATTGGAGATAGTATAAGATGGGAAGCCTTTCTGTGTCACCCAACTCTGATTGTCTTATTTACTTACACAATTCTGTTAGCCATATGTTGCTGTTCTTTGCACAAGAAACCAGGGACTATTACTACTGGAGGTCAGGACCTTTATAAGCACATTGTCCACAGTTCCCAAATGTCCTGGGCCCTGAACATTGCCATCACCCAGGAGCTTATCAAAACGCTGATTTCTGTACCCCAAAATCCCATTGTGTGTGATGTAGGAGCTAGGACAGAGTCCAAGAACCTGCATTTTCATAAGCTCTCCAGTTGCACACCACAGATCTAACCCACTTCTAGACAAGGAAACAGAAGCCCAGAGAGGTTTGGTGACTTGCCCAGGCCATCCCAAACTGGAGAGGAGACCTGAGTTTGGCGATGTTCAGTGCAGGCCTCCTCTGACTGTCTGCCCACCATGCTGAACCCAGTCCTCTCCAAGCTCTCCCATCTCTGACGATCTCCAAGGCCAGGAACCTGGCTCTGTGCCATTTTGTTTACAAACTGTGCTTCCTTTAGCCATCAATGTTTTGTCCCCTCTTAGTGTATTATCAGTACTTTACTGAAGCATAATTCACATACAGTAAAATGCATTAATCTTAAGTGCACAGCCTGAGGGATTTTGACAAATGTTTATACCCCTATAATCATTGCCCCAGATCCAAGTAAAGGTGATTTCCATTGCCCCAGAAGGCCATCAGTTGTTCTGAAAGGACAGAGGCACCTATTGGGGGACAGAGATCACTTCTGTTTGTTCCATGCGTGTGTCTTTGGGTTTTCTGTAATCTTCCTTGGAAGGGTGAGGCCTGCGGATGGGGCAGAGGTGGAGGAGCAGTGGGAACAATGTGTAGCCACATTTCTCAAACCCAGAGCATTGTCATGTGCCAGGGCAGACCAAGCTGCCGGGTAAAAGTGCTGCATCTTCTTGGGGTGTTAACACCATTTGAAGATCGTGCAAGAAAATCTATCTTTATGTTGAAATATAGGGATGGATAGAGAGCAGAATGTAAAACTCATTTGGATATTGACGACAAAACATTCACCTTTTAGAAAGTGGGGAAAGTGGGCTTCTCTTAACCCTACCTCTGGATCCCCAAGGGTAGCAGTCTTGCTCCTGCCCTGTCCTAGCCTTAAGGAGAGTTTGAGAAGTGCCAGTGTGTGGCATTCATTGCTGAAGCCATTCAGAGGATCCCATGGTGTTCTGTGTGATTGAGATAGGGCCTGGGAATACAGCCTGGACACCCACACCATCCACACACTGGGGGTGACCTGCTGGGAAGGATGACAGTACTGTTTCCCCTGGAGACTTGGCAGGTGGCGCATCCTCCAAAACTCTTTGAAGAATCTACATTTTTAAGACATGAAGCTGTGGACAGGGACACTTGGCATTTTCATCCCATCCCTAGGAGGGGCTAGAGCATCCAAGCACTGCAATATACTCCAGCCTGAAGAGGTTCTCTGGGACTTTGTTAAGGGGCATTGACCACTGTTCCCACCTCCCAGGGACAGAATCGGCTCAGAGCGTTTCAGCCGTCGACCCAGCCACTGAGCACGCCTGCTACTCACAGATGTGCCTCCCTTTCTGTTTCATATAGATTCTTTTCTGATGCTTTGTTTTCCTGCCTCAATTTCATAAATCTTTATAGTTGAGTTTTAAAAAATAACTTGCAAATGTTTTCCCTTTGGGTGAACTCTTGCTTCTGTGTGTTGTGATGGTGGCGATGCTGATTCCAAGAGCTAAATATGCGATGAGGATGCCTGTCGCAGGGGTGGTGGCCTCTGCCCTCACTTTTCCTAGAGACATATTTGTAAGTGAAATGTCAAAGGCATCTTTGGTTATTTCTAGGTTCTACATATATTTAACGAGTTTTAAAATACTCGTGCCAAATTGCCCAGCAGAAGATAGGTTGCACATGTTTTCACTACCGTTAGCGGACAGAGAGCACTTGTTTCCCCAACAATGGCGATCAGCATTCCTTTCCACACTTTTACTTTTTTTTTTTTTTTTTTGAGACAGAGACTCGCTCTGTTGCCCAGGCTGGAGTGCAGTGGCTCAATCTTAGCTCACCACAACCTCCTTGATTCAAGCGATTCTCCTGTCTCAGCCTCCCAAGTAACTGGGATTACAGGCGTATGCCACCATGCCCGGCTAATTTTCATATCTTTAGTAGAGACAGGATTTCACCATGTTGGCCAGGCTGGTCTCAAACTCCTGACCTCAAGTGATCTGCCCACCTCGGCCTCCCAAAGTGCTGGGATTATAGGCGTGAGCCACCACGCCCGGCCTTAAATTTGATAGATGTAAAATTGTACCAAAGTTTCCTTTGCATTTCTTTGGTTAGTCACTGCGAAGATTTTTCAGGAATTTATAACCTGTTTCTGTTGCTTCCTTTATAAATTTGCTTTTTATGCTCTGCTCATTTTGCTATTTTTGATGTATTTATGTCTTTCTTTTATTTTAGTTAGAGTCTTAATTTATAGGGTACCTCCTTAGTTTCCAGTTTTCAAAAAATATTATCTCTACCCAGACTCAGAGGCTTGGAACAGATTCACTCCAAAGCGGTATCAGGCCACCACTCCTACACAGTGTCTTTGGGAACATTAGAAAAACTGCTTCTTCCCTGTCTCATACAGCACCATCCTAAGTTTAGGGCTTAGTGAGTGGCACCCAGGTAAGTTCAACCTGTCCTGGGTCCCTTAGCCAGGCTCCCCTGTTCAGAACACAGCTGTACAACCTACACAACCCACTGTGGCCACTCTAGTGTTGTAAAAAGTGAACTAAGCCACATTCTTTTTTTTTTTTTTTTTTTTAATTGAGACGGAGTCTTGCTCTGTTGCTCAGACTGGAATGCCGTGGCATGATCTCAGCTCACCACAACCTCCACCTCTCAGGTTCAGGCGATTCTCCTGCCTCAGCCTCCTGAGTAGCTGGAACTACAGGTGCGCACCACCATGCCCGGCTAATTTTTGTATTTTTAGTAGAGATGGGGTTTCACTATGTTGGCCAGGCTGGTCTCGAACTCCTGACCTCATGATCCATCCACCTCGGCCTCCCAGAGTGCTGGGATTACAGGCATGAGCCACCGCGCCTGGCTGCCACTTTTAAAAATAATAACGAAAACTCCAAGCCATTGAGGGTACAATTTTTAATACAATTAAACCTCCCAGCTACCACTGTGGGCATCATGGTGTTCTGCATGGAATCTGATTTTGCTTGGCATTGGTCTGGTCTGTGCTGTGGCATGCCGGATAGCAGAGGCCTGGGAGGGAGTTCAGAGGCCTGGGTTCTAGTCCTGGCTGTGTTACTAATGCATGGCATGACTGTGGGCAAGCCAGCTTTTTGGGGCCTCACTTTTCTCATCTGTAAAAGGAGAGGCTGTGACTAAGTAAACTTCCAGGTCATTCTCAGCTCTAAATATCTGCAAGTTCGAGTTTTAGCTGTATTTTTCTTTTTTCCCCCAAAAGATTATGACACCTGTAAGACAGGTTAGTTTTAGATTTTTTCTTTAGCATCTGGGTTATGAAAAACAAAATCCATTTTGACGTTTTTGCATTCCATCAAATTTCTACCTGATTTATGCTGTTTTACGTGTGTCTGAAAAGAGGATTACTTACACACAGCCAATCGCCTTTCTCCATTTTACCAAAGGCATCTTGGGGTCTGTGGAGTCACTGAGAGAAGGCATGGATGTGCTTGACAGTGGGAAAATGTGGTTAAATTACTCTCTTGGCTCATCCCACCTTTTCCTTCTCTCCTTTCTCAGTAACTGTTTATGGGGCATCTCCCCGGGGAGGCTCAGAACTGAGCAACCCTTCGAGGACCTCTGTGCCTTGTGGGGAGCCGGGAATTACTGGGACCCTCCTAAGTGGCAGCTCCATGGGCATTCTTCCTTGCTCGCATCCTCATGGCCTCTCCCACAGAGGACACCCCCCAGCCCACTCTCCCTGATTCCACTTTCTCTACCACCCCAGGCCTTTCATGCTTTCCAGCATTCCCCAGAACCCATTCTCTGTGGCCTGTCAAAGGTGGGGTTTCATCCCAGCCACTTCTCCACTTGCTCTCTTCCTAGACCCTCTGGCCCTCTCAGGTGGCCCTGCCTGGCACCTGTGTGCTCCACACCAGGCCTGTCTTCTGAGCCCAATCCAGCTCCCACTTGGCTGCCTTAGGGACCTCTGGACCTCAGATGTCTCAGACCATGTGGTCCCAAATCTAGCTCGCGATCCTCATCCACAGTCCCTGTCTGGCTTTCCTGTCACCTAGCTGATCCCCCAAACACATGGCATCCTGCCTCTCCTGACCCCTGCCCCCACCCTCCCTGACCTGTCTGTCCTGCCCCTGCCCGGCTCGCTCCACATCCGTCCTTCCTTCTCCTGGCTGCATCTTCTGAGGTCTGGCCTCCTACAGTCTCTCCTGCTCCCAGTCTTCCTTTATTGCTTTGATCCAAATTTAAAACAAAGAACACCGCTGTCCTGTGGCGGGCTCCCTGCGGGAGTCACTGCTGTCTCTTTACCCTTCCCCATCTCAGGAGGGGCCCAATGCAGGCTTGCGCAGCTGAACTGGACTTATCCTTGATCAAGGTCAGACTTTTCCCTCTGATTGTTCTGCCACCTCCTCAGCCACACAGTGGCTGAGGGCACCGGACTTTTCCCTTTCCCCTCCCTCTCTACATGTACCCGGCGCCCCTGTCTCCCATAATCCTCCAGAGGTTAAGTAGATCCAAGACCCTTGGGCTGCATGTCGGAGCAAATCCAGCCCAACTTTTTAAGAAAACCAGGGCTCTGGGAAGGGGCAAATGCTGGGTCACGTCGTTGGAGGTTTGTGGCAGGGACTCTCATGCCTGCGTGTATGAGTTTCCCAGGACTATTGTCACGAATTATCACAACCTGGGGGGCTTAAGACAGCAGAAACTCATTCTTTTAGTCCTGGAGGCTGGAAGTCCAGAATGAAGGTATCTGTAGGGCTGTTTCCTTCTGAGGGCCGTCAGGGGGAGTCTGTTCCAGCTTTTCTCCTGGCTCGAGGCAGCTCCCAACAGTCCTTGGCATGTTAGGGCTGGCAGATCCAGGGCTATGCCGGTCCCCTGCCTGCCTCCATCTTCACATGTACTCTCCTCTTGTGTGTCTGTGTCCAAATTTCCCTCTTCTTATAAGGACCCCAGTCCCTGGATTAGGGTTCCAGTATGACCCCATCCTAACTTGTTTACATCTATAAAGACCCTATTTCCAAATAAGGCCACATTCACAGGTCCTAGGGACTAGGGGTCCAACATGCCTTTTAGGAGGGAGGACACAGCTGAGCTAATGCAGTGTGGTCCATGTCACTTGTTTTTGTGGTGCTAGAGAGGGACCGTGAGGTGTGGGTCACACTGGTTCACCTTGTGGGTGGATTTAGCTGGCCTTTGAGGTTGAAAGTTCTCAGCATTGTATTTGTAAGACCTGTATCATTAATAAACATTTTGCTAGTCTTGGATGCTTCTTTGTGTGGGGGGAGCTGGGAGATGGAGGACAGAGGTCACCTGGGCCATCTTTCCAGGTGAGATTATACATTTCAGCCTAGGGTGGGGCAGAGCCACCTCACGGAAGCATCACTTTTATTCTTTCACTTTTTGTCATTTTCCCCTTTGGAAACTAAGCTTGTTCGTGCTCTGGGACGTGCGGTCATGCGTCCCTCACTGCTGGGTTGAGCTGGTAGGCCTGCCCCTGCTTTCCTTTACAGGCGAGTGCCTCGTGCTGCTGTTTTTCTGATTGCTCTGGAAGTTCATTGTTGCTCTGGCCCTCCTGACCTGTGTCTGGCCTTTGCCCATGTGCAGAGTTTGTGGATCAGCATTTCAGGGGTGCGGGGGCGTGGTGGTATGCGAGTCCATAGCCGTGGAAGTTTGGGACCCAAGCCTCATGAGGCAGAAGCCTGGCTCTGGGGCTCCATATTTAGTCTGGAATCCAGCCTCAGCTGCTGCTCTGGGGCCACACTGGATGCCAGAAAGGGCAGAACACTGGCCCGGAGCCAGAGCTAGGACAGCAGGGCCTGCTGTGCAGCGCAGCTGGTGCCCAAGGGGCATGGACCTTGCTGGGCCTGCCCGGAACTGGCCTGCCCCTGCCTTTGTGTCAACCAGGAGGCCTGTGGGAAAGGGGGCTGGGAAGAAAGTGAGCAAACACCTCAGAATTGGAAGGATCAGAACTGGACAGGGCCTCGGAGTGACATAGTCCAGTGCACCCTTTCTGCAGAGAAGAAAGACTGGGGTGGCCCAGGGCGGTGACTTGCCCAAGGTCACACAGTTAATGGCAGAGCCACTAGATTTGGGCTTCTGGACATCAAATCCTTTGCCCTTCCCTGGAACCATGCTGCCCAGGAGGCCAGGCCGTTATCAGGGTGGGACTCCCTCCAGGCACCACCTTCGCCAGAGACCAGAAGAGGATGGCCACACCCTCGGGAGCACGCAAATTGGGAAAAAGCAGACATCCATTTCGGATGACTTCCTGCCCCTCTTTCTGTGCTACTTCCCAGGCTCCACTGGCTTCTGCCACTCCTCACCCTCCACCCCGCCCCCACCACTGAGACCTGCTTATTATGTTAGTCATTTACCCCATAGTGTGAATATCAGTCCTCTCCCAGAGGAACTTGGACAACAGCCATGGAGTGAGAGTTGGAGTCAGCCAGACACAGCCAGACACAGCATTACGGGACATGTTGCAAGGTGCATATGGACTGAAACAGGCAGATCTCAGAAATGGAGGAAGCCCCTGGGACCTGCTCTCTCAGGAAGGGAAGGCCAGGGAGAGCTATTTCCAAACCAACCTGGGAAGTGTGGGAAGATGCTCCTAGCACGTCTCAGCTCCTGTCTAGTGACTGATCCATCTCCCTTGTCCATGGAGACTGGCTGACCCATCTCATGTTCTATAGCTCAGATCTACTCAGGAGGCAGTCCGATGGCCTCACTCATTATAATTACCCTGACTCTTCTAAGGCAGTCTTCCCATCACCCCACCTTGTGGGTCCCAGGCTGGCTGTGGATGGGCCACCCTCTGATGTGGTACCCACCGCTCCAGGCAATGGCTGCCCACAAGGACAGAACAGGCTGGCCTGGAGCTCTGAGCAGGACACATGGGAGAAGACAGACTCAGCATCAAGAAAAGGTCAACACCAGCCTGGCAGGTCCCTGGCCCCACGTCCAGTATGTGCCCTTACCTGCTGTGTGACCTTGGTGTCTGAACCTTTCTGAGCCTCAGTTTCCTCATTTCTAGGGATCCATTCTTCAGATTAGAGGCAGAACTGAAGAGAGTGCAGCTAAAGGCTTAGCTCCCAGTAGCCACTCACATAGCTATCATTGTGGTGCGCATTTCCTCATGCAACCCTGGCAGGTAGGCAGGGCCAGTACTTGTAACCCCATTTTACAGACTTGGAAATTGATAGTTAGAGTAAGTAATGGACCTACCCAGCCCTTTGCATTTCTGGTGCTGCACTTTTTCTTTTCTTTTCTTTTTTCTTAGAGACAGGGTCTCGCTCTGTGGCCCAGGCTGGGGTGCAGTAGCACAATCATAGCTCATTGTAGCCTCCAGCTCCTGGGCTCAAGCAATCCTCCCACCTCAGCCTCCTAAGCAGCTGGTACTGCAGGCATGCACCACCATGCCCAGCTAGTTTAAAAATTCTTTTTTTGTAGAGATGGGATCTCACTTTGCTGCCCCAGCTGGTCTCAAGTTCCTGGCTGCAAGTGATCCTCCTGCCTCTGCTTCGGAAAGCGCTGGGATTACAGGTGTGAGCCACTATGCCTGGTCAGTGCTGTGCTTTTTCTACTGAAACACCCCGGTATTATCTGTGGGTTTTAGGAGCAGTTCTCACCCTTGACCCAATTAACCTAGATACCAGTGAATACCTTATTGTAAAGCTCTCTAGCTGCCGAGAGACCCCAGCTTCCTGGGTTGGTTTGAAAATAGCTCTCCTGGCTGGGTGCAGTGGCTCACACCTACCTGTAATCCCAGCACTTTGGGAGACTGAGGTGGGCGGATCAACTGAGGTTGGGAGTTTGAGACCAGCCTGACCAACATGGAGAAACCTACTAAAAACTACAAAATTAGCTGGGTGTGGTGGCGCATGCCTGTAATCCCAGCTACTCGGGAGGCTGAGGCAAGAGAATCGCTTGAACCCAGGAGGCAGAGGTTGTGGTGAGCCGAGATTGCGCCATTGAACTCCAGCTTGGGGAACAAGAGTGAAACCCTGTCTCAAAAAAAAAAAAAAAAGAAAAAGAAAAAGAAAACAGCTCTCCCTGGCCTTCCGTTCCCATGTGGGCAAGGAGTGGATGCTGGGGCTTGGCCTCATGGGAGAAGCTGTGCGTGGGCAACCACTCAAGTGCAGTGAGTGGATTAATAACCAGCGCGAGCCTGCCTCGGCCACTGTCATTCCCATGACACGCAACTTTTGTCATTGTTAACAGTTGGAGACTGTGTGCAGGCCTCTGCCTGGCAGTGCTGAGGATAGCGATTAGCAGGGAGTGGCGGGGACTAATCGCTCTCATCAGCCGGGAAGAATCCAAGCCTGCCTGCCGTTCACAGGTGGCCTTTAGCTCCTTGGGCCCCAGGGAAAGAGGAACAAAGGGAATCGCTGCAAAACATCTGGGGGCTTCCTCTTGTTCCGGAGAGGCAGGCTGCCGCGGATCAGGGAATGGAGGCAGCGGGGATCTGGGAGGCCCAGAAGCAGTGGAACCACAGCTGGGCTGGTGTCTATACAGCCCATGTCCTGCCTTCAGATGAGCAGGAACATTTTTAGAGGATGCCTGTGAAGTTTTCTCCTGTTCCTCTCACCCTGGGCATCATCAGGGGGCTCTGTATCTGGTGGGAGCATGGCAGCATTCAAGGTGCAGGAGGAAGCTCAGGCGGAGATTCCCTCTGGTCAGTGTACAGTTGGCAGAAATGCCCGGGAGACCCTCAGCTGGGGAACGCACCCAAGATGGAGAGCAGGGGCGTCAACACCTCCGCTGGGATTCTTAAGACTTCGCAGAAAAGGGCAAGTTTGTAGTGCATTTGAAGGACTTGGTTGAATTAAAGCAAAATTATCCTCATTATTGTCATCATTATTGATATTAATAATATGTAACTAGAAATCTTTTTTTTTTCTTTTTTTTTTTTGAGACGGACTCTCGCTCTGTCGCCCAGGCCAGAGTGCAGTGGCGCGATCTCGGCTCACTGCAAGCTCTGCCTCCCGGGTTCATGCCATTCTCCTGCCTCCGCCTCCCCGAGTAGCTGGGACTACAGGCGCCTGCCACAATGCCCGGCTAATTTTTTTGTATTTTTAGTAGAGACGGGGTTTCACCGTATTAGCCAGGATGGTCTCGATCTCCTGACCTCGTGATCCGCCCGCCTCAGCCTCCCAAAGTGCTGGGATTACAGGTGTGAGCCACCACACCCGGCCAATTCGAATTCTTTTGTATTTTAAAGCTGACTTTTATGTTCTTAAACTCTGGGAGGTTTTTTGTTTGTTTTTTTTTTTAAGATATTATTCTTATTTATAGATATAGGAATGAGGCCTATAGATGAAGGTGGCTGGCTGAGGTGAGCAGGCCAAGGTGAGGATATACCTTTGCCTCAGGTGGGGTTAGGGCCAGGCCCAGTGATGCTGGGAACCCATTCAGATCCTTTTCTTTCAGAATATCTGGCATTTAGTTATGCACTGTGTGATAGAGGCTCCTGAACAATTTCTTAGAGGACTGTTTCCTATCAACCAGATGACATGGACCAAAGAGGTGAATTTTTACCTCTCCTGTGCCACAGATCCCTCCTATGAACACAAGCCCCCCCTCCTATCTGCCCCCTTCCCCCACTCCTGCAATGTGCAGCAGACAGTTTCTTTGGTGTCGTGAACTGTGGCTGCAGTCTGGCCTACCCTTTTCCGGCGGGTCCTGGGGGATGCCTTGCTCACCGGCTGGCTTCCTGAGCCTGCACCCCATGCGGATGCACGGGGTCCCACACTCAGAAGGGTTCATGTTTGGTTAATACTCCATAGTCACTGTTTTGAAATTTTTATTTTGAGCAAGAAGCCCTTCATTCTTCCCCACCCCCACCCCACCCCGCCCCAACTGGGCCTCGAAAATTATATAGCCAGTCCTGCTTGCTCCAGGCCCCACAGTTGTTGAAGCATGGATCTGTGCTCCTGACTGCCACGTGGCAGGTCTGTGAGCTGGCCTAATGGCTATGGAGTAGCCGGCAGAGGCCCAGGGGCTGAGGCCTGAGCTGTTTGTGGGGCCTGGCATTTAGGGCAGCGTAGGGATTTCTGGAATGAGTCCTCACACATTCTCCAGCCACCACTTTCCAACCCTCCCTCCATCCCGGCCTCTGCCCCTTCCCTCCTCACTTGGAAACACCAGGTGCACGTTGTGACCTTGTTGGCAAAAAGCAAGGTGCCGGAAATCCATGCACCCACAGCAGATAACTGTCCCCCTCCTGTGCCCATCCTGAAGCTGGCCCAATCTGAGCTCCCCACAGGAGTTTATTTTTGATAGATCGAGAAGACTAGAACTATCCAAGGAACGAGAACTGCCCCGCTTGGGCCTCCTCCTCACCTGGTGCGTTCAGTCAGGCTGCAGCATGCCCTGAGGATGTGCTGCAAGTCCCTGGGGCCAGGCTGAGAGAGCTGAGGCCCTTGTCTTGATGAACTGCAGGAGTTGCTGTCAGGGCCTGCTGGGCCCTGAAGGCCTCCAGTCTGCCAAGAGGGAGGTGGCCGTGAGCTGAGTGGTGCCAAGTCTCCGGTGCCAGGCATTGGAAAGGTCATCTTGACATCCGTCTTCCCTTCCCTGTCTCGAAGCATCAAGTCACAATGAACAAAAGAATCAGCACTAAGCAGGCATGAGGAAATGGACCCCCGAGCCTGGCCACCCAAGGGATGGGGTCAGGGGACCTGGCACCTGGGCTTCTTGTGGCCTATCCTTGGGTAAGTCATAGGATTCTAGGATTTTAAAGGTGGCAGGCACCTTAGAGCTCACCCAGCCCAGCCTCTTATCCAGACGAGGGGACTGAGAGCAAAGGGGAGAGTGGGAGCGGCTCCCTTCCAGGTCTCAGTTAGGATTAGGATTGTTGGTTGTGCTGTCTATTGCTGTGTAATAAATTACCCCTCAAATTACCCCAAAACTTAGCTGAAACTACGTACATTTATTTTTTAATTAATTAATTTTTTTTAGAGAGACAGGGTCTCAGTCTGTCACCCAGGCTGGAGTGCAGTGGTGTGATCACAGCTCACTGCAGCTTCAACCTCCCAGTCTCAAGTAATCCTCCTGCCTCAGCCTCCCAAATGGCTGGGACCAGCGGTGCACACCACCACACTAGGCTAATATTTTATTTTTTTGTAGGGTTGGGGTCTCTGTATGTTGCCCATGCTGGTCTCGAACTCCTGGACTCAAGCGATCCTCCCACATTGGTCTCCCAAAGTGCTGTGCCCAGCCTTAAACTACATACATTTGTTATTTCATGGTTTATGCTGGTAAAGAATTGGAGCTCTGCTTAGCTGAATCCCTTGCTCTGGGATCTCTCCGAGGCTGCAATCAAGGTGTCAGCTGAGGCAATATTCAACTGCGGGAAGAGCCACTTCCAAGCTCATGTGTGTGGGTGGTGACAGGATTCAGTTCCTTGCAGCCTGTTGGACTGAGTTGTCCACAGTTCCTCTCCAGCATGGCAGCTGGTTCATCAAATCGTGCAAGCTGAGGAGGCAGTAGAGTCAACAAGGTGGCAGTCATGGTCTTTTGTAACTGAATCACAGAAGTGACATCCTATCACCTTTGTCATACTCTATTTGTTAGAAGCAAGTCACCAGGTTCAGCCTACAGTCAAGGGAGGAGATTACACAGATCATGAATGGGAGGAGGCAAGGATTATTCAACACCATCTTAGAAAGCTGCTTACCACGGTGACATAGAACAGAAAATCCAAAGAACAGAGGTTTAAACAACATACTCCTTTATTTCTTTCTTACGTCTACAGGCAGGCAGCTCAGGCCTCGTGTGAGGGCTCTGTGATCACAGGGGCCCAAGCTCTTTCTATCTTTCTGCTTTGCCCTGTGTAATAGTTGACCGCTATCTTCAAAGTTGTCTCATGGCCCAAGAGAGTTGCTGGAACTCCATTCATCACATCCACAATCCAGACAAGAAAGAGAAAGTGGGAAGAGCAAAAGGCATGTGCCAATGGAATCAGTCCCTTTTCCTTTTCTTTTCTTTCTTTCTTTTTTTTTTTTTCTTTTTGGGAGACAGAGTCTTGCTCTGTCACCCAGGCTGGAATGCAGTGGCGGGACCTTGGCTCACTACCTCTGCCTCCCGGGTTCAAACGATTCTCCTGCCTCAGCCTCCCGAGTAGCTGGGACAACAGGTGTGTGCTAACACACCTGGCTAATTTTTTGTATTTTAGTAGAGATTGGGTTTCACTGTGTTAGCCAGGATGGTCTCCATCTTCTGATCTTGTGATCCGCCCACCTCGGCCTCCCAAAGTGCTGGGATTACAGGCGTGAGCCACCGCACATGTCTGGAATCAGTTCCTTTAAAGGGTTCAGTAACTTCCCTTTACACCTCATTGGTCACTCCTATCTGTGAGGGAGGCTGCAAAATGTAGTTTTTCTCTAGGTACATTTTCTCCCCCAGTGTTATAAGGATTCTGTTAATAAGGAAGGAGAGAATGGATTTTCCAGATTCAACTAGCAGTGACTGCTGTTTTTAATGGCTCCTCAACCTGAAGGTGTAAAGCCATATCTTCCACCTCCACTGCATCATGTGGGCCCTGCCCCAAATTCCTGGTCTCCTGGGGATGCTGAGTGGGTGGAATAAGGGGCAAATGTTGGAGGATAAAGTTCTAGTGCAACATAGGATAGAACAGTGAACGAAGAAGTGTAACATCAACTGGCCTCTTCGTTCACTGCCTCATTCATTTATCATCGATTTGCTGACTGCCTACCTTGCATGAGGCAGCAGGAAAAGGAGGAAGACATAGAGTTAAGGGAACCACAGCCTCCAGCGGGAGACAGACCTGTGACTGGATAGATGACCAGTCAGCTAACAGTCACCAGAAAGCCAGCCCTGGGAAGGAAGGCATGCAGGCTGGGACTTGAAGGGTAGTGATATGTGTTGAATATGTGTCCCCTCTCAATCTCATGTTGAAATATGATCTCCAGTGTTGGAGGTGGGGCCTGGTGGGAGGTGTTTGGATCATGGAGATGGATCCTTCATGAATGGCTTGGTGCCATCCCCTTGGTGATAAGCGAACTCTCTCCCTGAGTTCACGTGAGACCTGGTTTAAAAGTGTGTGGTACCCTCCCCCCGCCCCACCCCTGCCTTGCTCCTGCCCTGGCCATGTGACGTGCCTGCTTTCACTTTGCCTTCTGCCATGAGTGAAAGCTCCCTGAAGCCTCCCCAGCAGCCAAGTAGATGCTGGTGCAATGCTTGTACAGCCTGCAGAACCATGAACCAATGAAGCCTTTTTTCTTTATAAATTACCCAGCCTCAGGTATTCCTTTATAGCAATGTGAGAATGGCCTAACACAGGTGGATAGCAGTTGTCTGGGCAGAATGGGCTGAGGAAGCAGCCTGTGTGCTGGCATGCAGCTCCAGCCCTCTTGTCTGGAGGAGGGCCAACGCTGGGTGTTCTCTTTTCCAGCCTGAGAACTTGGCTGTTTCAGATGAGGAGACCCAGTGGCCAGTGCAGGGGACGGATCTCTGCCTGCAGCAGGGCCTAGGATGGAGCCTCTATCACCCTCTATTCCAATGCCCTTTCAGCCTTTCCAGCTCATCTTCTGGCTGCGGCACCCTGAAGCCAAACCCTTAGACTTCCAGTGGGCCTGCAGTAAGCTCCAGACTCTGAAACAGTGGGTAGATGGCCTGGGTGGGCAGGGAAACCCCAGCTGAGGGTAATGGGGAGTTGGCGGAGGCTCTGATGGTCTTACCAGGGCTCCAGATTTTTCCTACTTGGCAACCTAAGGAACATCACAGGCATCCCCTGAACCATAGTTGCTTTATAAGTCACAAACGAACAATCAAAACCACCTAACTTAGCCTGTGAACTTCTGCTCATTCATATTTAAGTTTTCAGAGGCTCAGCCTGAAGGAAGTTGGAAGTGTGCTGTCATTAGCAAGGAGAGAAGGTGTGGCAGGCACCTCTCCGCTCTGAGGCCAAGGTAGCACCTTCCAAGGATGCTCAGGAGTGCATGAAGCCTGTCCTGCCTCCAGCAATACACAGACTCAGAATATATGCAGCAGGGCCTGCTGAGGTTGAGGGGAGCCAGCAATAAGCTCATGGCAGGTATCATCTCTGTGCATTTAAAATTTAAGGTCAGAACTTGGGAACCCTTTGGTATTTGCCAGCCAGAAGGATCTGCAGCTCAGAGGGCCATGAAACGGTGAAACGGCATGGTGGTGTGGGCGGGCAGGCTCCTGTACTTACCATTGTGGTCAACAGAGAGGGTTCTATAACAGCACGCAGGGCAAGAATGAGCATGATAGCACCAATAAGGACATCAGCATTTCTTGAATGTAGTGAAGTATTCAGCATGGGCCAAAAGTACTTTATGGGGACTATCTTCCTTGCAAGAGACCCAGAACGGAGACACTGTGATTAGTCTCCACCTCCAACCCCAGCCTTTTTCCTGGAGAAAGGGCAGGGGACAATCCCAGCAAGACTCTTTCTCACCCCTGCCCCTATACGAGTGGAGCAGATTCCAGATTCAATAGTGGTGCATGGAGTGATCAATGGATAGGATGCCGCCACCTTTGACCTGAAGACTTTAGACCTCTCTGCGTGGGAGGACTGCCCACCCGACGGGGGCCTGAGAGCTTTAACAGAGCAGAAAATCTCCTCTCTGCCGATCAGCTCATGGGTGTTGGAAAGGCCTGGCGAACTGTAAAGCAGTGTTGCTGGAGGAGTCTGAGCAGATGGTTCTATTGGCCCAGGGTGTGGCCGGGGCCTCACACTGATAGGCATGCCCTCCGTATGTCCAGCATGTGACCGGATCTGAAAGGACACAGACTCCTCAGAACCAGTGTTCTAGCCAGGGGGGTCAACAGCCAACCTTTACATTTTTCCTCTTAAAGGTTTTTTTTTTTCTTGTTCATAAAAATGCCAAAATCTCATTTTGGGGAGATAAAAAGAAAATACAGAAACAGCAAAAGGAGAAAAGTTAGTCCTAATACCACCTCTGAAAGATGTCTTTGGATATTTGTAGTTTACAGTCCTATTTCTATGTATTTTCATGTAGTTGAGATTTCAGGGTCTATTAAAAATTGTGTTTTCTTTCCTACATATCATGGTGTCATGAGCAATCCCGGGTTATTACAGCCCTTCGTAAACAATTCCTGAGGGCTGAATAAGCTAGCAAGCCATGTCTGTAGCTGAGTGTGGGCACGTCTTAGTGCCCACCAGACTGTCCCCCTCATGCCAGCACCTTCCTGCTCAGCTGGCCTCTGCACTGCCCATGTCCACAGGCACCTGGCTGTGCTCACAGGATCCAGAGGATTAGAAGGAGATCTCCTCTAGCGACAGGGTGGGTACCATGTGCTGGAGTTAGGAGGCGAAAGGGTGACCCCTGTGTCTTGCGTAGATGGACAAGGCCCCCAGTGTGATGTGATGAGCCCTAACAGAGGGTGCCGTGACCCAGCCTTACCTGGCCTGTCACGGGGCTTCCCTGAGCCAGCCCAGTGACCTCAAAGCTTTCCTACCTGTGACACCCTCCAAGTGGCCAATCCACTTTGAGGGTGTGAGGTGAGAAGGGACAACTCACCTAGCTGCCAACCAATGTGTCTAATAATCTCCATGCCTCTGATTCCTCACTGTCAATTGGAGAGACTAATAGCATGCACCCCATGGGGTTGAGAGCACTAAAAGCAATCAAACCTGAGTGTGTGCAGAGTCTGCCCCCAACCCCCGAGGCATGCAATAGATGCGCCCCATCATTGCTTGCTTCTAGGGAGCTCCCAGGGTGGGGAGCTGGGGCTGACACAGGAAGTAACAAGAGTGACTTGGCGCTGGGGAGACTGAGGCCTCAAGAGTTCAGGAACTTCCTGAAGGTCATGTGGCGGTGGCGATGAGCTCCGAAGCCTGTGTCTGTATGTGCTTCATTTGTGTGTCACTCCCCATGGGCACCTTTGTAACTGTTGTGTTTTTAATTTTCTGTCAGTTGGAGCAAGCAGATGTGGCTCTGGGCAGGATTTCCTATGCTGTCCTTGTCACTTCATACTCTGTCTTCTCCTTGCCACTCTGGGGATGTCCTTGAGCAGAGCCCATCTCTCATTCGCCTTGGTATCCCAAGGTCTAGCACAGTGCCTGGCAGACACTGAGGAAGTGACAGGCGTTTGTTGCGCTTTGAGTCAAGGACAGAGCCAGAGCAAAGGCTACTGGGTGAGCTGAAGGGATATTTCTTCTGAGCTCTGATATCTCGGTGTCCCCAGCTCTGTTCTTGGCTTGTCACTATAAATCAGACTGGAATGCTGGGGTTTTTCCTGGCAGTCTCTCCATCCCCTCTCCTGAATAGTGCTGGATGAGATAGACAAATTCTTCATTATCTTTTGCAGCCAAACCAGTTCTTCCCTTTCCCTGCAATATTCCCAGCCAGCCCTGAGTAGCCTCCTGCTACATCAATCCCAGTGCAGCCTGTCTCATACTGGTGACATTTTACATTGGCATGTCCCTGGTGAGAATGTTAAGCTTGTTGAAATCTGAGAGGCGCCTCCTTGCTCTCTCAGCCACGTAGACACTGTGTTTCCTTAGGCCACTGCTCTCCTACGTGTTGGGTAGACACATTTCCAATTTGGATGATGGTCCTTTCAGGCTTTGGTCTGGCCTGCGGAGAAGGGTATCTCAGCTCAGCTGAACTGAGATCTGCCCTCACCACTAAGGTGTTAGGCCCGTTCTTTATCTAGCTATAGGAAAAGTAAAAAGAGCTTTTGTAGAAGCAAAGAGGACCTGATCGTGTTAATCTGTGTTAATTTCAAGGGTCCAGCCCGGCGATTCCAGGCTCCCAAAAGAAAAATGTGTTTTCCCCCACCTTGATCTACTGCTCTGTGAGGTAGATGTACTGACCGCATGTTTAGACACTGAGAATCAATTTAGCAGCCTTCTGATCTCTATATATTCTGTGCGTGCACAACAGGAATAATGATTTTTAACACTGGGTTTGGCAAGGGCGTTGCCAGACTTTCTCATAGGCGATCTGATGGGAAAGCTGTCCCCCCGAGGGTCCTTCCTGTAGGGAGAGTTATATGAGTCTGAGAAAACATCTGGCCAGCCTCATCTGTAAACATGGCACAATATTATTGAATGACAGCCTGGGGACCAGCCTGTGGGGAGTGGAAATGCAGTCTCAGGACAGCTATAAACTAATGGTCTTTCTTTGCTTACTGACACATTGAAGCAGGGTTCTGAGATGGCATTGAGACAAGGGCCCCCATCACCCACCCTCACTGGCTTCTTGGACCAAGACTGCATATACTGATATGTTCAACTCACTGTCTTGTATGCTCTAAAACACTTTTGTTTTGAAGCAAGAAAATGGAAGACAAGCTTAGGGATGGCAGTTTCCTGGAGGCAGCCTGAGGGATGAGAAATAAAAGACATTGGCACAAATCTCAGGAAGCAAGAATTTTAGTCCAGGCTCTGGGATTTGGGGTGTGTCATATCATAGCTCTGTGGGTATGTTTCCTCACCTATAATATGAAGAATTGGCTTGCTCGTTTCACTGATGCTAGGAGGCATGTTCATTTCACATCTTAATGTTTCTTAAATCAGGCTGCATCTTACTATCGCTGGCATAGCACCCTTGCTGTTGCCAGATGACAGGCAGGACATAGTCGTCATGGCCTGAGCCTGTGTGAACATGGGCCTACTGTTCATAGTGTCACATCCTCCATTAAAAGAGGTTTGTTGTTGATTAGCCATGTATTGAGTATGAATGTCGTTAAAGGTGTCTACAAAAGGGTCTCATCATGATTTATTAGCAGAAGGGCCAGAAGACAGAGCAGTGGGGCACCAATTTAATATTAGAGAAGCAAATATTGTTGGAGGAAAGACTGCAATCTCATAAAACAGTAAGAATTGTCAGTCTCATGCATGCTAAACAATGCCACGAAAGGTGGAAGAAATTGCCAGAAGTTGACTCAGAAGAGATGAAACAGTCTCAGAGCCAGGTGAGGCCTGCGTGAGCAATTTGTCTACATGTAAGACTATCATGAAGGCATTATGGCATAGCTTAATTGACAGCATATTTTCTCTGTGGTTCATAAAATAATGGTGAGCCTTACAGTTGATGACTTTGCTTTCTAAGATCTCTTCTAGTTCTAATGTCTAATAGTTGTGTTTTCATTTTTCTGTCAAGTGGAGCAAGCAGATCAAAAATAACGTTTTTGGTGTTTCTCTCCTATGTTGGTGCTGCTTCTCTGGGCCCCTGTAGCACTTGACCCTTGATGTCATAACTGTGTGATCGCTTCTCTGCCCTTCGTTTTGTGTCCGTAACATTCAATACCAAGCTTGAGTTAGTGTTTTTTAAATGGACATATGGGTGGATGGATGGGTGGGTGAACGAATGGATGAATGGGTGGATGAATGGATGGATGGATGGATGAATGGATGGATGGATGGATGGATGGATGGATGGATGGATAAGAATGGGTGGATGGATGGGTGGATGGCTAGACAGGTGGGTGGGTGAATGGACAGTTAGATGAGTGGATGGATGGATGGATGAATGGGTAGATGAATGGATGGGTGGATGAATGAATGGGTAGATGAATAGATGGGTGGATGGATGGATAGATGGATGTATGGATGGATAAGAATGGGTGGATGGATGGATGGATGGATGGCTAGATGGGTGGGTGGGTGAATGGATGGATGAATGGATGGCTAGATAGTGGATGGATGGATGGATGGATGGATGGTTGGATGGATAGATGGGTGGGTGGATAGGTGGGTGGATGGACAGATGGATGAATGGGTGGGTGGGTAGATTGATGGATGGATGAATGGATGGATGGATGCAGGGCAGGTGGGTGGACCGATGGGTGGGTGGATGGATGGGTAGATGGATGGTTGGATGGATACATGAATGGGTGGATTGGGATGGACGGCTAGATAGGTGGGTAGATGGATGGATGGATGGATGGATGGATATGTGAATGAGTGGATTGATGGATGGATGGCTAGATGGGTGGATGAATGGATGGATAGGTGAGTGAATGGATGGCTAGATGGGTGGGTGGGTGGGTGGGTGGGTGGATGGATGGATGGATGGATGGATGGATAGATGGATGAATGTGTGGATGGATGGATGGATAAATGGGGGGGTGGATGGCTGGCTGGGTGGATAGATGGATGAATGGGTGGGTGGGTGGATGGATGGAAGGATGGATGGATGGATGGATGGATGAATGGATGAATGGTGGGTAGGTGGGTGGATTGCTGGGTGGATGGATGGATGAATAGATATAGATGGGTGGCTGGCTTGCTGGCTGGCTGGAGCTGCACCATGAGATGCATCCTCATCTTTGGTGAGGCAACAGATACCCTTCCAGGAAGCTTCAAACAAGTTCTCCAGATTCAGTGGGAGCCTAGACTCAGTGAAATTTTTTTTTTTTTTTTTTTGAGATGGAGTCTCACTGTTGCCCAGGCTGGAGAGCAGAGGCGCAATCTTGGCTCACTGCAACCTCCGCCTCCCAGATTCAAGCAATTCTCCTGCCTCAGCCTCTCGAGTAGCTGGGACTACAGGCACATGCCGCCATGCCTGGCTAATTTTTGTATTTTAGTAGAGATGGGGTTTCACCATGTTGCCCATGAGCTGAACTCCTGAGCTCAGGCAATCTGCCCACCTCGGCCTCCCAAAGTGTTGGGATTACAGGTGTGAACCACCACACCCCGCTGACTCCGTGATTTTTTTTTTAAGGGTTTTTTTTTTTTTTTTTTTTTTTTTTGAGACGGGTCTCGCTCTGTTCCCCAGGGCTGGAGTGCAGTGGTGTGATCTTGGCTCACTGCAAGCTCTGCCTTCTGGATTCAGGCCATTCTCCTGCCTCAGCCTCCCGATTAGCTGGGACTACAGGCGCCTGCCACCATGCCTGCCTAATTTTTTGTATATTTTTAGTAGAGACGGGGTTTCACAGTGTTAGCCAGGATGGTCTCGATCTCCTGACCTTGTGATCTGCCCACCTCGGCCTCCCAAAGTGCTGGGATTACAGGCGTGAGCCCCTGCGCCCGGCGTTTTAAGGCTTGTCATTGATGTTCTTTTATTCATTTGGTCCTAGATGATTCTAACAACTATGGTTTTTTTGGAGAGGCCTCCAAGCTACTAAGCCAGAGATTCCAACCCAAGTCAATAATCATGGGGCCAATCCATGTACATTACTTTTTTAACAGCTTTATTCAGATTCGATTTATATATTTTATAATTTACACATTTAAAATATACAATTAAATGGTTTTCAGTCTAATTATAGATATGTGTGACCTTTACCACCTTCATCACCTCTAAAAGAAACCCTTTAGCTATCACCCCCTTGTCTCCCTGCCTCCTTCCTGCCTCAGTTGTAAGCAAACACCATTCTACTTTTTGTCTCTCTAGATGTGTCTATTCTGGACATTTCATATTAATGAAATCTTATGTGATCTTCTGTGACTGGCTTCTTTCATTTAGCTTTGTATTTTCAAGGTTCATCCATGTGGTAGCGTGGATCAGTACTTTATTCCTTCTAATGGCTGAGTAATATTCCATTGCATGCATAGTTCATATTTTGTTATCCAGTCATCAGTTGATGGATGTTTGTGTAGATTTTACCTTTTGGCTATTATTAATAATGGTAC
Source organism: Homo sapiens (assembly GCF_000001405.40). Lineage (NCBI taxonomy): Eukaryota > Metazoa > Chordata > Mammalia > Primates > Hominidae > Homo > Homo sapiens. The sequence continues at coordinate 90,097 of NW_013171814.1, forward strand.
TAAAAACATTTGTGTGCAAGTTTTTATGTAGACATGTGTTTTCATTTTTCTCAGGTATATACCTGGAGTGGAATTGTTGGGTCATAAGGTTTATGTTTAATGGTTCAAGAAATTGCAAACCATTCCATATGGTTTTCCACAGCAGCTGCACCATCTGACATTCCCATGAGCAGTGTTTGAGGACTCCAGTTGCTCCACATCCTCTCCAACACTTGACTCGATACTTTGTAAGGTCTTTTTACTTCTAAGCTTCTAGGATTCTGGGTGAAATCCAGTGACAGTTGAGGCTATGGGAGGCTCCTTTCTGGCCTTATATCCCCTCCTTCTCCATGTCTCAGTGTAGTTTGCAGATGGCTGTGGGGGATTTCTCAGTTAATTATCTGCCAGTTAACCACTCAGCCTGCTCCCTGCGGTTGTATCTGGCTACAGACTTCTCCTGCTGTGTGTGTGAAGAGGTTATCTGCTGCTACCATGCTCTAGTGGGTGAAATTAACCACAGAAATAATGGGAAGTAGAGACCAAAGACTCTGATGGACTAATTAGAACAGCCATCAGGAGCTGCCCCCTGTGGGCTCTCTGCTGCAAGGCATCTGGCTGCACCTGGGAGTCCTTCCTCACTGCAGCTGTCCCAGACTAGCCTGTGGGAGGAGCTCTTAGGTCACAGAGGCCCACCATGGGCCTCTCGGAGGGAGCCCACAGTCCTCCCTTCCGGCTTCTGTTGATTGCCCACTTCATACCAGGTCCTGGAAATACAATGATGGGAAAAACGAAAAGGTCCCTGTTCTCAAGCACGCACACTAGAGTGGGTTCCTGATGGAATTAACTGGAACTTAGATTTTTCTGGCTGCCTGTTTTCCCAATTACTTGATCATGTTCCAGAGAGAAGTAACTGGGGAAACCAACCCTAGGAAACCATACCTGAACCTTCTATGTGGCCTTGGCCAAGAGGTCTTGTCTCTGGCTTGGCAATCTGTTGTGGGAGGCCTCTGTAATCGGGCTTTATGTTCTACAAGGTAGTGGATATGGCTTGCAAATATGTGTGGCCTGCAGAGCTTGGCTTTCTCATACCCTCTAACCAGAAGAAGCCTTTGCAGCTCAAAAGGACTGCACCTGTCTCATCCGTCCCTTTCCCCCTTCCTCAGAGCTCCTACCCTATCTCAGCTCAACCTGGGGGCAACGTTCAGTGACTCATTGGTTCATGCCACAAGGAGTGGGAATCTGAGATATTGCTAGTCCAGGGCAAATGCTCAGGATTGGAGTCAGATGCCTGGGTCATCATCCTGCCCTGTCACTGGGCCACTGGCATACTGTTCCAGGGTCCCCATATGGGAGGGTAACAGGGGGTGGTGATGCATGCTCTGCCTAACTGCAGCCGCAGGGTTATTAAGAGCTGACTGGCAGGAAGGACAATGCTGAGCTGTGCAGACTCCAGGGGCATGAGGCCCAGTGCCACCCTCCAGACCTCCCTAAATGACTTCGGACTCCCTGGAGAGTACATAACTTCTGGCACCCTGGACAGGACCCAAAGGCTTGATCTGGAGCAGTTTCCAATGCCCACTCCAGGAGGGACGACAGGGTCTAGCAGCTTATGGGGGATGTTGGGCAAGGGCTGGCACATTGAGGGAGTGGAGCTCTGGGACCCTCACTCTCTTTGGTCAGAGTATCCATGTCTTGGAGCCATTCTGTCCAGGTTTCAGTTCTGAGCCAGCCTCTTCCTAGCCAGGTGACCTTGAGCAACCCTTCGTGTCCTCAGTTTCCTAATTTGTACAAGGGGGACAAAAATAATGCCTACATTATAGGATGATCTTGAGGATTAAATTAATATATGACAAGCATTTAGCACAGGGGCCGGCACATACTAAATTCTCAATAAACACAGGTATTTATTATCTTTTATATATTTGGGGGGAGTCGTTTATAATTTCATTTGAAAAACAAGTATGATATTAGAGGAAAATAGTTTGGAAACCAACAATCTGTGGGGAATACAATATTGATGATTTGCTTTCCTGCTTTAGGAAAGGTCAAAGGGCAGCTGCCTTTGAGCAGGAGTTTCCCTCCCTCGGGTCCTCCAAGCAAAGGCAGAGGCAGCTGTGCTGTGTTGTCTCTGGGCCTGGAGGCCACTCCAGGAATCAGGGGCCCTGGGCTTTTGCTGCCGATTTCTTTGCCTCCCTGTGGTTCGTAGAGAATTCAGGGAGAGCTGTAAGAGCGCTGGGCACCGGATCAAGTCTGAGATTCCTGTGGTTGCTGTCCAGCATGCTTCAGGCATTGTGTGGGATACATGAGGGCTCCCTGGCAGAAGAGGGGCCTGCCCTCTGACACCCAAGCTGTGTCTGCTGGGTCCACTTGTAATGTGCCACCCATCTGTGCCCATCAGCAGCCGTCTGCTAATACCAAGGTGGGCAGAGCATTTGTTACCTGCTGCTGACCATTTTCTACTTTCTGGGAATCCATCATGAAACTGTCAAAAAGAGGAACTGAATGTCTATGGTGAGGTCAGCTCAGGCTCCCAGGGTCCAAGGAAAGGAGCAGACAGGTCCTCAGCCTCCAGGAGCTCATAGTTTAGCTGGGGAAGGAGGCAGCCACTCAGCTCACATTAAGGCTGAGCTGGAGGGTGGTGGGGGCATTACAGGAGCAGTGGGACATCCCTGGGCTGTCCTTTCCTCCCTTGAGACACTGAGCAGGAGCACCCTGTCCCTAGGAGGAGCTTGGGTATGCACAGCCGAGTTTCTGCTGAGTGACACCATCTTCTATAATAGCTGTGGCTATCTTCAGCCAGGTTATGGTTGAGTACTGCTGGTCTGGAGCCTTTTTTTCTTTCTGCTTGCAATGACCTTGCATATTTCTGTTTTGGACCTGGACTATCATGTATTATTTCACAGTGTAACTCCCAAGGGCAATCCTTCGTCCTGATTTATTTCCAAGTTCTGAGGGGGAGCCCTCATTTTTGTAGGCATAGACCACTTCCAGTTAGTTGCTCTTTCGCAGGGGACTTTCGAACTCGGATGCCTTACAGGGGCCAGGCAGGTAACATGTGTGAGTGAGGGAGCCAGGTGAGAGTGAGGCTGTGAGCAGCGGGGAGGCATTAGAGAGTGTATGGGTCTGCAGAGAACTGGGGTTGATTGCCTGGTCTGAAGGGGACAGCACTTCTTAGCTCTAGCTGATGGTTACAGCGCAAGAAGGTGGGCCAGTGTTGCTCGATCATCCAGTTTTTTCAAGAAAAGTCAGAAATTGTGGCTTTTTATGTGAAATATTTTGATTTATAAACGTTAGCTCAAATATTTTTAAAATATCTAACTGGCTAACCAGAACACACCATGGTCCAGACGTGGCCCCAGCACAGGCGGTAGCAATCTCTGCTTTGTGACTGTGCTCCTTGCAGGACAAGGCGGTCATCGAAAGTGGTGGGGGGGTGGGGGCAGGCAGAAGCCCAAGGGCCCAGTGAGTGGCTGCTATGAGCATTCTGAGGGGTCTCTGTGACCTGGGCCGGTCAGGGTGGCATCTAAGAGGTGGGCTTGAGCTGTTCTTGAGGATGAGTAGAGAGAAAGGGTTGCTGTTCTCGAACGTGAGCCAGTTCTGCCTTGCAACCATAGCACAAGACCACCTGGACAGGCCTGCAAGGCCACAGCCTGCTGAGATCTAGCCTGTGCACAGCCTGTTCTGGGCTGTGGACACTCCCACCAGGCTCTGGAAACAGCTCGGTACTCTCTCTGCTCCAGCTGGTCTGTAGTTCAGGGAGCTGTTGCCAAGAGGGAGAAAGCTGACTGGGGACCCTGGAAACCCCAAGACAGATGCCAGAGAGAACGTTGCCTGAGAAGGAAGGCCTGGAGCGCTGCTGCCACCACACTTGGATGCCCTTTCTAGCCTTACCCCAGGTGCTTGTGGACACATTGCTGGGTTCAGAGCAGGGCACTATTGGTTTCCCTTCCTAGCATGCTCCAAGTTAATTTTCATTCTTGGCCAATAAACCCAGAAGCTTTTGACAGCTGGTGGTGGGGCTCACCCATCTACCTTCAGAGTCCACAGAAGAGAGAATGGATCTCTGTGAGTTCCTGCAGGTTGGCAAAACAGGTCAACCCAGGGATTGGAATACAGGAGAGAGCCAGACTGAGGCCCAAGGAGGACTCAGGGTGTTCAGAGTTGGGAGGCATTAGGGAGTGGTGAGATCTGCAGAGATCTGGGGTTCAGAGATAGCAGTCGTCATTGATATCCAGAGTAGTCAAGGAGGGCTTCAGGGAGGAGGTGTGCCCAGAGGTGGGCCTTGAGGGAAAAGGGGAGATTTGGAGAGGCAGAGGTAGGAGAGAATGCAGAAGACAGAGTGAGGTATAGCAGTTGTGAAGTCGAGTGACAATTGCAACTGATAATTGAGTGCTTGATGTATGCCTAGCGGTGTTGAGCACTTTTCTCATTCATTCTTTCACATGATTCTCACAGCACCTCATGAGGTGGCACTTTCACCATCAGCCTACTTTAAACATGAGGAAGCAGGCCCAGAGTCCGCCCAACAGCACGCAGAGAAAAGGTGATTTAGCCAGCACTGGAACCCAGACTCGGGACCCATAAGCATGATGTCACCCTATTTTACGAGTGGGGGCAGTGAGGAAGCCACCTGACTCCAGCCAGGGATATGGCTGTCCAGCTGTCTGGTGGCCCTGCACAGTTTTGGTTTGTTTCAGCTATGACTTCCCTGTCCCTGGTGCCTCTAGGGTGTATACAGCAGATGCTCAGTATGTCTTAGTTGGGAAGAGTTGTCTCGAGGAGGCTCTTGAATGTCATGGGAAGAGGTTTGGAGTCCTGGTTCTGGGACTGGGTGACCTTGAGGGTGTGGGGGGCTGGAGCAAGTCAACTCCCAGCATCCATTGGCTTTAACATTCTAGGAGCTGGGAGTGGGGCTGGAGGAAAGCCCGGGCCCATTGGCAGTGGGCGGAAGAGCTGAGGAGGCCCACTCTGAGGGAAGGACGGTGCTGGAGAGGGCGTGGGCGGGCTGGGGGAGCCACAGGCCCGTCTACCCATTCTGGGCCTGCAATGGAAGCAGGTGTAGGATGGAGCAGGGCCCTCAAGGATTACGCAGTCTTATCAATACCAGGCAAAAACCTATAAAAAAAATTCAAGAGCAGGGCAAGAGTTGGGTAGCAGCCCAGAGGCGGAGGAGAAGGTGTCACCAGGCAGCCTGGGTTTGGTGCCAAGGGAGCAGGTGGGTGGTCAGTGCTGGAGCCCAGTGGAGGCTTCTATGGGCTTTGGGGGCAGACCTGGAAACAGGGGCACCCAGGGATAAAGCAGGACCTGCACGTCACAGAGCCCACCTGGATGCCCACCTGGATGCCCACCTGGATGCCCACCTGGATGCCCACCTGGATGCCCTCCCGCCTATTGGGCTAGGCCTACCTGCCCGGGTGGGTTGCTGTTTCAGTGTTCTTCCTCCGAGAGGAAGTGCTCATCAGGAGCCAGGAATCTAATGAGGCACCCCCCGGGGACTGAGGCCTGTACCTTCCACACTCCTGCGGGCTGCTCTCCCTTCCTCCCTCTCCAGGGCCTCCGATCTCAGCCCCCATTCTGGGTGCCAGCACTGCAGGCCTGCTGAGCAGGAAAGAATCCATGGCATCTCCCTTGCCTTCCGGCCAGCCATGCCCTGCCCACCTCATGAAAACTGGTCCAGCTCCTCAGTGACTCATGGAGGCTACTCTTGGGGACAGAGGAGTAAGTGCCAAGCCCCAGCTCTGTTTCCATGAAGTTCTGATGAGACCACAGGGCTTGGTCCAGGGCTTTGCACAGGGTGGGGGCTCAGGAGGGTATGAGGACAATGGGATGATTTTGGTGTCATCTGTTATTTAGGAGTATCTGTCATGTCACTAACTGCCTGATGTTGATGATTGTAACCCAGAACTGCGCTTGGGGTCCACAGAGCTTAGGAGTCACTAAGGGAAGGAAGGTGACTCTCAGCAGGGGTCCCTGGAGAAGGCAGGCTGTTGAGGGATGTAAAGGCTTGGATCCTGCATTGCAGCCTGGCTCTACCCATAGATACCTGAGTGGCTCCCAGTACGTCATTCCCCCTTCAGCCCCCAAGGTCCCAGTGTCCTCACCTGCGTGGCAGCAGCTGAAGAGCTGTTGAGGGCAGGCAGCATAGATATCAGGAACTACCTCCAACTTGTTCAGACCTGGCAGATGTGCCTGAGCTCCATGCTGGGTGTTGCAGGACTGTAAGCAGGTGCTGTCATGTCATGCGCCTGGCCCTGAGAGTCCAGTGTGGAGGTGGTGGCCCCAGTGTCCACTGATCATAATAACCTGTGGAGGTCATGCCTGGTTCTGAGCTCCGCCCTGGGCCCTGCGTGGGCCATAAGAGGAGCCGCCCCTTCACCAGATAGCTGACCAGCTGGCCAGAAGTTTGGCCTGGGGACTCCACCCATTTCTAGCCCTCTGGCCAGAGCAAGAGTATCTGAATAATGGATAAAGAAGACGTGCAAGATTTTCTAGATCTTGTCTATTTCAAGTGTAGTTCTCTGACTGGCAGCAGCAGCCTCACCTGGGAGCGTGTTAGGAATGCTGAGTCTCAGGCCCCAACTCCCATCCTTGAACCAGAATCTGCATTGTAACAAGATGCCCTGTGATTGTCGTACTCATTAAAGTTTCGGAAGCAGTGCTCCCGGCCAATATGTTTTTCATGGGTAGGTGAAACAAAAGTCCCACAAATTGATAGTTACAATGTGTGCTACATGCTGATATTTTCAATTTAGTTATACATTTTTTAATGCTGAGATCGTGACCCAGGAAATTTGTTTTGCAGCTCATGAAATTGCTGAGACCTGCAGTTTGAACACCACCATGCTAGCTAACACCCTGTTGGATGTTTGAGTGACAAAAGGGTTAATTTGGTGGGGTGACAGGGGATCAGACGTTTAGAGGACGTCAGATGTCCTTGACTCCTGTGACAGAAAATGTTGCCAATTTCCAAGGTCACATGCCTTCGACTTCATGCATTTCTGAACTTTCCCATTTCCCAGGGGTTGGGGACCTGGGGCTCCTGCACATGGAGGCCTCTGCTTCCTCCTGCTTTTCTTTGGCAAACACCAACATGGTTGAATTATCAGGCCAGAGCTTGAGGGCCGCAGACTGTCGGGGAAGTACATTCTCGCTGGAGTCTTGAAGGGGAGTGTGGGCTGGACTGGGGCTGGAGGGACGCGGTTGGCAGTGAGCAGGCTCCCATGGCTTCCTCGGGGAGAGCCTGGGCACCCTGGCCTCTCTCCTCCCCACTCCAGCAGGCAGCATGGCCTCTGGACTGGCCCTGCCCTGGGGGCCACCTGACAGCCTGCAAGGGAGAATTCTAGCCCCAATTGTGCATTCTGGGTGAAGGTGTTGCTCCCACTCTGTGGGGATGGGAAGGAGAGAGGGGATGGAGGGGACCAGGGCCCGAAAGCCAGCAGCCAGCTCTGCCTATAATAGTCACCAGGAGCTGCTTGCTGGAGAGCAACCTGGGAGCACAGTGCTTTGCAGCACCAGGTGACATGGGAAGCGGCCACAGGAAGGTGGGGTGAAGACGCCAGTGGCTGTGATGAGTGGATTTAGCAGCAGGAGAGCAGGGACAACACTCTGGGCCCCATTGCCCACCACAGCTCCGATGCCACCTCCACTGCAGACTTGCTGTTCTGCTGGGACGAGTGGACAGACCTGTGAGCCCCAAGGCTGCTGATCTTACGGTCACCAAGCAAGCCCCCTGCAGCCCCACCTGGGCCCCCTGCAGCGGGCCTGGGTTCCACAGGAGGCTGGACCCCTTGCTGCAGCCACAAGCCAAAAGATGAGCCAGGAAGCAGAAATTGGGGTCTTCCTGGGTTTCCTCAGTGGGGTGTCAGAAGGGTGTGCTGCTGGAGTGAGTTGGGTGCTGGGGGTGGAGAGGAAAGAGCCTGAAGAAGTGTGGGGTGCAGTGCTGCCTCTGTGCGGGCCTCGAATGATGGATTCCCTGAGAAGTGCTGGTAGGCCCTGGAGCAGATGCATTTCATCTGGTTTGCAGGTCACTGAACTCATCCCTGAGGATTGGAGGAGGAGGTAATGCCCCTAATGCCTCGCAGTTCTTAAAAGGATTGGCTAAATTGATAGCTCCTCATGCCGTTTGTCACTGGGTGGGCAGGAAAGGATACTGAGAAGGCTGGGATGGCTCCACTGATTGTCTCTAGCCTGTGGGTGCTCTCCAATGTCAGCCTTACCTTTTCCTCCAGACCTCCTGCCTCTGAAGGTCAGACTCAAAGTCAGACTTGGCCAGGGGTTAGAGGGAGAGACTGGCAACCGACCATCTCAGGCTGCCCCACGGTGTTCACAGAAACCCCTTCCAGAACACTAGTTTCCTAAGGAAGCTACAGAGTGCTGGGCTGAGAGCAGCAAGGGATGGGGAGGAAGGGGAGGAAGGCGAAGGGGAGTTTGTTTGCGTCTAGGGTGGGGAGGGGACGCTAGTGTGGAGAGAGGCACCTTTTTGTCAAAGAACATGGGTGATTTTCATTTTTGTCCTTAAAAATAGCCAGGCTAACTGGGCCGTTGTGACAAGCACGGACTGTGATTGGCTGCAGCAGGAGGTGGGGAGTCCCTGGGCTGGCGGCCGAGTCTGGATGAGGTTGTTTAACAGAGATGCAGACCCAGGAAGAGAGCCTGCATGCATCCCTTTCCCCAGACAGACACAGATGTGGCCAAGCTTGGCGGCCCTGGGTCCTCTCTGGGAAGCACAGGCGAAGGAGCTCTGGGGCAGGTCCTGCTGCAGCCCGGGCCCTCTGTGTCCTCCAGAAAGCCGTGCCCACACCGGCCCTCCCCTCCAGCTGTAGACTCAGGGCTGCCCGCCCCTGTGGTGCCCTTTACAGCAAAGTGCAACCTCAGCATTTTTCCTACTCCTGCTGCTTGCCTTTTAGTTCCTCCTCATCCATCACCTGGCAGGGAATCGGAGCAGAGCCGGGAGAGGAGGGGAGAGGCGTGTCTTTTGTGTTCTTCTACCTTCCCTCTTTTCCTTTTCCTTCTGCCTCTGGTTCCATCCTTTCTTGACTTTCACTGATCATTAAAACATAAATTCCTGGCTGGCTCTCTCAGCTTAGCCAGCAGCCCAGCTGTTTGGGGACTTCCCATCAGGATCCTACTGGGAATGAGACACTGAGCCAGGCTGAAACCCCCAAAGCTCAGGCAGGAAGGCAGCAAAACAAGCCTGGAGGAGACCATCCCTTGCCCTGTGTCTCCACCAGCCAGAGAAAGCTCTACCCTTTTCCTCCACACTCGTCTTGCCTTAAAAATGTGTTGGAACTTTTCTAGGTGGATACCCCAAAGAATAAACAGGGACTCAGAGGGATCGTTGTACACTCATATTCAAAGCAGCATTATTCACAACAGCAAAAGGTGCAAACAACCCAAATGCCCATCAGTGGATGAATGGATAAATAAAATATGGTCTAGATATGCAGTGTACTATTGTGATACGATGTCTTATTCAGCCATAAAGGGGCATGAAATTCTGATACATGTTACAATGTAGATAAACCTTGAAAGCATTATGCTAAGTGAAATAAATCGGTTGTAAAAGGACAAATATTGCATGATTCCTCTTATAGGAGGTACCTGGAATAGGCAAATTCATAGAGAGAAGGGTGAGGAAGAGTTCATTGTTTAGTGGGCACAGAGTTTCTGTTTGGGTTGATAAAAAAGTTCTGGAAATAGATAGTGATGATGGCTCAAAACACTATGAATGTACTTAAAGCCACTGAATTATGTGTTCAAAAATGGTTAAGATTATAAGGTTTTGATTTGTTTGTTTTGTTTGGTTTGGTTGGTTGGTTGTTTTTTTTGTTGTTGTTGTTTTGTTTTGTTTTGTTTTTGCTTTCAGACAGAAACTCACTCTGTCACCCAGACTGGAGTGCAGCAACACGATCATAGCTCACTGTAACCTCAAACTCCTGGGCTCAAGCAATCCTCCTGCCTCAGCCTCCTGAGTAGCTGAGCATGTGCGACCATGCTCAGCTAATTTTTAAAAAAATTTTTGGAAAGACGAGGTCTTGCTATGTTGCCTAGGCTGGTATCAAATTCCTGGCTTCAAGTGATCCTCCTGCCTCAGCCTCCCAAAGGGCTGGGATTACAGGCATGAGCCACTGCACCCAGCTGAATGCTGTTTTATGTTGTGTATATTTGACCATAATAAAAAATTGGGGGCCTAAGTGCCGGGCTGTACTTCCAGGCTGAGAGCTGTGGAGGTGGACGGGCAGAGGAGGGCCATGCTCTCTCCCTCTCTCTGCTCCTTCTTCTCTTGTGACTGAGATGAAGCTTGGGGCTTTTCTGCTTTGCATGTTCCCCGCTTTTCTGAAGCTGGGGCCTCCCCACTCCCTCTCTGGGCCCCGCTGCGGAACAGGGAAGTGATGTATTCTCCTGTTCCCCCTGGAAAACGAGAGTTCCTGGAGGAGCTGAAATCCCTGGGAGAGAGTGAAAAGGAGGGGAGGACCGACAAGTGAGGGGGGCTAGGGATCTGGCGGCCACTGTGGGCCACGGGGCTCACCCCACTCGGAGTTGCTGAGGGACCACGTGGAGCATGCCTGGAATTGTCTGAGACACTGAAAAGGGGAGTATTTGTCCCATTGAGGGCAGCCGCATGGGGCGCTAGCTCCTCATACTCCGGGTTGCAGGTGCCAGGGGCCGGGGGCTTCCTGCAGGCATCTCCTGACTGCAGAGGAAGCCTGGACAGGAGACCCCGGGGCAGCTGAGGTGAGGCGCCGCTGGGCTACCCCATGTGAATCTGGCTGGGCAGCAAACACTAGAGTAGAAGGAATGGCCGAGAGGACGTGAGGACACAAGAGGCACCCGCAGAGCGAGTCCTCTTCCTTCCTCGGGGCACCAAAAGGCTGCAGGTTTGGGATGGGTCTCAATTCTGTCCCCTTTCTCGGCAACTATTATGGGTTTGGGGTGATGACCATGCCCAGGCTCCCTCATGGGACCCTGACACAGCCCTGAGACACTCGGGCATGTTTGGGAGAGCCCCGCAGAGCCGGCCAGAGGCTGCTGCTGCAGGCAGAGCCTGGCACTCAATCCTCCTGGAAACGGCTCCGTGTAGAGTTCCTGCAAAACCCGGTTCTCCGACTGCACCTGTTAGGTGTGCCAGGGAGCCCTTGATAAGATCTGACGTCTTCCAGGAATAATGGGCGTGGCCTTGTGTATTGACTTCTCCTGCAGGTGGCTCCTTTTCAGCCCTCTCTGGACATCGGCGGTTTTATTCCCATCCAGCGGAGGCCAGCTTCCCGGGGCCAGGCACGGAGCCTGCTTGGGGCCAGCTCTCCGGAACCTGTGCCCAGCTGGGGAATAAGCACATGCTCAGCACTTGAAGAATTCACTGCTCACTGGCGAGTCAGTATGGAATTGGGGAACTTGGAGGTGGCCTGAGGGACTGAGCAGGCCACCAGGAGTGGGGATGGAGAGAAGGCAGTTGGGGTATAGGCATAGTCGTGCAGACCTGGAACTCTCCTGTGTGAACTTGGGCAAGTTACTTAATCTCTCTGAACCTCCGTTTTCTCTTCTAAGTAGCATAATTATGCCGATTCCATAGGGTTGCTGCGAAGGTGAAGTGAGTGGAGGCAGATCAAGTGCTGACGTGTCTGGGACATGACAAAGGCACAGCAGACACTCGTCATTCCTACTATTAGCAGAAATTGCAGCATTCATACCCATAGCCAACCCTGGGTGAATCTTTTGCTTAGTAGCCTGCCATGAAACCAAGGCAATGCTCTGGCCTTCTGTGCATATAAGGACCTCTAGATTTGGCAGGTGGAGGGAAGGAGAAAATGCTTCCAGGTGACAGGTTCAGTGTGAGCAAAAGCACAGAGGCAGGAAAGAGCGTCCTGTGTTCATTTTCTATTGCTTCCTAAAAGTTTACTACAAACAGCAGCATAAAACAATAGCATTCATTATCTCACAGTTCTGTAAGTCAGAAGTCTGGCACAGCGTCTCATGAGACTGAAGTCAAGTTGTTAGCCAAGTTGAATTCTTGGCTGGAGGCTCTGGGGGAAAAGTCTGCTTCCAGGCTCATTGGTTCTCAGATGAATTTACTTCATTGCAGATGTAGGATGAGGTGCCCACTTCCTTGCCAGTTGTTGACCAGGGATTGCTCTCAACTACTAGAGGCTGCCCACATGCCTTACCATGTGTCTCTTTTCCTTCAAGCCAGCAACAGTGCATTGAGTCTTTCTCATGCTTTGGATCTCTGGCTTCTTCTGCTGTGCTGAGCTCTAGTCCCAGATTTAATGGGCTCAAGTGCTTGGGTCAGGCCCTCCTGAATAGTCTCTCTATCTTAAAGTCGACTAATTTGGGATTTAATTTTGTCTGCAAAATCCCTTCCCAAGGGTATCTAGACTCCTGGAGAGTAACTGGGAGAGGGTGTATACCCATGACTGTCTTAGAATTCTGTCTGCCACACCTAGCATGTGCCCAGGATGAGGAGCAGAGTAGCCAGGGGCTGAAGCAGGGGATGACTTAGGTGTGGGCAGCTGTGGAGCAGGAGGAGTAAGGTGGGTGCTGGTGGTGTGGGGAGGTATAAGGTCCTGTAGGCTTTGAGTGGCAGGTGCAGGAAGAGGCAATGGACAGTACCTCCCATGCCCCTGCCTGTGGCCCTTGCCACCAGATGTGCATAGCCCAATCCCAGCTGACTCCCTGAGGACCTGCTGCCACCCTTGCCTCCACATCTGGTTCCCTCATTCTGAAAAGGGCACCGCCTTGGCCTGAAACCTCCAGTCCGCTGATTCCTCCCTCTAGGATGGGTGAACAGACCCACAGCTCCAAGGTTGCTGAGCTCAGGGGCCCAGAGCGAGGCCCTGCAGCACCTCAGAGCTCCCTGCAGCAGGCCTGGGGTCCGAGGGAGGCTGGGCCCCTTGCAGCGGCCAAAAGCCTAAAAATGAGCTGGGAAAGCAGAGGAAGATGTGTGCACAGCAGGGCGGTTCTCCTTCCCCCGGGCAGTTCTTCCTCTCCATTCCCTCACCCTCGGAGAAGGCAGTGAGGGTGTGGGAGAGTCAACATTCATGCTCTCAGCAGCATTTCTGGAACCCAGCACACCATTCCTTGCCCTGCTTTGGACTCGCTGCAGTGAAAACACTCAACAAACCCTAGATTATTGGCAAATAACTGTGTTCCAAAGAAGTTCTCAGGGTTAAGGTTCTGAGGTTCAAAGTTTTGAAATTCAAATGCTCCATTAAACCTGCTAGGACCTCGCCTTTATTACTGGCAGCAGCATTCACGCTGCTCTATATGGCTTCAGAGCCCTGTGTGTGCAGGATTCATGTCTTCTCTGTGCTTTCTTGTGGTAGTGGTTTGGTAGAAGTCTGTTCTACTAGTTGTGATACTAAAAGCATGTGCAGACTCTGTTTTCTCTGGCAGATCAGGATCTTCCATGGAAATCACAGGTCTCCAGATAATAAAAGAGGCACAAGGCAAGCTTTAAATCCCCTTCCCATCTAGCCTGGAGCCCATCAGAGGAAGGGGAGGGTCCCTGGCCTGGAGGTGAGAAAGGTTCTAGCTTTCCTCACTCCCAGGTGGGTCAGGTGGGAGCTTCGGGGGATAAGCAAGGGAGCGGGGAGCAGAGAGGGCGGTGGCGGTGAGGTCCCAGCAGACCTGGGCCCCTGCAGGGCTGGGTTGAGCACATCAGCTCCAGAGATTGCAGTTCTGTTGGTGGACTTTAACTAGTGTTCCAGCCATAGCTGGTCATCTATGCCGCGCTGCCCCAGAGAGAGGGCGCGAGGGCTAATGGGTTAGTCATGCCCCTGTAAAGGTGACCAGGCAGTGTCTGTGGCTAGGCCATATCAGCATAGACAATGCAGCAAGCCTTTCTCGTTCTGCCAGTGAAATCCAGTCACGTTCCTGCAGACTCACCATAGGTGTGTTCCAGTAGCTGCACCAGAGCAAGGCTGCAAAATCCTGCTTATAAGTTACGGCCCATAGGCTTCAACTAATTTAGGGGACAGTCTGGTGACTGAAAAGAAAAAGTCTCCTCTTAAGTAGTCATTTTCTTGGAGGACCTGAGCCCCTCAGAGGTTTGTGTCTCGGGCCCCATTGTGCACCCTCAATCTTGGTTCTGTTGTTTATTTCATCCTGCTTTGTGGTAGATTCTGTTAAATCTGAGTCAGGAAGTGAGGCTTGGCCTGTAGGCTGAGCTCATCTTCTGCCTTTCCCAGCGATTAAGGCCTAGGTAGACACTAACTCTGACACTGCACAGTGCCTGTGCTGGCCAATCAGACAAGTGGCCTGCATTCCCTGGGCCTCAGTCTCCTGCCCTACACAGTGGGAATTACAGCACATAGTTTATGCTGAGGGCAAGCCAGCCCCTCGCTGACTTCTCAGGGTTGTTGGAAGAACAGAACGCCATGATGGATAAGAAGATGCTTCCAGGAGCAGAGGGTGTTTCTCAGGTGTGGGCATCGTCGTCTCCTCCAGCAGCGTCTCACGGAGTTCTCTGTCCTCTTTCCCACCAGTCCCGGCCCAGGCCCCTGAGCTGGAGGGATGGAAAACTCCTCTGCAGCATCAGCCTCCTCGGAGGCAGGGAGCAGCCGCTCCCAGGAGATCGAGGAGCTGGAGCGCTTCATCGACAGCTACGTGCTGGAGTACCAGGTGCAGGGGCTGCTGGCTGACAAGACGGAGGGTGATGGCGAGAGCGAGAGGACCCAGTCCCACATCTCCCAGGTGAGCGCGGGCCCGGGGTTGGGGCAGCTTGGGAAATTCAGAGGGGGTGATGCAGGAGCCCCTAATTCTGGGCAGCATCCAGTTGCCTGACACTAGACCGCCAAGGCATGAATGGTCCCACCCAGCAGAGCACCCAGAATCTGGCAGGTGGGCTTTGGGATCCAGGCAGGAAGTGCCCTGGCTGTGCACCCCGTCCCTCTAACCCACCTCCACTCCTCCCTATCCAATGAGGCTTTGAGGCCCAGCCAGGCCCACATGTCTTTGAACATACGTCTCTTGAGTACTGACTATGTGCTGAACGCTGTTCCCTGTCCTCAATAAGCTTATGTTCTAGGAGAGATCTGGAGGTTTCGCTTCTCCATAATGCATACCATCAAAGAACTATAACTTGTGAATATTTTCTGTGATTTCAAATACAAGTAGTTGTTGGTAGCCAAAGGAATGATTGTTAGTAGCCAAAGTCTCGTGGGATTCTCACCCAGGGCTCTGTATGTCAGACATACTTAGACATATGAGGCAATCCAACCAGCGTCATGTTTGGTCCTGCACCCTCCTGCCTCAGTCTGTGGCATCCCTGACCTTGGAGGGGAGATGGACTCATCTGAAAGATTGTGAGCTGAGATTTGAAAGTCTTGGCTTCTCCCTCATAAAGTATGAATGCATTAAGGATAGGGACCCTATCAAGCATATCTTTGCCTAACACCACAAATCCTCAGCAGATTTTTGTTCAAGAGCTGCTTCCAGATTGGCTTCTAGCTGCCAGTGTGACCTTGGGCAGAACCTTCAATGTCTGTGGGGCTGTGTTTTCTTATCTGGCAAATGGGAATTATGCTGTTGCCTCGGGAATGTTGGAAGGTCAAAGACAGTAAGAAGTACAAAAGCTGCAGAGAATCAGTGCTGCCTGCACAAGCATGTACAGGAGAGTCCCCTGTCTTATCTGGAGTCAGGGTTCTGGGGATCCACCTCTCGTGCGTGTTATCCCATCTCCAAGCCTGGGACTCCTGGGACAATCAGAAGGTGAGCTACCTGGGTGCACCCTGCTTTGGGAAAAGGCTGAGTCCAACCACCTGGCTCACTTTTTGGGTGGGACCCCTAGCTTTTTAGAAGCCAGAACAAACTTTTGGCTTTGCTGGAACTCAGACCAGGAGTCACTCTGGGAAATGCTGAAGCCACAGTAATCCCATGCCCTGTCCCCACTGGGAAGCAGGGGACAGAAAATAGTCCTGAGGGAGAAAAAAAAAATAGATGTGATGCTTTCTTTAGTGTCCTTGAGGTTCTAAAATCACAAGTAATGCAAGCTTATAATTTGTTTGTTATTCAATCCATGAGTGTTTAACAAGCTTCTATTCTGTGCCAGGCACTATTCTAGGACTCGTATCTAGGATTGAGCAAAAAAGCCCTGCCCTCATGGACTGTGTATTCTACTCGTGGATGATCATTGCGATGGAGAAAAGTAAAGCGGCAAATGGAACGGGGAGTGAGGAGGAGCAGGAGGGGCTTGCAGTTTTAAGTAGCGTAGTCAGGGAAGCTGGCATGGAGGGGAGGGAGGGGTGGGTAGTGGAGATATCCGGATAGGAACATCTGGGCAGAAGGACCAGCCTGTGCCAGGGCTGGGCTGGAAGAAGAGTCCGGGCCCAGCCAGGAGGCCAGGGTGCTGGAGCAGAGGATGAGGGAGGGAGAGCTGCGGAGATGAGTCAGAGGGATGATGAGGACTGTGTCGTCAGGAGGTGCGAGTCCTGAGCCCTGGAGTGGCCCCACATGAGGAAGAAAGAATGTGAGGAGAAGTGAGCCTAGAGACCAGTGAGGCAGGAGGGAACCAGGCTGCTCCTGGAGCCCAGGAGGGGAGTCGAGGGAGTGGGATGGGGAGACTGCCTTGCGGGCCACTGCCAGGCCAGGTAAGAGGGGCTGAGAATGGCTGACTGAGCAGGGGGCCGTGACGGGGAAGTTTCCACTGAGCGGTGAAGGCAGAAGCCTGCCTGTGGCCAGCTCAAGGAACAGAAGGAGATGGCCTGGAGACTAGGAGAATAGTACAACTGTTTTGAGGAGTTTAGCTGTAAAGGGGAGAGACATGTGGTGGTATTTGGGGGAAATAAGGTCAAAATAGGAGCATTGACCTGTGTGTTCAATCCAGGGGCAAGTCAGGGGTTGCTGGAGCCCTGGCCTATCCCCAGCCCCCAGCGGTTCATCCACAATGACAGGAGGGAGTGGCAGGTGTGGGGCCGCGCATCTAAAATGGCTCCTGCAGCACAGCTGTGGTTTCTCTCCAGCTGCTTGCGGCCACGAAGGTGCAGAGGCAGAGTTACAAAGATGACTTTAACCAGGGTGGAGGTTTCTCCAGGGAATACAGTGGAGGAGAGAGGGGTGAGGGAGGCACAGGAGTGATGATGGTGAGTCACCTGGATGCTGAGCCAGGCCAGGACGGGAGTGGGTACCTGAGGTGGTTGTGGAGGCTGACAGGTGGTAGGGTCAGTGGATTGGAGGCCACCCAAAGAATTGTAATCCTGGTAGCAAAGAGACTGAGCTAGAAAGATGGTGGGGGTGTGGCGTGTGTCCAGGAGTGGGGTGTTTGAAATCAGAGGTGGAGGAATGCAGTCATGGGTCAGGAGAGGGCTGGGTGTGAGCATGGGAGTGTGTGGGGGAGAGGGAGAGGCCAGGAGGAGAGCGGGTCGTGAAACTCAGATCCATCTTCATGGATCTTGAAATCACCAAGAAAGGACAAAAGGATGTGGGAAAGGGTGGCTGTGATACAGGAGAAAAGTCCTTGAGGAATGTGGGAGCAAGGTGGTGGCTGGGTGGCCTGGCGGTCTACAGCTGACCGCATGGAGGGTCTTGTCTGGTGGTGCATTAACTTATTTGCATAATCCTTTTTTTAATATACAAACTATGCTTATTGCACAGCTAATAGTACCATGATCTGAAGTGGAAGGAGGAGGAGGATTAGGATAGATTGGAAAATTGTAAGGGAAATTAACCTCTTTAGATTGTCTAGGGCAGGAACTAAGTGAACCAACTTTTGCAGTCCCCTGGAAGCCCCTAGAGCTGACTTCCCCAGGAGCAGGGCCTGTGGATGGGCATATGGGCTGGCTGGGTACCCCCTGTTGTGGGCTGCCTGCCTTTTCAGCTGTGTGGCATCCAGGCCTGCAGCAGGGCATCCTCCAAAGGTTCCTCCAGCTGAAATTTGCTCTACCTGGAGGAGCCAAGGAAGCCTCAAAGCTTCACCCCAGAGGTATGCGTGGCTGATGGTAGAATTTCTGTGCCCAGAGCAGCCAGCGGGGACATAGTTTTGAAAGGAGGTGCCCTCCCAGCGCTTTCAGTCTGGGCTCTGTGCTTCTGGCACCAGCTCCAGGGATCAGTGGGGCCTGACTCACGCTTGGATGCCCCCATCTGTGTGGCGGGCAAGGCAAGGCTGTGGAGGGGCTTTCAGACTGACGTCTGCTGTGAAGTGTGGTGTGGAGAACACCTGTGTGGTGTGACATTTGGATGCATTCTCTAAACTTTCTTCATGCTCTGGAATTCCCTCGAAGAATGCAGACACCTGGCAGGATGCTGGGGCCTGCAGGCCTGCCTGCTGCTGCCGGAAAGGGAGGATGTTTCAATCCTGCCCCTACCGCGCCCCTGCCTCCCCGATCCCCACAGTCACACACACACCTGGGGTACCGACTCTGGAAGAGGGACGGCTGTGGCCCACTCTCAGGAAGGCCAGGGTTAGCTGTGTCTACATAAGATACTTTTTAAAAAAATTCTCTATTAACACAGCTTTATGGGAAATATTTCTGCTAAAGCACTTTGGCTTGTTTTTTTTTTTAATCTGATGACTAGTTTAAATGGAAGCCAAAAAGAAAAAAAAAAACAGCAAACACTCAGGGAATGTTCCTGTCTGCCTGTGTGGTATTTTGATGTTTCTGGGGAGGAAATTTGTTAAGAAGCTTGGAAACCTTGAGAAGACCTGAGGGAGTGGAGAGGAATGTTGCTCTTCAGCTGGTGAGGTCATTTTTTAGGATCTGAGAAGTGACAGTTGACACTCAGGGAGAAAATATCTCATGATGTTTGTACACTTGTGTTCCTCTCGTCCTTCCCAGTAACAACTAGAAAGAAATGAAGGATGGATGGATGGATGGATGGATGGATGGCTGGCTGGCTGGATGGATGGATAGACAGACAGATAGATAATACATAGATAATAGATAGATAAGATAGATAGATAGATCAGTTTTCCTGTCTCTTAGATGAATAACCAAGACAATGTGTGTTTTAAGTTTGCCAACATTTTCTGGATGCCATGTTTAACATCATACCTCTCCCCATGCTTGACACCACGCCCCTCCCCATGTTTGACACCACGCCCCTCCCCATGCTTGACACCACACCCCTCCCCATGCTTGACACCACGCCCCTCCCCATGCTTGACACCACGCCCCTCCCCCGTATTTTACATCGTACCCCTCCCCCATGTTTCAGGAGCACCTGCTGTCCAATAGATTGGAAGTCCCCACAGTCACTCTATCCTTGGGAGGAGGAGGGATTTTAGCCCTATTCTAAAGGAGGGAAACTGAGGCACAGAAATGGAGCATGGCCAAACCCCACTGCTGGGTGGTGGCTGAGCTGGGCTCTGGAGCCCCATCCCCACCCCACCTACTTCTGGTTTCCTGCTCCGTACAGGCCATGACTGATTGGGTGTTGGGTGGTTAATATAGATTTCTTTCCTATAGAAAGAAAATTAGGTCTCCAAATCTCATTGACCACTAATCTTTTGGGGAAGAGATTAGGATGTTGTAAGTGGGGAAAATTTTGGCACATGTGATGTTCGTGGATGATCTAGTGGATCACCAGAAAGCTTGGAAGCAGTATGCAACTCTGAGCGAGCATGAACTCACTTAGGGAGCTGTGAGAAATACTGATGTACAGGCCCCACTGCTAGAGATGCAGGCAAAGGTGAGGGGCCTGGGCCTGAACTATTCATAAGCCTGTGCATGACTCTGATTGCCACAGTGGGAGCAGGGCTGTCTCCTTTCTCCCCCTCCATGGCCTGCTGCCCCGATCCAGTCTCTTGGAAAGATAACATGTAGGAACCCTATGAAGATACATTTAATGACAGCATAGTTTCCAGTAAATTCTTGTTAAGGGGTCAAATTAAGAGCCAGTGAGAGTGAAGATCACTTCCTATAGCCCTATTTTGATGCTTTCCGGCACTTGGAAACCCTGGGTTTCATCTAAAATGCAGTGATCTTTACAAAGGGGTGCAGCAGTGGCAATGAATAGGATAGGGTGAGAGTGTTCAGATCGGCTCAATGGCTTTTCCTAACAAGTTTCTCCTCTTTCTCTTTACGTTTCTCCTTTCATTCTGCCTTCCCTGTTCACTGTTCCCTCGCCCTTTTTCTAAAATCCCATCTCTTCATTTCCTTCTGCCCTTAAATTCATTTTTCCTGATGTCTTTGCTCACAGGAGGAAGTACTCAATGGTGGACCACCCATGAAAGGCTTAACAGAAGAAGTGAGTTTATAGGAGGACTGCGGGGTGGTTCAGCATGGGGGATTTATTATATATTTTCCCCTTATTTAAAAAATGTATTCTAAATTATACAAGTACTTTATGCATACATTCCCATAGTGCACAAGAATTCAGATATTAATAATTAAATTCTCCTGAGCTAAAATTATTTTAAATTATACAAGTCCTTTATGCATACATTATCATGGTACATAAGAATTCAAATATTAACAATAAAATCTTCTGTGCTACCACCTCATTCTGCTCCCTTACTCCTACCTCCCATCAGATGAGTGAGTTCATTTCCTTGCCTTTTTTAATGCCTTTCCTGACATAGGTATGACTTGAAGAAATACAATATTGTCAAATCATATATCATAGCCAGTGGATATATTGTTCAATAACTTGCATTTTTCACCTGCCCACATGCCCCAGAGATTCTTCTGGGCTTGCACATCTGCTGTGTTCCGTTTAGTGGCTGCCCAGTTGTCCATAGCATGGATTTATTTAACCATTTGCTTAATGGTAGGCACTCAGGTTACTTCTAAATTTTCCCCTGGAAATACGTGATACTTCAACACATACTGTTGAACATGCCTCCTTCTGCACAAATAATGGAGTTTCTTTAGTTAGATGCTGAGAAGTAAAATTAATTTTAATAGCTGTTGTTAAAGTGCTCTCCAAAGATCTTCCATTATCCATACTGCCACCAGTGTATTGGGACATCTTGTCATTTTAATTCACATTGTCTTATTTCTTTTTCTTTCTTTTTTTTTTTTTTTTTTTTGAGATGGAGTCTCACTCTGTCACCAAGGCTGTAGTGTAGTGGCGCGATCTCAGCTCACTGCAACCTCCCCCCACCGCAGGTTCAAGCAACTCTCCTGTCAGCCTCCCGAGTAGCTGGGACTACAGGCACATGTCACCACACCTGGCTAATTTTCGTATTTTTAGTAAAGATGGGGTTTCACCATATTGATCAGGTTGGTCTTGAACTCCTGACCCAGGTGATCCACCTGCCTCGGGCTCCTAAAGTGCTGGGATTACAGGCGTGAGCCACCGCGCCCGGCCACATTGTCTTTATTTCTAATGAAATTGAATTACCAATCTTTTTATTTTCTTTTTTTCTTTTTTTTTGAGATGAGTCTTGCACTATCGCCCGGGCTAGATTGCCATGGCATGCTCTCGGCTCACTGCAACCTCTGCCTCCCAGGTTCAAGTGATTCTCCTGCCTCAGCCTCCCAAATAGCTGGGATTACAGGCGTGTGCTACCACGCCTGGCTAATTTTTTGTATTTTTAGTAGAGACGGAGTTTCACTATGTTGGCCAGGCTGGTGTCGAATGCCTGACTTGTGATCCCCTCCCATGGCCTCCCAAAGTGCTGGGATTACAGTCATGAGCCACCGCACCTGGCCGTTTTTTTTTTGCTTTTTTTTTTTTTTTTGAGACAAAGTTTTGCTCTTGTTGCCGAGGCTGGAGTGCAATGGTGTGATCTTGACTCACTGCAACCTCTGCCTCCCGGGTTCAAGCGATTCTCCTGCCTCAGCCTCCCGAGTAGCTGTGATTACAGGTGCCTGCCACCATGCCTGGCTAATTTTTTGTATTTTTAGTAAAGACAGGGTTTCACCATTTTGGCCAGACTTGTCTTGAACTCCTGACCTCAGGTGATCCACCCTGCTCGGCCTCCCAAAGTGTTGGGATTACAGGCGTGAGCCACTGTGCCTGGCCACCAATTACTTTTTAATAGGATAAAATTTTATTTTCTCAAAGTAACAATTGGAAAAACAGAGGCAAGTGAAAAATGGAAAAAAATCATTTTATGGCAACTAATATAATTTTTGTGCATCATTTTTTAAACATCTTTTACAAAGTTGTACTTCTAGCATACATGTAAGTTTTATGATCTGTAGGTTTTAATGATCTCCTAGACATTGTTTGGTGGTGGTTTTTAGCATAAAGTGTAACTATTTAAATTTGCTCTTTTTCTGCTAGGTGTTAAAATATAATAGAATGAAAGCTAACATTTATTCATTCAGGCTCTTTTGTAGGCTCAGGGGGCAAAGTCAAGAACAAAACAACCATGATCTCTGTCTCAGTTTCTCACAGGGAAAGACAGACAATAGAGGGAGAAGGAAATGGGATGTTAGAAGGTGATGAATGCATGAGGGAGGCAGGAAGTGAGTGGGGAAGGCTCGCTTAGGAGTGAGGATTTGGGCAAGGTGACTCACGCCTGTAATCCCAGCACTTTAGAAATCTGAGACAGGTGGATCACTTGAGCCCAGGAGTTCGAGGCCAGCCTGGGCAACATGGTGAAACTCAGTCTCTACTATAAATACAAAAATTAGCTGGGCATGATGGTGCATGCCTGTGATCCCAGCTACTGGGGAGGCTGAGGTGGGAGGATCACCTGAGCCCAGGACCCAGAGGTTGCAGTGAGCTGAGATCACACCCCTTCACTCCAGCCTGGGCAAGAGAGTGAGACCCTGTCTCAAAACAAACAAACAAAAAACAGAAAGAAAGAAAAAGAAAGAAGACAGGGTTGGGGGGGAGGGTGGGGAGGAAGGAAGGGAGGGAGGGAGGGAGTGAGGATTTGAAGGAGGTGAGAGTGAGGCCACCTGGGAAAGGGTATCCAGGCAGAGGGAGTGGCCAGGGCAAAACTCTGGTGTGGGGCATACCACACAGTCAAACGGGATCCCTCTGAATGCTATGTAGAGAATAGGCTATGGTAGGGGGTCAGCAAGAGAGGAAGCAGAGACCAGGAAGCCGTCTCCTTGCTGCAGGGGAGAGGCAATGGAGACTGGGGCCGTGTGGTCACTGGAGGTGATGAGATG
The DNA here is from genome assembly GCF_000001405.40 of Homo sapiens. NCBI lineage: Eukaryota > Metazoa > Chordata > Mammalia > Primates > Hominidae > Homo > Homo sapiens. The sequence goes on from NW_013171814.1 coordinate 113,079, forward strand.
CCTTCAGAGTCTAGGTATGCTTGGAAAGTGCTGACACTGTGATTGACCCTGAAGATTTTAGCCTGAGCAAATAGGATAGACTTTGCAGAAATGAGCTATGCAAGACCCTGGAAGAGCAGCTCTGGGGGGCAAAGGTCAAGAGTCCCGTTTGGGCATGAAAGGTTTAAGATAGTATTAGTCACCTTAGAGGAGATGTTGGTCCACCAGTTCGATGCACATTGGTGGTGTTCAGAGGAGGATAATGAGCTGGGTGCTGCTTTAAGCCCAGGGGGTGAGGAAGTTTACAGGAGAGGATCAAAGATTGAGCCTTGACTTAAGAAGTTGGGGAGATGAGGAGGAAGTAACAAAGGAGACTGTTTGCATTGTTTCTCACATGTTAACTCATTTAGTCTTGAAGATGTTGTTATTATTACCATCTTACAAGGGAGGAAATTGAAGCACAGAGAGGTTGACTTAAGCTTCCTGAGGCCACACAGCAAGTACATGGCAAGACTGGGGTTTGAAACAGGCAGCCTGTCTCCACGTACCATCCACTTACCCTCTCTGCTATTGGTAGACCTATTATTATTACAGATGGGGGAAACTTCGTCCTGGGGATGAAGCGATTTGCCCAAGGTCATAGAGTAAGTGGCGGAGCTGAGATCTGAATTCAGGACTCTCTGCTTCAAGAACTCAAGCTCCTAATCACGCAAGCATTCTCTACAACAGGAAAGTTGTTTGTTCCTGAAAAGATGGGAGCAAAAGCCTCCCTCTCTCTCTCTCAAATCTCAGCCATCAGCAGCATCCTGTCCCTCTTAGCACAGGTCTTTTCTAAAATATCACTGGATAGAGAATGAGCTGCCAGCCAGCCTTGGGTCCCACATCAGGGTCTTGGTTCTCCTCCCCATGTCAGTAAGCCCATGTGCCCAGGAGAAAGGAAGATGTCATGCACACTCCTGTCTTTGAGAAGTTGGGTCTTCAGGCTGGCAGGATTCTGACTGGGGTCTGTGAGACTGGGAGGAAGCCATTTCCCTTCAGCCTCAAGTCTCCCTTCAGGGAAATGAAGGCATTGGTGAGAGCCCTGGTTGCATTGTGCAGCCCCCACCTGGCACAGGTTTTACACACAGAGGTCACATTCCACCACCACCTATGCATTCAGACACTGGGGAAGACCTGGCCTGTGGACCCCCAAAATCCCCCCTGGGTGTCTGACGCCACCCTCGGTTAAGAAGCCCTGGGTAAGATGACCTTTAAAATAACTATGCATTTTGAAATAATTTCAAATATACATAGAAATTACAATAATAGTGCAAACAATTCTTGCATATCCGATTAACATCTTACTACATTTGTACCCACACTCTCTCTCTAAATATATCTTATGATATATATAATTTATACATATAATTGTATGTAAAACTTCTTTCTAAATCATTTGAGAGTTAGTTCCAGACATGATGCCCCTGTATCCCTTGACACTCCAGTGTGTATTTCCTCAGAACAAGGACATGATACAGTATAGGAAATGAACATTGATAGAATGCTGTGATTAAACCTATAGCTCTTTCAGCAATTTTCCCAGTAATATTGTTTAGAGCAAAAAAAAAAAAAAAATTGGCTGTGATCTTTGTCTAATCCAAGATGACATATTGTGTTTAATATCAGTCATTTTTCCTGGCTCTTTGAATGATCCCTATTTCTGTCCTTTGCTCATGCTGCCACTTTTTGGCTGTGTATTCCTGGGTGAGTTACTTAACCACACTGTGCTTCAGTCTCCATGTTTGCTAATTAGAGAAGGTAAGAGTGCCTCAGCAGCCATGAAGAGTAAATGTTAGTAAGTGCAATGGACTTAGAACAGTGCCTAGATTTAAGAGAAGTCTTTATATAGTCTGGTGATTAATTCTTTGCTACACAGCAGGCTCCCCTTATCCACTGTTTTGCTTTCCATGGTTTTAGTTACCCACGGTCAACTACAGTCCAAAAATGTCAAATGAAAAATTCCAGAAATAAACAATTTATACATTTTAAATTGTATGGCATTCCAAGCAGTATGATGAAATCTCATGCTGTCTCTCCCGGGACATGAATCATCCCTTTGTCCAGCGTTTCTAGGCTGTATCCTCTACCTGCGCGTCACTGCCCAGCCCAGAGTCACTGAGCAGACATCTCTGTTACAGGATCACAAACAGATGTAGGGCTTTTTACCACCCACGGTTTCAGGCATCCACTAGGGAATCTTGGAATGGATCCCTCAAGGTTGGGGGGGTGGGCGACTGTGCATGTTGCAAGTAGCTTCTCACTTGTCTTTATTTGTTCATGATTTCTTTTGTCGCTTAGAAGTTTGAAATTTTGATGTAGTTTAAAATTTGCATCTCAGATTTTAATCACCTTGGAATGTGTTTTCCAAGAATAGTGCAAGGCAGATATCTAAGGTCAATTTTTCAATGGCTGGGTGGTTGTCTCAATACCATGTATTTATTGATGAGTCTCTCCCTCAATTCAAAACACAATCCTTACCTATATGAGGTTCCCATTTGTACATTAATTTGCTTGTGGGTGCAGTTTTATCAGTTGATCTGCTCTTTTATTCCTGTACTGGTTCAACAGCTTTTTTGTCTCTAGCTTTTTTTTTTTTTAATTAATTTATTTATTTTGAGTTGGAGTCTCGCTCTGTTGCCCAGGCTGGAGTGCGGTGGCGCGATCTCTGCTTACTGCAAGCTCTGCCTCCCGAGTTCATGCCATTCTCCTGCCTCAGCCTCCCAAGTAGCTGGGACTACAGGTGCCTGCAACCACGCCTGGCTAATTTTTTTGTATTTTTTAGTAGAGACGGGGTTTCACCGTGTTAGCCAGGATGGTCTTGATCTCCTGAACTCGTGATCCACCCTCCTCAGCCTCCCAAAGTGCTGGGATTACAGGCATGAGCCACCGCACCCAGCCCGGGCTCTAGCTTTATGAGATACTTTGATATCTGGTAGGGCTGGTCTCTTGGAGGAGTTTTAGGCACCACTGAAATGGGGGCCTGGTCTAGCTTTAGCACCTCCAGCCTCCCACACTCTGAGCTTCTTGCTTCTCTCTCCTCCTCCTCCAATGCTCAGTACCCTGGGGTCTCCCCAATCTTTCCCAATCTCTGCTCATAAAACACTGGCCGGGTGTGGTGGCTCCCACCTGTAATCCTAGCACTTGGGAGGCCAAGGCAGGTGGATCACCTGAGCTCAGGAGTTTGAGACCATCCAGGGCAACATGGTGAAACCCTGTCTCTACTAAAAATACAAAAAAATTAACCGGGTGTGGTGGAGAACGCCTGTAGTCCCAGCTACTTGGGAGGCTGAGGCAGGAGAATTGCTTGAGCCCCAGAGGGGAAGGTTGCAGTGAGCCAAGATTGTGCCACTGCACTCCAGCTTGGGCCAGAGTGAGACTCCGTCTCAAAAACAAGACAAACAAACAATAAAACACTCTTCATCCTGGGATGTAAAGACAAATAGCTTATTTTCATTGTTTTTTATTGTGAAATACTTAAGATGGACTGATAACAGAGAATAATAAAATGCACATCTATTTTGAGTGGAGAACAAACACCTGTACTCTCATGTTTATTAAGTCTTAACCCTGTGTCATGTTTGTTCCAGGTTTTTAAATTAAGACACGAATTTTAATAGCTGTGGTTGAGGCCTTTAAACCACTCTTGTGAATTTGATGCTCATCGTTCCCATATCTAACAAACTTCCCACGTTTCCTGCCTTTCTGTTTGATGACCTTTTCAAGTAAGACACCACCTTTACCCCCAAGAGAACTTAAAGGTTCAGGAGGCTCAAAGCTGTAAGCCTGTTTGCCTTGAAAGGGAAATGTGTGGGATTTCAAGCCCTGGCCCGGACTGAGGAGCGGGTCTGGAGAGGTGGACCCTTCTTCATTCTTGACTCATCTCCTATAGATCAGGACAGGTTCTGGGGAGGTCCATTTCTGGAGATTTTCTAGGCGGTGTCTCAGAGAAGGCAAACGGGAGGCAGGAGGTGGTGGTGCCTGTGCCACAAGAAGCTGGTGTTGAGAGCAGAATCCCAGCAGGGATGGGGAGGAACTTCGGAATAGGGAAGGGAGGGCTACCAGAGGGCCTTTAGGGCCAGGGAAGAAGCGTGTCTCTGATGGAGGGGATTCAGGCAGTAGCCCTGGACAGGTTGCCTCTGGGGCTACTGCTGGGCTGGGGTTTGAGATGGAGCCCCACAAGCCCAGTGGGTAGAGCTTGCTGTGCTAAGTGTGATCATTCACACTTCACTCCTCCCCATTTACACAGTCACACGCAGGGCCACAGTCCCTCCTCCTGCTGGGGGTTGTGCCCGCCTCCGGCTTTGTTGGGTCTCTGGAATGAGGCTCTGTGGACTCCACCATCTTGCTGGCTTTCTTGTGCACAGATCACCCGCTTTGCCTGCTGCTCATCTGTTCCACACTCTGAGATCCACTGCTTCATTTCCATCTCTACCACCACTGCTAATGAACCCCAATGTGGGACCCTCCTTCCCCACTTCCCCCCTGGGCCAGTTCAGCCTCCCCTAACAGAAGCCTTCAACCCCTGCATATGGAGGAAGTGTCTCTGAGTTCTTTAGCCTGACAGCCGCCATCTGCCCTAAGCTGGCCACGTTCTACTGAGCCTGTTGCCCCTCTTGGGCACCTCACTCTTCTCTGGGAACCCTGGGTTGCCTGCTTTTCCTCCCTTACAGCCCCTGCCGAGAGCACACTCTTCTTCATCTCAGCCGTGCCGTCCCCACCCCCCTCTCATTGCTGTTATTTGACATGTCATCTGACCTCTCCTGTGTGGGGACACTCTTTGTTGAGGGCCCCACACAGAAGGCACTCAGGAAGTGACTTTTGGTTGGCAAATGTACAGTTATGGATGGCCTTGGACAAGGCAGAGCAGTCTCGTTGGAGCTTGGAAAGCTCACCAAGGAGGGTAGGGTTGCATACGGATGTGCACGAAGCCTCAGGGTCTGATTTGTGCGTGCCCATCAGGAGGCCCCATCCTGCCAAGGCCCGTGCTGACCCTGGAGAAGGTGTGTCCCCCGTGAGTCACCGTGCCGTGGAATATCACACCAGCACTACGCAGCTGGGGTTAAAATGTTCAGGATGCCTGGAAGGGGAGAAGCCTTTTTCTGAGAGGTCACCTAGGATGGGATGAGGAGTGCAAGCATGGCCTCATGTTCCCTCCAGCCAGTGGGCACTGTGTGCCTTGGATGTCTCCCACCTGTCAGCCAGGCTCCAACCAGGGAAGCAGAAACTACTCCAATATATAAAGCAGAGGGATTATAGTTACAGTACTTTAAACATTATACATACGTATGTATATACATATACATATGTTTATGTGTATCTGTATACATTATTCTAAAAATGTGGACTGGACATGGTGGCTTATGCCTGTATCCCAGCACTGTGGGAAGCCAAGGTGGGTGGATCACCTGAGGTCAGGAGTTTGAAACCAGGCTGGCCAACATGGTGAAACCCCATCTCTACTAAAAATACAACAATTAGTTGGGCGTGGTGGCGGGCACCTGTAATCCCAGCTACTCAGGAGGCTGAGGCAAGAGAATCGCTTGAACCTGGGAGGTGGAGGTTGCAGGGAACCAAGATTGCGCCACTGCACTCCAGCCTGGGCGACAGAATGAGCCTCCATCTCAATAAATAAATAAATAAATAAATAAATAAATAAATAAATAAATAAATGTACATATATACTTATAGTTATGTATGCATGTATTTTACGTATGTATGAATACATACATATTAGTTTTTGTTTTGGAATTATTTTAGACTTATAGCCAAGGTGCAGAATGGAACAGGGTGTTCCCAAACACTTGTCACTCACCTTGCCGTAATATGAACACCTTACATAACTATAGAACCATTATCAGAAGCAGGAAATTAACATTGGTACAATGCTCTTAACTAGAGGCTTTATTCAGATTTCACCAGTTGTTCCACGAACGTCCTTTTCCTGTTCCAGGATCCAAATTTGCATGTAATTGCCACATCTCCTCTTTCCCTTCCAATCTGATATTTTGTCTTCTCTTTTCTTTTACAACCTTGACACTTTTGAAGAGTTCTGGTCAATGCTTCTGTAGAAAGCTCATTAATTTGGGTGGCGTGATGTTTTCTCATGATTATGTCGAGAGGGTGCATTTTGTCAAGAATACCCCAGAAGTGATGTGCCCGTCTCGATGCACCACACTGGGGAGTCCATGATGCAGATATGTTTTGTTACTGGTGATATTAACCTTGATCACTTGGCTAAAGTGGCATCTGATGGTTTCTCATTTTTCTCTCCCCACTGACAGCCACAATTAATAAATATCTTGGGGGAAATACTTTGAGACTGCAATGATCCAAGCAGAGGGAATTTAATACAAAGAATTGATTACTCCTACCTGAGAAGCTCCACAGCCCAGAAAATGGCAACCTCAGGTAGCTAGTACCAACTCTTGACCTGAGGCTCAAAGAAAGAAGGTGTTGCCAGAGTCCAGGGTTCCCGGTCATGCATAGAAGCCTGTCTGGTGAGGCTGGAGCCAGGAAGGAGACCCAGGCACTGCTGGTAATGCTGCCTGAGGCATAGAGAGATGGGAGAAATGCCCTCTTCCTGTCTCCCATTGGCCAAGCCCAGCCAGAAGCCAGCTGACGTGGGAGCCTGGGAATTGTGGTCCGCAGGGGTCAGCCCCTCTGCAGTATAGTGGGGATGGGCAAGGAGTGCCTCTGACACCGTTGCCACTTCTCTAGGGCTCCACTGACCCTTATGGTAGCCACAGGCCACGCATGGCTCTTGAAATGTGGCTCATCCAAACTGAGGTGTGCTCTAAGTGGATTTCTAACACGGAATGGAAAGAAGAATGTAAAATATCTCATTAACAACTTTTCATATTGATTACCTGTTGAAGTGATAATATTTTGATGTATTAGATTAAATATAATATATTATTTCATTTAATTTTACCTGTTTCTTTTAAAAATTTGGCTACTAGAAAATTTAAAATTCCGCCTGTGGTTTCTATGTGTGGCTCTCATTTTGTTTCAGTTGGATAGTGCTGCTCTAGGGTACACTTCTACCCAGCCTATGTCAACAACATTGTAAGAATAACATCCATCCTGGACAAAGGTCATACCCTTGAGCCATGCTCAGGAGGGCATGTCCAGCCAAGGTTTTAGAAAGCCAGGACTGCACTGGCACACACTCACAGCTCTGACCATGTCATCAAACATACAGAGACTGGGCTTCCCTCTGCTTTTTCTTTTTTTTCTTTTTCTTTTTCTTTTTCTTTCTTTTTTTTTTTTTTTTTTTGAGGCTCACTCTGTCACCCAAGAGCATTGTGCATTGGCACGACCACAGCTCACTGCAACCTTAAATTCCTGGGCTTAAGCAATCCTCCAGCCTCAGCCTCCCAAGTAGCTAGGACAGCAGGTGCATGCCACCATAGCTGGCTAGTTTTTGCTTTTGTTTTAGTAGGGACAAGGTGTCTCTATGTTGCCCAGGCTGGTCTCAGACTCCTGGGTTCAAGTGATCTCCTGTCTTGGCCTCCCAAAGTGCTGGATTATAGGTGTGAGCTGCCTGGCCCTCCTCTGCTCTTTATGTATCATGCAGGGTGTAGGTTAAGGTCAATATTCAACAACTTCAGCTCCGGAGGCTACCTAATGTTTAATACAATAGTAAAAACACTATCATATACCTGGATAGCATTTGACAGGAAGGGCTATATGACTGCTACTGCATTGTATCTATACAGTGTTTTTATAGCTCACAAAGGTCTTTCATCCCAGCCTCCCAGCCAGTCACCCAGCATGGCTCTCCTCATTTTATAGATGACAGAATGAAGCCTGAGAGATCACATGGATTTCTGTGGCTCCCAGACTCCCAATGCATCCCTTGGGGAGCTCGTCAAAATGCTGATCCTCTGGCCCTGGCCTCACAGAGTCTAATTCAGTGGGTAAAGCCTGGGGCCCAGGGACCTCCATGTTGCAGACTCTGGGGACTCTTGTGCAGATGGTTGTCAGACCACACTTTGGGACACAGCAGCCCTCTGAGTTCTCAGGGGATGTGAGTGGCAGGGCTTGTCTGAGCCATGCTTCTAATAGCCAGGTTGGGCTCTTTCCTGGTGCCAAACCCATCATCTTTTGGAGCTAGGCTTCTAGGAAGACCAATACATACCTGCCTCACTGCCATCTCTGGCCACACCCGTGATGTAATAGAGGGTTAGTGTGGCTGAAGCCAGGTCAGGCGGTCAAACATGGTGCTGGTTGTACCAAACTCAGAATAAGTTTTGTCATATCTGGCTGACTTTGGGATATAGCCAGTCTTTGTCACTGTGCTGGGCTCAGGTGAAGGGAAGTGAGTTTGCCTCCCCCAAGCGGACACCAAAGCTTCATCTTGATGTGGAGCTTGATGATGCCAAATTGGGTCTGATGGTTGAGAAAGATTTGCATTGAAATGGCCAAATAGGATTCCACAGTCATGCTAATGGGGAAGGCCAGGGCACAACTCCTGCAGCCTGGCAGAGTGAGCATGGGCCTGGCTGTCCTGCCGTCACTGATCGCTCCTTTCTGTTCTGCAGTGGACAGCGGACTGCAGCGAACCGCTGGACAGCAGCTGTTCCTTCTCCCGAGGGCGAGCCCCCCCACAGCAGGTAGGGAACCAGCTCTGCGCTCTGTCTGGGGGTGTCCTATGTCTTGTCTGCCTGGGTTCCTGGGCCGGCCCACAGTGGCTCCTGAGGAGTGGTGACATGGAGAGTGCAGAGAGGTGGGAGAGGGGAGGGGGCATCTGTTCCCTGGAAAGCCCTCCCTAACTCCCTGCCCACAGGGAAGCTCCCACTCCCCCAAACTCATCGATTGATGAGATTTCTTTTTAGTAGCTGCGTTCTATATATTAACACATATCTGGAAGCAGCCCAGATGTTCACTGAGGGGAATGGAGAGGTGCCTTGGGATCCATCCTTACAGTGGAATATTACACGGCTCTCAAATGACTGCACTGAGGGTTCAGGTACCGACATTGCAGCCCCACAAACAATGGGACTCGGCATTTTGATGCTGGTGGGTGCTTTGGATATCACTTCTGCTCCAGATCTGCAGAAGGCCTGGGAGGGGCAGCCTGTGGGGGAGCTGTCAGAGACCTGTCCATCCCCTCAGCCAACCAACAGTCCTGGGACCCCGCCAGAGCCTGCCACCTTTCTCCCTGCTGCTTGCGGTGAGGTCCTGAGAGGCTTGTGGGTGGGTTGCATGGCTGGGAGGGAAGGGAGGCAGCTGCTGCTCTTTGAGAGCTGCCCTGGTGACCCCCTGGCCCTCCACCAAACCCTATGGTGGTCCAGCTGTTCTCACTGATACCTCATCCCTGCCTGCAGGAGCCTGTGGGATTAGAGGCTGAAAAAAACATGTGTCCCCATCCCGAGTCCAGCCTCAGACTATGCCTGTCTGGAAAGCGGAGGGAGCCCCTGCAGGCTCCTGCGAGGGGCCATGCCTGGTTTCAGAGCCGCTGCAGTCATGGGTTGCCCTGGGCCTGCTTGCTCATGTTCAGCTTCAGTCCACTTAATCATGTTCAGCTTTGGTCTCCTGGCAGATTCACCCAACTCCTCTATTCTGTCCCGAGAGAAGCTGGTCAGTGGCCTTGGTTCTAGATCTTTCTTAGGCTGTAGGGCGTGGCTGCCCCATGGTGTGGAGGGACGGCTGCCCAGGATGGTTCTTTCACGTGACAAAATGTGCTTGTACGTCTTGTTTCTTAAGAAGGAGGCCATAATAAGAGCCCAGGGGGTGGGGGGTGATGGGAGACCTGGAGTCTCGTTTTTGTTCTGCCGCAAACTTGGTGGCAAACTCTTCCTTCTTGGGTCTCAGCTTCCTCACATAAAACCCAGAAGGAGCCTCGACGGCCTCTGAGGGTCCTTCTAACATCTCCGTGCCATTTGCAGATGAGGAAACTGAGTCCCACGGAGGTGCCACTTGTCTGCCCTCCTCCCCATACGGCACTGCTACCTTGCCCAACTGCAGGAGGTGGCCTTCTAGGGGGTGCCTCTGTCTCTGCTGCCTCCCTGCCTGGGACCCCATGTTATGCTCCCTGACCCCCTAGCTTTTGGTCTAGGCCCTGCTCCTCAGGGGCACTGTCTCTAGCTCCTGCCAGTTATTCTGGGGTCTCCTAAAAGGAGATTCCCCTCACTCTTCAGCAGCAATGGTGAACTTGGATTTGGGGACTCAAGCACCAGAGAGAGGCTTTCAGGAAGTGCTTGAAGCTCTTGGATGGGAAATAAGAGGTTTGTCACTGAGAGCTCTCTGCTGTTTGGTCAGCAGGTGTCTGGTTCTGGAATGTTCCAATGAAGAGTCCTTTTTCCTCTCCTCTTTACCATCTTTCTGGGGGCTTGTCTGCTGTCTTTCCCCTCTGGTCCCCTTCTCCACATCACTCCTGATAGGGTCTCCAGGGGTTCAGGAAGTGTTCTACCCCCTTTCTCCCCTCATCTGCCTCACCTCCCACACCCAGCTGTCCTCTCGGGTCTGCCTTCCCCACCTGCAGGAGGTCATGTAGGGGTTCGCCAGATAATATGGGTCCATGGAGCAGGGCTGGGGGCTTGTGGAGTGGGGTTAGGTATGGGCTTGTCCCTGCTCCAGGCACCCTAACACCGCAAGGAGCAGCTCACCCCAATCTCACCTTCAAGAAGCAGCTGAGCAGTTGACTCGGGGTACGCAGTGTTTGACAAAACGAAATATAACTCAACTTAAAAGTGAAGTTGTGAAAAGCTCATATTAAATCCTTTCTTGACAGGTGGAACTGAGACGTAGCTTCATTACAGGGGAGGAGCCCAAGGAGGGTGGAGGACAGGGTCTCTGCATAGAACCCCACCTAATCACCTGACATGCCCAGAGGCAAGGTTTTGTGGGAGGGACCTCCTACAGGCCTTAGGGGCACTGGCATTCCCATCACCCCTGACCTGCGGTGGCCGACTGATCATCTCAGAGGGAAGAGGGAGAGATGTCTACTTCCGAGAAGTGGAAGAGGGGCTGGGCCACTGAGGGACACCCCCTGCCACAGACATGTGTGCCTGGTGCCGTGTTGGTCTTGGGTGCAGAGTCTGTGACGCCCATGCCTGGAGAGCCGGCTGGGACGGAAGGGAAGGCTCAGTCAGAATGCTGGGTTTGCCTGAGTCTGGCGTGGGATGCACCACCTGTGCTGTATGAAATTGCTTACAGCCACGGAAACCTCTGAAGGTTGGAGAGGGTCTTTCAGGAGCGATTTCTTAGAGGTTTGTCAACCAGGAGTGTTTGCAGGGACCTGGTGCTGAGCTCCCGGTGGGCTTGAAGCCAGGGACCTGCCTTCAAGGGCGTCACTGCTAAGTGGGAAGGACAAGACACAGGTGTAAAAAAATGCACCCTGCACGGCATGAGATGGGGCCCAGGGGGCAGCCTGGAGTTCAGAAACCTGGGCAGGTGCACAGAGGAGGTGAGGGGGAGTTGCACCTCCTGGATGGATGGCCAAGGTTCAGACCTGGGTGCTGCAGGGGGAGGCAGGAGCATCTGTGGGCCTGAATTTACACGAGGTCTCCTGTGGTTGGCAGCACCTTGGTTCAGTGATGACAGGCTTTATTTTTAGACATCAGAGACTGAATTTATTAGGTACAAACAACAGGGTGGCATAAACAAGAGGAATCTTTATTTTTCTCTTGCCACCAGCCTGGATGGGCGTTTGGGGCTGGTGTGGTAGCCCAACAGTGTGGGGGCCGGCTCCTTGCTTCTCACTGCTCTACCCTCTCTAGAGTGTTGCCCTTGGCCACGTGGCCCATGGTGGCTCATACCCACGTCCATGCATCTGCCCGTGGGGACACCCACCTGGGTTTCCTTCCCAGGAAACTCTGATTTCTGCCCACGAAGCAGCCATCTCCTGTTGCCCCCTACTGGAGGGATCAAAGCTGGGCGGCTTCCTTTGAGTGACGGCACCCCAAGGAAAGCCCCATGTAGCTGGCCTGTGGCAGTGTCCTTGTCACCCCTGTCATGCAGGGGCTCTCTGATGGAGGAGGACCCAGGCAGCTGCCCACTGAAGGGTGCCTTTGCTGAGTGCCACTCTGATGGGATGCTGCTGTTCCCTTCATCCTTCAAGGCTCCCTTCAGCCTGGCCCACCAGAGGCAAGAGCACAGGACCAGCTCTCGGGGACACCACCCATGAGCACCCCGGCTGGCTCCTTGCTGCACTCACGCGCCCAGGCAGACACCCTCACACTGACTCATGCTGTTGCCAAGCTGTTCCGCGCACACCTGCCTGTGCCTCAGCCAGCTGGTCAACCCTAAGACGGGAGTCAGGGCGGGCTCTACTTCCTCAACCACTTCTGGCCTAGGGCCTTGTACTCAGTAGGCACTCAATAGTGATGCCTGAGACTGCACTGAGTTGGCCCAGGCTCAGTCTGTGCAGTCATTCCCTAGTGGGCCCTTTTCCTCCTGCCACACCAACTTTGATGAGCTTTCTGGGGCCATCAGGATGATGGGAGAACACTGCTAACCCATTTTCACCCGTGGGGACAATTAGTTTCAGGGAGAAACTGAGGCTACATGGAGATGCGGTGGCTGGCTGCTCTGGTGCTCCTCTTGACTGCCCACGTTGGCTGCACATGTCCAGGAAAGTAGAGTTGGCAGGAAGATGCAGAGGTCCTGCATTCTGCCAAGCAACCTCTGGGTGGTGGGTCACAGACCATGCCCTGCACCAGGGCCCAGGGCCCAGATGTGGCCCCATTTGCAGATTAGTCATACACTGGGATGATTGATTCATCCCCAGCAGGCTTCCAGCCTCATCCTGTTTGTTATTTTAGCTAATGTCAAAAAGAAAACCTTGCTTTTTCTGAACCCTTTCAGAGGCAGAAAGTGGGGGCAACCTAGAAGAGATTGGGTCCCACGAGAGAGGAGGAAGAGAGCCCAGAGAGTGTAGAGCATAAAAAGGGCTACAGATAGTTCAGAAGAGGCTGACCAGCTGCCGGCAACTGGGATTCAGCTGTATTTGGGATTGCCTGACATCCTGGCATCCTCTTCCCAAAAGACTCACCCATCACCTAGTCATTTAGTTAGGACGTCAGACGTTTCCAGCTTTTTATTGTAATGGGGGAAATGTATAGGGATTGTTGAAATGAGAGACTGCAGCAGCAGTACATTCAGAAAGCTTTTCAAGGTGTTGGCATGGGATTTAGAATTCAGGAAAGAAACCAAATGCATGGGAAAGGTTGTATGGGGTCAGGAGTGAGCAGCTGTTTTCCATCTGCACAGGTGTGCCAAGAACAGGAAATTAATATGCACCACAACAGCACAGCCTCTGATTAGACTTGGGAAGGACTTCCCTTGACGGAAGGACTTGTTGGCCCACCGTGTTGGCTGTTAAGCAAGGTGATGAAATCTTTGCTAGGAACCTGATGAGCACGACTGCCTATCAGGCAGGTTCACCTGAAGCCCTGGGAAAGATGGGGGTGTGTCACAAATGATGACTTTGAGTTTTGACTGAGGGCCTATGATCCCAACATTCCCTGGAATAAGTGAAGGGCACTCTCTTGTTTCATCCTGACGCCCTGTAGCAAACAGAAGCATAAAGAGAGTCAAAGAGCCTTGTCCCAAGCTCCAGGAGAACCAGATGTTGACCCAGGAGTGACACTGGCTCCAAGCACCTATTCAGAAAAACAACTACACAGACTCCTTAGAGTCTCTCCAGAAATCTCTGTTTGCATTCTGTAACTCCGTGAAACACCCAACTGGATCCAAATCACTGCCACAGCAGGTCTGGGTCTTCCTAATTTCTCTACTGTTCCCCATCCCCTGATACCTTTGCCAACCTTCAGGCCAGCTGTATGGGCACCAACATTGACTCCGACCCAGGGGATAACAGATGGTAGGTGGAGGAGACCCTCAAATACACTAATTACCTCTGGCCCCAGAAAAAGATGGAAGGAGTTTTCTGCAAGTCAACTTGCTACCCTTCAGTAATTATAGGATTTGGTTCTGTGCTAATTTAAAAAATAATTAGTGCAAATGATATCTTAGTAAAAGTGCCTACATTTTTTAGCACTTCCTTGGATACGTAAGAAATACCAGGTATATGTTCATAGTGCTGCTCTCTGTTTAGTTCGTATTTATTGAGTCCCTGCTGTGAGCCCAGCAGATGCGTCTGAGTGGGAGCTTCTGGATCACTGCCAGTTTGTAGGGTAAAAACTAGTTTACACAGAACAAGATGACAACATACACGTAAGATCCCCAAAGAGATGTCATCCTGGCCACAAGAACTGTGGTGATTCCAAAGAGTGGTTCAGTTGGTCTCTGTGGGTAGGGAGGTGTCTTGCAGGACATGAGGCCTGACCTATGCCTTTGGGAATGGGTAGGATGTTTGACTAGATGGAAGGGAAGAGAGAAGAAGATGAAGAGAGAAGACATGATGTTAGCAAAGGTTGAGTAGGGCACAGTGTTGGGATGTTAGAGTAATAGTTAGGAGGCAGCACAGCTAGAGGAGGATCATATTGGGTGTTACTCAAGTGGGGGGCTGAGAATGGTGAATGCAGAGGGGTCTGTGTGTGGGCTCAGATGTTGGAACCTCTGTCCAACCCAGCCCCTGTTGTGTGCCTTGAACTTTTTTCTTGTATCTTTCTCTGGTGTTCCATACAGGCAAAGTCTGTTCCCCTGTATCAGTCAGGATAGCCTAGATAATGCTGCAGTAACAAACAACCCCAAATCTCAGTAACATTAACATTAAACAACCAACAACCAAACAATCCAAATCTTAGTAACATTAAACAACCAGGGCACAGCTTGGTGGGGCAGTTCCGTTTTAACCAGTTGCCATGACAGAGAAAAAGGAGCTCTGGAGGATCATACATTGGCAGTTCAGTGCTCCAGCCTAGATACAACACTTGTCACTTCCGCTCTGAGCTTGTTACCCAGAACGGGTCATGTGGCCTCATCCAACCATAAGCACATTAAGAAGTACAATGCTACTCTGTGCCTGGAATGAGGGGAACCAGAATTATTTGGTGACTGGCTGGAATGACTGTCACATGCCCTATCTCTAGTAGCAGCTTCCCGGAGGCTGGGGCTGAACTTTTCTTTCCCTCTTCTTCTTCACCACCTCAAATCCTTGATGGAACTCAAGGATTAAACTTGTGGGGGCCTAGGGTAACGCTTAGCTCTCTGAAGATTTGCTGAAAAATCAACTTGTAAAAGGCAGATTAATAAGAGAAAAGGCATACACATTTATTTAACATGTATACATGGGAGGCTGCAGAATGAAGACCCAAAGATACAAGGAAAATTATCTATTTTTATGGTTAAGTTCAACAAAGTATGGACAGTTGTAGAAATGGGATTGGACCAAAAGGGCATGATCTAATGCTAATAGACAAAATGGGGAAACACAGCAAGGCCTGTCTGTCTAGACTCTCCCTGGCCTGTCTGTGCAGCATTCCTTCCTTCTGAGTTGGGGCAGGACCCTCTCTGGAATGGGGGTGTCATGACCTATAATCAAACAAAGCAGATCAGATAATTTATTTATGGCCAGTTTTTAAAAAGAAAGGCAGAGGGAGAATTAGAGCTCTATCTTTAGGTTTCATGGCTGGCTTTGGGAGAAAGAGGCTGTGGTTTCTCGTGGTGGGGAAGAGGGAGTCTAACTTCTATGGCTAGCTTCAGGGGAGAGTGAGACTGACAGGCAGGAGGGCAGAAAGTCAGAGAAAGACTTTTGCTTCTGAGGCTGCTGCTGAGGCCTTCATTTTGGGATATTGTTTTCTGAGCCCCAACAAACTCCCATGCACTGGAGTTTAAGGCCTCCAGTGAATTCTGAAACATCATGGGCTCTCAGATGGCAGGAAGCTCAGAGGTCACCTGATCCAAGTCCCCACCATGTTAGCAAAGGTTGATTTCCAGTAGCAGGGAGCATTTCCAGCAGCAGGGAGCTCACTGCTTCAGAAGGCATCTCAGCATATTGTTAGGCAGCTCCATTAATAAAAAAGTTCTTTCTTTGATTCAGCCGCAAGCCCCCTTCTCATTGCTCCAGCTGACGGTTTTTATTTAACTCTTTTGCTTGTGTCTTTTGCCTACTTACTTTCCTCAGCAGCCGAGCACGGCAAGTCTTTTTAAGCTAAATATCCCCTTTCCTGCATGAGGAATTGCCTTTGCTGTGGTTGGGTCATTCCTTTGTTTATTTATTTGTTCTTTCACCTATTGATCGGCTCCAATCAGCCAGTCATCACTGAGGGCTGCGGTACTCCAGGTTGGGCACTGGGCACTGGGATGGTGAGGAACATAGCCATGGTGGCTGTTTGCATGGAGGGTAGAGTGGAGAGAACAGATGCTGAAGCTGCAGTGAGAAGATGTCTGGGACATGACACAGTGGTCCTTCGGGCCTGGGTCACATGCCCAGGAGCACTAGAAGTGTGCGCTGTGATTCCCCTTAACATTCCTCCCAGAAACAAACATGGCACAACCTCTGTGCTCACCAGCGTGTATGTCTGTCTTTCAGAAAATGCCATCTGTCCTCATCCTCAAAGTGCCTTCTGGCTCCAGCTCACTTGGAGGAACAGGATGCCACACTTACTAAACAATGCTGACAACTAGCTCCTATAGGGAGAACCATCAGCAGCCATGCATTGGGTGCTTGCTGTATACATTCTGAGCCACATGGCCTGGTCTCTGCACTCAGGGAAGCTGGAATCTGCTTAGGGAAATAAGCTATTCTGGAGGAGATGGCAGCATGTGAGTATGGGGAGGAGTAGGCTGGTGTCCGCACAGGGCCTTGCATTGTAGCAGGAGAGGTGAGACATACAGGCAAAGTGGGAGCCGCCATGATGTCGCGGAAGCAGCATTGCACCTGGGTTTAGGAGATGTGCTTTCAGCCTGGGCTGTGCTTCCAACTTACTATTGGATCCAAACTTACTATTGGATCGTGGATAAGATACATTATCTCACTGCAGCCTCAGTTTCTGCTCTATAAAATGAGGAGGTGAACTAGATGTAAGGCCATCAAAATGTCTTGTTGAAAATATAGACCTAAACTTCTGCTTCTGGAAAATGCAATAGATGTTCTTATCTATATTTCTCCTGCTAAATACAACTAAAAACCCAAGACATTCTGTATAAAATGAACGTAAGAAGACTCGGAGAGGTGGAGGGAAGAAGGCAGACCTGCTAGGGTGCCCAGAACCTGAGGAACGACACAGCGAGGAGCTTGTTTTCTTTTTGCCTCATGTGTCCCATACTTGGCACTAGGAAATGCTAATGGACACAGGCAAAAAAAAAAAAAAAAAAAAAAAAAAATCCCAATAAAAAGCTGCTCTCTACAGGAAACGGACTAAGAAAAGAGAAAAAGATAGGATAGAGAAGAAGGAAAATGATAGGAAAAGATCTAGCAAAACAAAAAACTTTTCGACAGTCACTGCTGTACCCCAGCCAAACACCACAGAACACATCCCCACCCCCATCCATCCCAGCCAAGACCAAGTGGGAGCTCAGATCCCACCCCTGCTGGGCTATCAGAGGGGCTCCAACCCCCTACCAGAGTAGTGTCAGAGAAGGCCAGTGGGGAGCTGTGACTTTCGTCCCCGCCAACTGGTGAGAAGGCTCCTACCCACGCCCCATGGTGTCACTGGAGACAGCAGGAACCTGACTTGCACCCCCACTGGGCAGTATCGAGGTGTCCCTCTCCTTCCTGCTGGGGTGGTGTCAGAAATAGTGAGTCAGACTTCATAGACTCCCAGGGATGATGAGGCCAGCCCCACTGCATGTCAGAGGGGGACCACATGGGGATCCGGAACTCCCACCTCCACCCAGCGGTGACAGCAAGCACCCCTGCGGCGTCGGAGGAGGTTGAGTGGGCAACCTGGACTTCCACTTCCACCTGGCAATAATGAGGCTGTCCCCTGCCCTTTTCCCCTGCCAGAGTGGTACCATGAAACACGAGTTAAAGCAGGAGGTTTAAATATGACTCTCTCATGAGCTAACATGAAAATGTCCTGGTTTCAATTAAAAATTGTTTGTCATATCACAAACAAACTGAAATAATCAATGGATGTTAACACTGAGATGCTAAATTGGACTTTATCATCATTAAATTTTTGCTCTGGGAAGGACCCTATTAAGAGGATGAAGAGACAAGTTACAGAGAGGGAGAAAATATTTGCAAAACATATCTGACAAAGGGCTCGTATTTAGAATATATAAAGAACTCTCAAAACTCATCATTAAAAAACAATCCAATTAGAAAATGGACAAAATAAAGTGACATTTTTCACTGAAGACGTTTTTCCCTGAAGGTGATGTACAGATGGCAGATAAGCACACAAAAAATATGCAACATCATTAGCCATGACGGAGACGCAAATAAAACCCCAACAAGACATCACTATACTCCAATCAGAATGGTTAAAATAATTTTTTTTAAAGTGACAATGTCCACTTCAACTTGGCAGCATTAAAAAAAAAAAAGTGACGGCCAAGAGCGGTGGCTCATGCCTGTAATCTTAACACTCTGGGAGGCCGAGGCGGGTGGATTGCCTAAGGCCAGGAGTTCGAGACCAGCCTGGGCAACATGGTGAAACACCGTCTCAACAAAAAATACAAGCATTAGCTGGGCATAGTGGCACATACCTGTGGTTCCAGCTGCTCGGAAGGCTGAGGTAGGAGGATCACTTGAGCCTGGGAGGTGGAGGTTGCGGTGAGCTGTGATCAAACCACTGTACTTCAGCCTGGGTAACAGCGAGACCCTGTCTCAAAAAAAAAAAAGAAAATAAAATAAAAACAAAAAGGAAAGAAAAACTAAATGACAGCGTCCAATGCTGGTGAGAATGCAGAGAAACTGGATCACTCCTGCAGTAGGAGTAGGGATGTAGAATGGTATAGCCATTCTGGAAAACAGTTTGGCAGTTTCAAAAAAAAAAAAAAAAAAAAAAACGAAACCTGCAAGTACCATATGATTTGATTGAGCAATTGCACTCCTGGGTGTTTATCCCAGAGCAATGAAAACTTATGTTCACACAAAAACTTGTACTCAACTGTTTGTAGCAGCTTTGTTCACAATACACAGAAACCTGGAAGCAGCTCAGGTGATCTTCAGCAGATGAATGGTTAAACACTCAGCAATGAGAAGGAATGAATGCCTGATGATGCAGCAGCCTGGAGGAGTCTCTGGAAATCATGCTGAGTGATTTTCAAAAAGCCAGTCCTCCAAAGTCGCATACTCTGCAATTCCATTTATATAACATTCTTGAGAGGGCAAAGTAATAGAAACGGGGAAGAGGTTTGTGGTTGCCAGGATGAGGGAAGGGGTAGGGGCAGGAGGAAAGTGGATGTGGCTATAAGGGGCAGCCTTGTGATGGTGGGAGTGTTCTGTGTCTCCACTGTATCAATGTTGATACCCGGAGATGCTGAGTTGGACTTCATCATAATTAAACTTTTGCTCTGGGAAGGATCGTATTAAGAGGATGAAGAGACAAGTTACATTGTGGCATTGAACTATACTTTCCCCATGGAGGGAAACTGCGTATAGGGCACAAGAGGTCTCTTTGTATTATTTTTTACAAGTATGTATGAATCTACAACCACCTAAAAATAAAAAGTGTAATTTGTAAAAAGTATAAAAAGTGTAATTTACAAAATACAAAAAGTAATTTGTAAAAAGTATTTCTATTTCCTCAGAACCTTACATGGAGATTCCACATAGAAACAGGAAAGGGATAGAACTGTTTTTAGGGGGCAAGGGGAGGAGCCCTGCCTGCTTTCTCCCCCACCCGCCCACCTCATGGCTCTTAGAACATCTCTGCAGGACTCCTAGGTCACCCCCCAGACCAGATGAGCTCTCAGCCTCTCCTGTCATGACCTTCTGTAGTTCTGAGTCTGGTACTGGCAGAAAAGGACAGAACTTTGGGGCCTGGGGAGTTCAAAGAAGGCCTCCCTGTGAGGCAACCTTGGAGGATGGGATGGTGTTGGAATGGGGGGTGTTGATTTTCCCCATCTCCTGGAAGCCTTTCCCTGGCAGGAGCTGGGGACAGTTGAGGAGGATCCCATTATTTCAGCAGGTTTTGGACAGGCAGCCAGACAGAAATGGCCTCTGGTGTGGCCCTGTCCAGGACAGGCTCAAATAGCATGGTCCATTTAAAACCTAAATCACAACCTTAATTAGCTGAGAGTGGGCAGAGGGTTGGCCTAGGAGAAATATACTTGGCCACAGGCATTATCATTGTCTCCTATCTCTCTCTGGCCTTTGGGTCTTAATTCAAAGAAAAAGGGAGCATGGGGGAAAAGACAGGATGGACAGACAGACACAGATGTCCCAGCATGAAAGGAATGGCCTTTCCCTCTCCCAGACTCAGCTTTAGTGCCACCCAGAAAGCTGTCTCTGCTGGGCTCTGCCCTGCTGTTCTCCTGCTTCAAAGGCCCCTTGGGGGTCTATTTCCCCCTTTCCCAGCTGTGTCTGGGGTGCCGTCCTTCGTTCTGAACACACACACACACACACACGCACACACACACACAAACACACACATGGTGTTGCCATGATAGGCCTGTTTCTCTTTGGGTTCTGCCCCCTGACACCTCCCCCTGTGCTTTCCCCCTCAGTTGCTCTCTGAGAAGATTCAACCATTCTCAAAGTCTGCTTTAGTTTGGGCCTGAGAGGAGTTTCAGATCTGGCCCATAGGAAGCCTCTGTTTTGGCCCAGGAGATGAGTCTGGGGTCCTCTGGTCCAGAACATTTCATGTAATGTAAAAGCCCTCATAGTGTCTCTCATATATTCCAATATAGAGTCACCAATGTAGTCCATGTAGTCGTGGGACCAGTGAGGAAACACAGGTCCAAAAAGCCAGAGTGAGGCTGGGCGTGGTGGCTCACGCCTGTGATCCCAGCACTTTGGGAGGCTGAGGCGGGTGGATCACCTGAGGTCAGGAGTTCAAGACCAGCCTGGCCAACATGGTGAAACCCTGTCTCTACTAAAAATACAAAAATTGCTCATGGACCCATTCCAAGATGGCCAAATAGGAACAGCTCTGGTCTGCAGCTCCCAGCATGATTGATGCAGAAGACAGGTGACTTCTGCATTTCCAACTGAGGCACCTGGTTCATCTCACTGGGACTGGTTGGACAGTGGACGCAGCCCACAGAAGGCAAGCTGAAGCTGGGTGGGGCATTGCGTCACCCGAGAAGCACAAGGGGTCAGGGGATTTCCCTTTCCTAGCTAAGGGAAGCCATGACAGATGGTACCTGGAAAAATGGGACACTCCCACCCAAATACTGCACTTTTCCAATAGTCTTAGCAAATGGCACACCAGATTATATCCTGCAGCTGGCTCAGCGGGTCCCATGCCCATAGAGCCTTACTCACTGCTAGCGCAGCAGTCTAACATTGACCTGTGAGGCAGCAGCCTGGAGGGGGAGGGGCGTCTGCCATTGCTGACGCTTGAGTAGGTAAACAGAGCAGCTGGGGAAGCTCGAACTGGGCAGAGCCAACCATAGCTCAGCAAGGCCTGTTGCCTCTGTAGACTCCACCTCTGGGGGCAGCGCATAGCTGAACAAAAGGCAGCAGAAACTTCTGCAGACTTAAACATCCCTGTCTGACAGCTCTGAAGAGAGCAGTGGTTCTCCCAGCATGGTGTTTGAGCTCGGAGAATGGACAGACTGCCTCCTCAAGTGGGTCCCTGACCCTTGTATAGCCTAACTGGGAAACACCTCCCAGTAGGGGCCGACTGACACCTCATACAGGCAGGTGCACCTCTGGGACAAAGCTTCCAGAGGAATGATCAGGCAGCAGTATTTGCTGTTCTGCAATATTTGCTGTTCTGCAGTGTCCACTAGTGATACCCAGGCAAACAGGGTCTGGAGTGGACGTCCAGCAAACTCCAACAGACCTGCACCTGAGGGACCTGACTGTTAGAAGGAAAACTAACACACAGAAAGGAATAGCATCAACATCAACAAAAAGGACATCCACACCAAAGCCCCATCTGTAGGTCACCAACGTCAAAGACCAAAGTTAGATAAAACCACAAAGATAGGGAGAAACCAGAGCAGAAAAGCTGAAAATTCTAAAAACAAGAGCGCCTCTTCTCCTCCAAAGGATTGCAGCTCCTCGCCAGCAATGGAACAAAGCTGGATGGAGAATGACTTTGATGAGCTGACAGAAGTAGGCTTCAGAAGGTCGGTAATAACAAACTTCTCCTAGCTAAAGGAGGATGTTTGAACCCATCATAAGGAAGCTAAAACCCTTGAAAAAAGATTAGACAAATGGCTAACTAGAATAAAGAGTGTGGAGAAGACCTTAAATGACCTGATGGAGCTGAAAACCATGGCATGAGAACTCGTGACGCATGCACAAGCTTTAATAGTCAATTTGATCAAGTGTAACAAAGGATATCAGTGATTGAAGATCAAATCAATGAAATAAAGTGAGAAAAGAAGTTTAGAGAAAAAAGAATAAAAAGAAACAAACAAAGCCTCCAAGAAATATAGGACTATGTGAAAAGACCAAATCTATGTTTGATTGGTGTACCTGAAAGCAAAAGGGAGAACCAAGTTGGAAAACACTCTTCAGGATATTATCCAGGAGAACTTCCCCAACCTAGCAAGGCAGGCCAACATTCAAATTCAGGAAATACAGAGAACACCATAAAGATACTCCTTGAGAAGAGCAACCCTAAGACACAAAATTGTCAGATTCACCAAGGTTGAAACGAAGGAAAAAATGTTAAGGGCAGCCATAGAGAAAGGTCGGGTTACCCACGAAAGAAAGCCCATCAGACTAACAGCAGATCTCTTGGCAGAAACTCTACAAGCCAGAAGAGAGTGGAGGCCAATATTCAACATTCTTAAAGAAAAGAATTTTCAAAAAAAAAGAGAATTTTCAACCGAGAATTTCACATCCAGCCAAACTAAGCTTCACAAGAGAAGGAGAAATAAAACCCTTCACAGACAAGCAAATGCTGAGAGATTTTGTCACCACCAGGCCTGCCTTACAGGAGCTCCTGAAGGAAGCACTAAACGTGGAAAGGAACACCCAGTACCAGCCACTGCAAAAACATGCCAAATTCTAAAGACCATCGAGGCTAGGAAGAAACTGCATCAATTAACGGGCAAAATAACCAGCTAACATCATAATGACAGGATCAAATTCACACATAACAATATTAACCTTGAATGTAAATGAGCTAAATGCCCCAATTAAAAGACACAGACTGGCAAATTGGATAAAGAGTCAAAACCCATCAGTGTGCTGTATTCAGGAGACCCATCTCACGTGCAGAGACACACATATGCTCAAAATAAAGGGATGGAGGAAGATCTATCCAGCAAATGGAAAACAAAAAAAGGCAGGGGTTGCAATCCTAGTCTCTGATAAAACAGACTTTAAACCAACAAAGATCAAAAGAGACAAAGAAGGCCATTACATAACGGTAAAGAGATCAATTCAAGAAGAGCTAGCTAACCTAAACATGTATGGCCCTAATACAGGAGCACACAGTAGACTCCCACTTAGACTCCCACACAATAATAACGGGAGACTTTAACACCGCACTGTCAATATTAGACAGATCAACGAGACAGAAGGTTAACAAGGATATCCAGGACTTGAGCTTAGCTCTGCACCAAGCAGACCTAATAGACATCTACAGAACTCGCCACCCCAAGTCAACAGAATATACATTCTTCTCAGCACCACATCGCACTTATTCCAAAATTGACCACTTAGTTGGAAGTAAAGCACTCCTCAGCAAATGTGAAAGAACAGAAATCACAACAAACTGTCTCTCAGACCACAGTGCAATCAAATTAGCACTCAGGATTAAGAAACTCACTCAAAACCACACAACTACACAGAAACTGAACAACCTGCTCCTGAATGACTACTGGGTAAATAACAAAATGAAGGCAGAAATAAAGATGTTCTTTGAAACCAGTGAGAACAAAGACACAACGTACCAGAATCCCTCGGACACATTTAAAGCAGTGTGTAGAGGGAAATTTATAGCACTAAATGCCCACAAGAGAAAGCAGGAAAGATCTAAAATTGACAAAGATCTAAAATCGACACCCTAACATCACAATTAAAAGAACTAGAGAAGCAAGAGCAAACACATTCAAAAGCTAGCAGAAGGCAAGAAATAACTAAGATCAGAGCAGAACTGAAGGAGATAGAGACGCAAAAAACCCTTCAAAAAATCAATGAATCCAGGAGCTGGTTTTTTGAAAAGATCAACAAAATTGATAGACTGCTAGCAAGACTAATAAAGAAGAAAAGAGAGAAGAATCAAATAGATGCAATAAAAAATGATAAAGGGGATATCACCACTGATCCCACAGAAATACAAACTACCATCAGAGAATACCATAAACACCTCTACACAAATAAACTAGAAAATCTAGAAGAAATGGATAAATTCCTGGACACATACACCCTCCCAAGACTAAACCAGGAAGAAGCTGAATCTCTGAATAGACCAATAACAGGCTCTCAAATTGAGGCAATAATGAATAGCCTACCAACCAAAAAAAGTCCAGGGCCAGACAGATTCACAGCTGAATTCTACCAGAGGTACAAAGAGGAGCTGGTACCATTCCTTCTGAAACTATTCCAATCGAAAAACAGGGAATCCTCTCTAACTCATTTTATAAGGCCAGCATTATCCTGATACCAAAGCCCGGCAGAGACACGACAAAAAAAGAATTTTAGACCAATATCCCTGATGAACATCGATGTGAAAATCCTCAATAAAATACTGGCAAACTGAATCCAGCAGCATATCAAAAAGCTTATCCACCATGATCAAGTGGGCTTCATCCCTGGGATGCAAGGCTGGTTCAACATATGCAAATCAATAAATGTAATCCATCACATAAACAAAACCAACGACAAAAACCACATGATTATCTCAATAGATGCAGAAAAGGCCTTTGACAAAATTCAACAGCCCTTCATGCTAAAAATTCTCAATAAACTAGGTACTGATGGGATGTATCTCAAAATAATTAGAGCTATCTATGACAAACCCACAGCCAATATCATACTGAATGGGCAAAAACTGGAAGCATTCCCTTTGAAAACTGGCACAAGACAGGGATGCCCTCTCTCACCACTCCTATTCAACGTAGTATTGGAAGTTCTGGCCAGGGCACTCAGGCAAGAGAAAGAAATAAAGGGTATTCAATGAGGAAAAGAGGAAATCAAATTATCCCTGTTTGCAGATGACATGATTGTATATTTAGAAAACCCCATCGTCTCAGCCCAAAATCTCCTTAAGCTGATAAGGAACTTCAGCAAAGTCTCAGGATACAAAATCAATGTGCAAAAATCACAAGCATTCCTATACACCAATAACAAACAGAGAGCCAAATCGTGAGTGAACTCCCATTCACAATTGCTACAAAGAGAATAAAATACCTAGGAATCCAACTTATAAGGAATGTGAAGGACCTCTTCAAGGAGAACTACAAACCACTACTCAATGAAATAAAAGAGGACACAAACAAATGGAAGAACATTCTATGCTCATGGATAGGAAGAATCAATATCATGAAAATAGCCATACTGCCCAAGGTAATTTATAGATTCAATGCCATCCCCATCAAGCTACCAATGACTTTCTTCACAGAATTGGAAAAAACTACTTTAAAGTTCATATGGAACCAAAAAAGAGCCCGCATTGCCAAGACAATCCTAAGCAAAAAGAACAAAGCTGGAGGCATCACGCGACCTGACTTCAAACTATGCTGCAAGGCTACAGTAACCAAAACAGCATTGCACTGGTACCAAAACAGAGAGCTAGACCAATGGAACATAACAGAGGCCTCAGAAATAACACCACACATCTACAACCATCTGATCTTTGACAAACCTGACAAAAACAGGAAATGGGGAAAGGATTCCCTATTTAATAAATGGTGCTGGGAAAACTGGCTAGCCATATGGAGAAAGCTGAAACTGGATCCCTTCCTTACACCTTATACAAAAATTAATTCAAGATGGATTAAAGACTTAAATGTTAGACCTAAAACCATAAAAACCCTAGAAGAAAACCTAGGCAATACCATTCAGGACATAGGCATGGGCAAGGACTTCATGACTAAAACACCAAAAGTGATGGCAACAAAAGCTAAAATAGACAAATGGGATCTAACTAAACTAAAGAGCTTCTGCACAGCAAAAGAAACTACCATAAGAGTGAATAGGCAACCTACAGAATGGGAGAAAATTTTTACAATCTACCCATCTGACAAAGGGCTAATATTCAGAATCTACAAAGAACTTAAACAAATTTACAAGAAAAAAAACAACCCCATCAAAAAATGGGCAAAGGATATGAACAGACGCTTCTCAAAAGAAGATATTTATGCAGCCAAAAGACACATGAAAAAATGCTCATCATCACTGGCCATCAGAGAAATGCAGATCAAAACCACAATGAGATACCATCTCACACCAGTTAGAATGACAATCATTAAAAAGTCAGGAAATAACAGATGCTGGAGAGGATGTGGAGAAATAGGGACACTTTTACACTGTTGGTGGGAGCATAAACTAGTTCAACCATTGTGGAAGACAGTGTGGTGATTCCTCAAGGATCTAGAACTAGAAATACCATTTGACCCAGCCATCCCATTACTGGGTATATACCCAAAGGATTATAAATCATGCTACTATAAAGACACATGCACACGTATGTTTGTTGCGGCACTATTCACAATAGCAAAGACTTGGAACCAACCCAAATGTCTACCAGTGATAGACTGGATTAAGAAAATGTGGCACATGTATACCATGGAATACTATGCAACCATAAAAAAGGATGAGTTAATGTCCTTTGCAGGGACATGGATTCAGCTGGAAACCATCATTCTGAGCAAACTATCACAAGGACAGAAAACCAAACACCACACGTTCTCACTCATAGGTGGGAACTGAACAATGAGAACACTTGGACACAGGGCGGGGAACATCACACCCCAGGGCCTGTGTGGGGTGGGGGGCAGGGGGAGAGATAGCATTAGGATAAATACCTAACGTAAATGACGAGTTAATGGGTGCAGCAAACCAACATGGCACATGTATACCTATATAACAAACCTGCGCATTGTGCACATGTACCCTAGAACTTAAAGTATAATTTAAAAATAATAATAATAATAAAAATACAAAAATTTGCTGGGTATGGTGGCTTGCACCTGTA
This sequence comes from Homo sapiens, assembly GCF_000001405.40. Taxonomy (NCBI): domain Eukaryota; kingdom Metazoa; phylum Chordata; class Mammalia; order Primates; family Hominidae; genus Homo; species Homo sapiens. The sequence goes on from NW_013171814.1 coordinate 140,222, forward strand.
GTCCCAGCAACTCGGGAGGTTGAGGCAAGAGAATCGCTTGAACCTGGGAGGCCGAGGTTGCAGTAAGCTGAGATCACACCACTGCACTCCAGCCTGGGCCATAGAGCAAGACTAAAAAAAAAAAAAAAAAAAAAAAGAAGAATAAAAAAAGCCGGAGTGACTGAATGAGGCCGCAGGAAGCAGAAAGCAGGTTGCAGGCTGAGAATCCTGTTTTCTCCACTCTCAGCTCAAACCAGACCCCCTGTCCCACAGCTAGCTCCCCAGGGAACCCCGTGTCCATGAAGTGAGAGAACCGTATTAGGGTCGGGCTTGCCTCTTGCCCTCATGGAATCTGGAAGGACATCCTGCACTGAGAAGGGTGTGGACTGGGACTGGGAGTCCTTTGGGGAGTGGAGACTGCACCACCTTTATCTCTCTCATGCCCAGAGCTGGGTCCTGCACAGCCCAGCTGCTCAGTGACTGAGGGTGCACTGTATCAGGGGGTTTCCATTCAGGAGGCCGGGGCTGAGGGCTGGCCACCTCTGCCCCAGTGTCACCTGATGTAGCAGGCCTGCTAGGGAAATCCACACCAGCCTGCCCTAGAATTCTCTAGGGGAAACTTCCCCCATGACTGTCCCAACAATAGAGAGCATCCTCCCGCTGTCCTATCCCATTCAGCCTAGTTTCTAAACACTCACAGCCTGGAATTGTCATTACACACATGCCCCCACATATGCACTTGCACAGCAAAAATCACTGCACAGTTGTGTATTCATAAAGAAAAGCCAGCAGCTAGAAGATTTGTTGTTTTCACTGCATCTGACTTTGTATGTTTTTCTATCATACAGCAACTCACTCTCACCTTGTTGCATTCATGCATGTGTGGAGACCGCAGCCTCATCGCATACCCACTCACATTCCACAATCCCTCTCTCTTCACTGCAGATGATGCACTTCCTCCACCAGCACTGCCTTCCCAATCATTAACAAAGATAGGTGTGGAGAATACAGATGCTTGCAGGGGAGGGATACGTTCCTGCTTTATGGAAATCTCTGCAGTGGGTTCAGTTTACTTGACTGAATAGAATAACTGCATGCATAGTGTACAGTGGTTAGAGCATGGCCTCTGGGCCACACTGTCTGTGCTCCCATCCTGGTAACTGGCTCCATGAACATTGGCAGGTGCTCTGTGCCTCAGTCTCCCCATCAGTAAAATGGGGATGGTGATCATACTATCTGCTTCTTAGGGTTGTAGTAACAGTGCCACGCTTGGGCAGTGCTGGCACATACTGCATGCTGGGTCAATATCTCCTATTGTCATCATCTTTATTCTTGGCCCTTTTAGGAGTCTGACCTCCCCTGAGCTGGGGATGTCTCTGAGGCCTTCCCAGAGACAACTTCAGTTTCCCTTCCCACAAGCAAGCTGTTTCCATTTGATTTTCCACATGGCTTAAAGTGCTCATTATCCCTCTGTGATCTGTTCTGCCAGCAGTATGGTGCACCCTGGTATGGGGCCCCCTAATTGCCAATAAAAGGGGCTGTCACGAAGGATTCAGCAGTGTTTAAGTGCTAAGAACAACCCACTGAAAAGGATGATTGTTTTTGATAAGGCTTCTCAGAACCTTGGCATTTCAGCAACCGGGGGGGCAGGGCCTGGATGCTGTCAGGGCTGGAGAGGATGCTGTGCTCAGAGGGAAGCTGTGGTTACCAGGGCCAACCATGGAATTGCCAACTGCAGAATGTTCTTTAAGAGGCCACTGAGGTTTTGATGGGTAGCTGACAGTGCCCAGCCACTGAGTCTGTGCGAAGAAATATTTAATGAATGACTCTGGGTCCCAAGGCTAGGACGAGGGGTGAATGGGCAGGAAGATACAACAAGGAAGTGGAGCCACGGTTCCCACCATCGAAAGGGGAGAGAGTTAACAGAAAGTGTGTTAGCTGAGTATTTCCCAAAGGGGGTTCCATGGAACCCTAGTCCTGCAAAATTCTCTGTGGAATGAAAAGGAAGAGTGAGGTAGATTTCTAGCCAAAAACCTTGGGAAAGAAATATTGCATACTCCACTTCCACATATGTGAAGAGTTAACATCCACTGAAGAAGTTCTGCAATAAAAATTTCAACATCGTAACAATTTTCTACATTTTAATAATGTATTAGCAGTCTTATCATTCAGTATATACCAAACATTTGACTATATAATCTTTTTGATTTTTTTCCCTGTTAAAACTTGAACATTTTGAGGAATGAGGACCATTTAGAGGAATGAGGCTTTCTGAAAGCATCGTCTGTGAACCATCCCAGCTACACTAAATTTAAACCACCAACCCTCCCTTCTCTCAGTGATTCTGATGCACACTGACATTTAGAGCCAGGGGATTGGTGCTTCCAGAGCACCCCGGGGAGCTCTGCAGTACAACAATGACGAGAGGAATCAGCTCTGCACGGGAGTGTGCAGGGTACGTGCTGTGAACGGCATGTGCTATGAGGTTCACAGGGTGTGGGCTGCTGAGGAGGCTGCAGAGCTGCAGAGAGGAAGAGTCCTCAACTAGATCCTAGCAGGAAGGAAGACTCATGGGAGTGGGAGGGTGTGGAGAGAACATTCTTTTGTTTTCACTGAGTCCAGGAAGAGTATAGTAGCCTAAAGTGAAATATAACTCCATACATGCTGCTGCTTCGTGTGCCCTTGAGAGGCAAGTCCAACGCTTGCCTGGGATGAGCCGAGCTTGGGTCCCCTTCTTCTCTGTCCTCAGCTTGACAGCCACCTCTCTGTATGGGTCCTCAGTGTGAGCCAGAGGTGAGGGTGGTGGGAGAGAGAGGTGGGTCTGTTTCCTGGTGAGAAGTTCCAGAACTCAGGTACAGTCTGCCTGTGAGGGGTCTGCCTGCAGGCACCTGCCTTCCTGCTTCTCTGACTTCTCTGGCTTCTTTGGACATTCGAGGGTTTGTAGAACAGCTGACACATGTATGTGTATGTGTGTGTGGTACATGTATGTTTGTGCGTGATGTGTGTGTATGTGTGAGGTGTATATGTGTGTGCATGGTGTGTATGTGGGTGTGGATATGTGTGTGTGTGTATATGCCTGTGTGCATGGTGTGTATATGTGTCTTGTATGTATATGTGTGTGGTCTACATGCATGTTGTGTGTGGCATGTGCCTGTATGTGTGGTGTATATAATATGCATGTAGCATGTGATGTGCACATATAGTTGTACTATACATGTATACCACATGTATATATGTGGTGTGTGCACGTATGTGTGTTTGGTGTGTATATGGGTGTGGTGTGGATGTGTGTGGATGGATGTGTATATTGTATAAGTGTGGTATATATATGCATGTATGTGTGTAGTATATACATGTATGTGTGTGGTGTGTACGTGTGTATATGTACGTGTGGCACACATTGTGTGGATGTGTGTATGCATACCATGCATGTGTGTGTATGTATGTGTGTCTGGTATGTATATGCATGTATGGTGTGTATTATGTGGATGTGTGTGGATGTGTCTGTCTAGTATATGCATGTGTGTAGTATTGTGTATATATGTGTCTGTGGCATATGTACATGTATGCATATGCGGCCCTGTGGCATGTGTACATGTATGCATATGTGGCACTTGTATGGCTGTAAGCATTTGTCTGGCTCCAGAGCCACGTGGCAGGGCTGGGTGACAGAGTGGCCACTTGGGTGCTCAGCCCAGGGCAAGTGGGCCCTGGGGAAGGACATGTGAAAACGTTGGGCTCCTGGTTGTCCAGTTTAGCTTGGCAGTTAATAACTCTGTTGCGTGAGGCCTGGCCCCCTGGGCACTGCCTGGGCCACCACCTCAGCATCAAGGGACAGCAAAGGAAAGCTCTGCAGGTGAGACTCTTCCTGCTCTGGGCTAAGGCTGGAAGGAGATGGATGTCTTCTCCACGTGCTAGGCTATTTCTCCAGCCCCTGTTGATGAAAGTTTGCCTTTAGTGGTTATATGCCTGTCTTGTGCCATTGAAACAAACCCCAAGGAGGTGTCCAGATTCTTGATATGCACTGCAGTTCTTATATCAAGTAGAGTGGCAATAAGGAGTGCGGCCCCTGTGTCCAAGGTGTTGCCCTATACCTACTTCTCCAGAGACTCAGCTTCTCGTCTGCCAGGCCCCGAGTCTTCATGGCGATCTCCTTCCTGATATTCAGACAGAGAGGCCCGATGCCTTGCCCACTGCTCTCCTCCATGTGTCCAGCTCAGCGGCTGGGGTCCTCATTCTTCTCAGTGCTGTCACCTCCACCTGCTGCCTCCTCCAGGGCTGCTGAGCTTCACAGCTCCGGGGGTGCTGTCCATATGATATTCGTTCCTGGAGCTGCACCCCCAGGGCTCCCTGGAGCTGTGCAAAGATGGGGTCCGGCTCCTTGGTTTGTAAAGGGCTCACCTTGCTGGCACTTTTGTTCCTCAGCTCTGAGAATCAGAGTTGCAGTCATCACGGGGGAGGGAATGAGGCAGGAGGCCGGTCAGTGTGAGAGTTAACAAGACTCAAGCCTTGTGGCAAAGGAGAGGTGAGACCCGGCCCAAAGGCCCAAGGTGGGCTTGGGGCAGAGACCTGTGGGGCAGAGCGAGAGAGGAAGGAGAAGCAGCCTGGTGCCGAGTTTTCCAGCCTGGGGAGGGAGACACAGGAGTCAGGAGGCTGAGCCACAGGGCGGGGGTGGCTAAAGAAATACGGTGTGTACTGGGAATGGCAGGGATATCGCTGGGTTTCTTGTCATTTAAATATGGATGTAGGCTCTTGATGTCGTTCAGGGATATGTTCCCTGAGTTGTTGTAAGGAGTTGTGGGGATTCAATGAGGAAAATGTGTGAGTCTGTCACCTGTGACGTGTGTCGATTGTGTGACTGCCATGGCTCTTGGAGGAGCACTGGTTGCCACCGTGACTCCACCACCTGCTCCCCAGCTGGGCCATGGCCTCTCTCCCCAGGCTCCTCTGGGAATGGCAGGGATATCGCTAGGTTTCTTGGCATTTAAATATGGATGTAGGCTCTTGATATCGTTCAGGGATATGTTCCCTGAGTTGTTGTAAGGAGCTGTGGGGATTCAATGAGGAAAATGTGAGAGTCTGTCACCTGTGACGTGTGTTGGTTGCGTGACTGCCATGGCTCTTGGAGGAGCACTGGTTGCCACCGTGACTCCACCACCTGCTCCCCAGCTGGGCCATGGCCCCTCTCCCCAGGCTTCTGTTTTTCACCCCCAACATGGAGATGGCAGCAGCTGATCACAGGGCTGTTCTGCAGATGCACGGAAGGGTGGGCTTCCTCTGTAAAGAATAAACACATACATGCAGGCACAGCTTCTGCCCTGGCTCTTTCCCTCCCATCAGCTGGGAGCACATTTCCCTGACCCCAAGAATCTGGAAGTCCAGAGATTGGTGGGTCCCCCGCCAGGGATACTGCTTTGGAAATGCCCAAGTTTGCCCTGCCCAGTCACCTCCCTTAGCCCAAGGGTAGTGCCCCCTCCTCCAGGCAGAGAGGTTCCACCAGCTCTCTGCACAGGGGCATTGGCCCCCTCACAGCTGCTGCCAGTGACTGTTACTGTGACCTGTCCTCGCTCCCTGCCAGTTGAGGAGTAGTAGCCAAGATGCCAACCTGCAGGCCAGGAGGGAGATTTATGTGCCCATCTGCACTGCCCTTCAACTGCCTTCAAGGTGAATCACCATCTTCCTGGAAGATGCTTTGCACTTCTAGGTTTGGCCATGACCTTCTCTACGTAGTTGCTCTCTCTTTCTATCTCTCCATCCATGTTTCTTACTCTCTAAGGGCCTTACGGGCCTCGGATCCTAGGACGGTAAATCATTCTTGACATCCTAATCTTGATTCAGTCTTTCAGCCACAGAGGCAGTAGGGTCGTGCTTCCTCCTGTTACAAAGTGGCATCTCCTCAATCAGTTGGCAGGAATCCAAGCTGGCCCTCCTGTGTGCCTGGCTTGGCCACTGTGGGGGCACAAAGAGAAAGAGGCAGTCCAGTGGAAAAGATTACAGTCTACTTGGGGAAGGTCTAACATTCATGTAAGAGAGCAGTGACCAAGAGGTGATCCACTGAAGCTGAATTTATAGGCGCCAGAGAACATTGGGTATTTAACAGATCAGGGATTAGGGAAGACACGTGTGGAGGAGAGGCTTCAGGTCACTGGGCTGAAGGAGGAAAATGAACTGCATGCTGAGTGAGGTCTGCAATAGATGCTTTGGAAGCAAGAGTTTTGTTTGCATGTATGATTTTTTTTTATCTTTGCTTTCTATGTTATTTTTGGCTGCTATCCCCAATGATAATTACATTCGAGGCCCAGGAGGGGGTTGTGAACAAGCCGGTCAACATCTCGGGAGGCAGGGGCTGTCCCCTTGGGGGTTGTGTGATAGAAGGTGAGTCTCTCTAGCTGACCTGGAGTTTCAGAGTTGCACTTGGAGCAAGCAGGGCCCCAGGAGTTGGAATGGGGAGGATGTGAGGCAACTCGAAGAAAAGGGAGAGAGGACGATCCTAGAACATTAGGGGCCACCTGCTTGGAGGACTGGCAACCATGCTGTAATTGATTAGTGATATCTGCCGCTGGCAGGAGAGGGGATGGTAGCAGCACGCATGCCAGTCAGAAGGAGCCCATCTACAGGGCATGGTATTTCATTCTGGGATCTCTTTATTTAAATATGAAGAATCTGAAGTCCAGACTGGTGAAGTGACTTTGCCGAGGTCACACAGTTTATTGAGGCAAAAAGAAAACGCATGTTTAAAGAAGATGGTGAAAATCTCTTGCAGTATATGTCAGGAGCACTGAGCTTCCAGCTCTGGGGGACCTAGGGGGTCCCTGCCATCAAGGGCCCGCTATCTCCTGTGGGAGAGAGGTCACTACAGGAAATAGAAGTGAGAACTGCAAGAGGCCGGCTCTGCTACTGTAAGTCACCCACACAGATAGCAAGTTCAGGGCAGAGCGAGGTGACTGCAGTTTGGGAGGCCAGAGGTGCTTCCTGGCTGAGCCAATCTTTGACAGATGGGGCACATTCGGAGAGGGCAAGAGGGGAGCAAGGCCCAGTTGACAGGCCATGGTCAGGAGCAAAGGGGATTACGGGGATGGGACAGGAAAGGCATGGGGAGAAGCACCCAGGGCCATGGCGGCCCTGAATAAATGTGGCTGATCTGCTAGAAAGGATTGTGCAAGCTCTCAGGGCAGCCTGGAATGAGGAAGTTTCAAGTTACTTAGACCTGCAGGCTGCAGGCTGTTGGTGCCCAGAGAGAGGGACCAGTCTTCATGTTATCAATGAGACCCAGGAAGGCTGAGGGACTTGCCCAGAGTCAGACAGCCCAGGTGGTTCTCCCCAGACAGTCCTCTTGTCCCTTCGACTCCATAAGCCCTCCACCTCTCCTCCAGGCTCTCATTACCTCCTGCCTCCTGTCTGTGGCGGCTGGAGTGCCTGGCCCCTTCTGCTTGGAGGCTGGACTGTCCAGCCTTTCCGGTTTTTGTGCCCTCTCCTTCTAGTTAATCAAAGCTGCTCGCTCTCTCTGTCTCTCTCTGGAAGAGAGATTGGTTTCCTCTTCCAGTTACTATCTGAGTTCTTTCACTATACATTCGTTAGTTTGCCTGTTCCTGAACATAATTGGTTCTCTTTTGCATCTGGGTTCTTTTGTTCCCTGTATGCTTGTGATATTTATTCATATTGCTGCATGTTATTTTACTTTGTTTGTGCTCACTGCGGTGTGATACTCCAATATGTGAACATACCACGGTTTATTTATCGAATCAGCTGATGACAGGCATGTGGGTGGTCTCCAGTTTGGAGCTGTAATGGCGGATGCTGCTGTATACGCTTTCTGTACATGTCTTTTGGTGAGCATCGGGCACATTTCTGTGTGTTTATACCTGGGAGTGAATTTCTGGGTCATACGGCGTGCACACGTTCAGCTCAGGTGGATGTGGAAGTATTGTTTTAAAGAGTGTGACGATGGAAACCAGATTGCAGGGGTAAGAAGGGCTGGAGGGCATCAGGTGCGGTCAGGGGTTGGAGAATTTGCCAGGGAGCTCACCAGCCAGAGAGCAGAGAAACCAAATCATAGAAGCTGCATTGAGTAAAGAGGTTTCTGTCTCTGGGGTGGGTCACATAGGGAACACTGGAGGATCGGCTCGACTCAGAGAAATCCAGTTGCTGGTGTAGCCTTGGTCGGTGGGGGCTTCTGGGGAGTAGGACTGAACTGTGAAGGAAGGCAGCCTCCATGGGCTCCCCAGTGGGCCTGGCTCTGCAGAGCCCCTCCCTGGGGAGAAGCCTCAGCCATCAGGCTGGCAGTGGTGATGGTGGCTCTGGGTGGTACAGAGCCCTTGCTGGGTGTGGAGGCTTTGAGGAGAGAGCCATGGGCCTGGGGCAGCAGGGGCCTGGACCCTTCTGTATACATCTATAAAACCTCAGTGAAACGAGGGCCTATGCCTGGGGGGAGGCCAGGAGACCCCCAGGCAGTCCCCTGACTCTGACTGGGTGCACCAGCCACCATACTCACTTGGGGGCTCACTCCAGCCCCCCAGCCCCTCAGGCCCTGGCCCCGTGTTCTCAGCATCCTGGCCGAGCAATTAATGTCAGCCCTTTCACCCCCATCTCTTCCAGAATGGCAGCAAAGACAACTCTCTGGACATGCTGGGCACGGACATCTGGGCGGCCAACACCTTCGATTCCTTCAGGTAACCTCCTCCTCCCTCCTTCCCTGTGGTGTGAGGTCCAGCCGGGGAAACTGGCTTCCTTGGGGACGGAATGAACGCTGATGGTTCATGAGCAAGAGGCAGAGAGAAGCAGAGTAGGGGATGTAGGAAGGATGGGGTGGAAAGAAGGCCGGAGAGAGGAGGCGGTGAGTGTCAACGGGAGACAGTGGAGGCATGGGGAGGGCCCCCGGGATGGGGCTGCAGAGGCTGGGCCCCGCTTCCCACTAGCCTGCCTCATCTACCTCAGGGTGGCCGGGTCGTCACTTTGAGCTGCTTGTCAGAGGCTGGAGACTGGCATTTGGCCCCTTGCTCTCCCTGGCCTTCCTCAAATGTGGGCACGAAAACAAACTCAGGTGTTGCAGAGGCCGCTGTGCAATGGGCATCAGGCCCACACTTGTTTCATAAGCATGCACTTTCCCACGGCAGGGTGAGGAAGGTGAGGGGTGGCACCTGGGGCTCCATTCTGAGTGGGGCTCCCCGCCTGGCCCCTGGCGGCTCCTTTCTGCGGATCTGCTCTGCCAGGTTCAGCCTGGCCCCCTGGTTCCGTCAGTAACTGGGCTGTTGCCCTCTTGCCTCCGTTTCTCACCCTCCCTCGCCCTCTAGTGGTGCCACCTGGGACCTGCAGCCGGAAAAGCTGGACTTCACCCAGTTCCACCGCAAAGTCCGACACACGCCCAAGCAGCCCCTGCCACACATCGACCGCGAAGGGTAAGGGGTGCTGGGGCTCTTACCCAGGGTGGGGTGGGGCAGGGGACGGGAGTGGCCTTTGCCTCCACAGGGAGGCTGCTCTGCTGCACAGGGGACTCAGGTGGCTGATGCCCCGGGATGCTCTTCTTATGCGTCCCAGAGCTGCAGGCTCACTGGCTTCTCCTGGAATCCCTCCATTTCCCTCTGCCCAGCCCCCTCTAGCCATGCCATCCCCACCTGCTCCTGATGACCCACAGTGGCCCTGCTTGTCAGTAATCCACGCCAGCGCAGCAGAATCACCTGGGCGGTGGCACAGAGGACAGGCCCACCCCAGAGTCTGTGATTCCGTAGGTGTGGACTGAGGCTGTGTGTTTCTTTCTTTTTTTTTTTTTTTTTTTGAGACGGAGTCTCGCTCTGTCGCCCAGGCCGGACTGCGGACTGCAGTGGCGCAATCTCGGCTCACTGCAAGCTCCGCTTCCCGGGTTCACGCCATTCTCCTGCCTCAGCCTCCCGAGTAGCTGGGACTACAGGCGCCTGCCACCGCGCCCGGCTAATTTTTTGTATTTTTAGTAGAGACGGGGTTTCACCTTGTTAGCCAGGATGGTCTCGATCTCCTGACCTCATGATCCACCCGCCTCGGCCTCCCAAAGTGCTGGGATTACAGGCATGAGCCACCGCGCCCGGCCTGAGGCTGTGTGTTTCTAACAAGTTCCCCAGCGGGTGCTGATGCTGGTCCAGGGACCACACTTGGGGAGCAGCTGGTGTCATGCCTGATTTTACACTGGCTTTTCTCACCCTCTATGACTTTGTGTGGCAGGGTTGCCTTCCCTTTTCAAAAGTGGTGTCACAGCCTGGGCAGACCTCAGGACGGGAATGTGACTCCAGCGAGACACAGAGGTGTGGGACAAATGGCTGCTCCTTCTTTTATAGTTTTATATAATTTTTAATGAGGCAGAATTCCCATACCATAAAATTAACCATTATAAAGTGTTCAGTCCACTGGCATTTAGTATGCTAGACCTGTTGTGCAACTACCATGTCTGTCTAGTTCTGAAACATTCTCATCATCCCAATATAAAACCCCATACCCACTAGGCAATCATTCCCCATCCCATCACCACCCCCAGTCCCTGGCAACCACCAATCTGCTTTCTGTTTCTATTAATTAATCTATTTTGCATACTTACAGAAACAGTCATATGTGACCTCTTGGGCCTGGCTTCTTTCCCTTGGCATAATGTTTTTGAGGTTCATTCATTATAGCATGTATCAGAACTTTATTCCTTTTCATGACTGAATACTAGTCCATTGTATGGATATACCACAATTTGTTTACCCATGCATCTATCAATCCTTACTTGAGTCATCTCCACCTTTTGGCTATTGTCAAAAATACTGCTGTATCTTTTTGAGTCCTTGCTTGTAATTACTTGGGTGTATACCTGGGGTGGAATTGCTGGGTTGTATGGTAATTCTGTTGAACTCTTTGAGGAGCTGTCAAACTGTGTTCCATAGCAGCTGAATATTCTGCATTCATACCAGCAATGTATGAGATTCCAATTTCTCCACATCCCCACCAGCACTTGTGCTTTTTTTTCTTTCTTGGTTTTTGTTTGTTTGTGTTTTATTATGATACTGATGACCCTTACTTTTCCTTCCAGCCCTCCCCTGCTCACTCTTGTCTCCCTTTCACTTCAGGTCTAAGTATTAGTGACTTTACTGGACACTATCCTACATCTCACATGTCTTCCTGCTGCTATATTTGTCCCACTCAACCTCTCCTCTTGGCAACATTGGTCCCATCATAGTGTAATGAGCAACAACCCGTGGAAAGAAATGGGCTCATTCCTACTTTAGAGATGAGGAAAATAACACTCAGAGAAGCAAAGTAACTTGCCTGAATAACAGAGCCATCATTTAAGGCCAGGCCTTCTGACACCATCCAACCCCTAGTTCACCACATCAGGGTATTCTTAACCTCCTTAAAATTTTCTGCAAATTTGTATGTGTGCATGCACACGTGTGTGTTGCTGGGGAGAGGCCCATCACTTGCATCCGACTCTCCCAGGAGACACCAGCCTCTCACACGCCTCTTTTTCATTGCCCTCCCTGTTGTGGGTTCCATTTCTCTTTGGGTGAAGAGGGAGAGATGGCTTTGCGCATGGAGGCACTGGTTAAGATGGAGCATAGGAGAGACACAGCTGCAAGGCTCCCGACCCTACCTTACCCCATCCACCCTGCTCACTGCCTGCTCAGCCCACTCATTCAGTTGCAGGGAGGCCATGCTCCTTCCAGACTGCTGAGCTGCACAGGGCTGGGCCTCCACACTTCCGTGCTTAGGAAGGATGGCCTTACCTACCTTTCTCAGTGGGTCAGCTTCAGGAAGGGGTTGTGAGCAAAGGTGATGCTTGCCCAGTGTCCTGTTGCAACAGTGTAGCGGAGCTTGGGTATGCCACAGGAATAGGAGCAGGATTTTGCTTTTCTCAAGTTCAGTGTAGCCAGTCTGTCACTAGACCTGCTGGGTCCCTGCATGGTGCTGGGTACCAGGAAAGTAGACACACACACACACACACACACACACACACACACACACGAGTATACAATACAGTCCCTGCCCAGAAGGACTGTTTATTCTACTGGGAAAAGGAAATATGAACCTATTCATGATGGAGACTGTGTAGGGGAAGAAAGACTAGACTATGCGGTGTAGACATACAGACTAGACTATGCAGTGTAGACATATAGACACCATAAAGACATATATAGACAGGTATAAAGTGTGATGCCTGGTGCAGGGTTAAATAAAGTCAATGCAAAAGGGGTTAGAAAGGAGAGCACTTTACAGGTTGAACCATCTGGGAAAGGCTTCAGGAGGGAGACTTCCCTGGGCAGCTCCAGTCTCTCCTGTGTGCCCCGGGAGCACATAGCTGGTGACGTCAGTGGGGACACTGAGGCCTGGGGAGATCGAAGCGATGGTGCTGCCTTATTGACTACAGGTGCCCAATGGGGCCTGCATGTTGAAGGCAAGCTTGCCAAAGTGTCTCACCAGTCCCCAGAGATGAACTAACTTCCTAGCAAAAAAGCGATGAATAACTATGAAGGAGAGGAATTCCCCTTATGCCGAGGGACTTTGTCCCTTCTGAAGCCAGAGTAACCAGCCACACCTGTGTCACCAGCTGTGGGCCTAAATTCCTCGGCCAGTCTCACTTTCTCACCAGGAGCCTCCAGATTTGCTGAGAGTCACCTGGGGTCTCCCATGGATATCTGGCTCACTAGCCAAAGCCTGTCACTCCCAGGTTCCCAGGGAGTCTGAGTGCAGTGTCTGTGGCCACCTCATGGCCAGACCAGGAACTGTGACCCCCTTAGAGTCCTGCTGTAGTGGGGACACACTCCATGCGCCAGCCACTGCAGCCTTCCTGGGATGCAGGTACCACTCAGTTGCCAAGGCTCCCTGCAGCCTGTGTTTCCATGGAGGGACAGAAATCAGAGAAGGCTGTTGCCTTGGAAACCCTGTTGGCAGCAGTGACTCAGCTGGTCTGTAGCCACCTTCAGCCCTCCAAACCTGCAGGCCTCTGGGGAGATCTGAGCCCTGACGAGGGCAGGCCTCGTGGGACAGCAGCCCTCCCTGCAGGCCTCCACCTGCCCACCCCCAGGGGCGCTGAGGCGAGAACAGAAAGCTGTGTTTGGAGTGTGCTAGGCTGGTGCCCAGCGTGTGCTTGGAGCTCAGTGCATGCGAGAGAGTCCTGAGGTGTGTTTTACCCACAGGAGACACTGGGGAGGTGGTATCAGCCATTCTAGTCAAGCCAAGTCCCCAGTGCCCTCCTCCCCTATGGCCCAGGCGGGTGCAGAACACAGAAGACTACACGCAGTTGGTGCTTTCACAGGCCAGCCTGTCTGCACCAGGCAGATTGATGAGTTAAGAGATGTTTGGATGTTCCGGGCCTTTCTCCACCTGCTCACCTGTAGCCCCAGCACATCACAGTTGTGGGGACAGCCGGGGGCCGGGGGAAACTTTTTCTTTTCCTTCATGCCTGTTATACCTTGCACACCATTCCCCACCCCAGCTCCACCATGCCCCTTGCCTACCCCTTGCACCCTGACCCCTAACATGCTCTAGCCACAGCAAACTGGCACCACACATGCTCCTAACTCTAGGCCTTTGCCTGCGCCGTGTCAGCCTGGGACATCCTCCCAAATTCCCTGTGCTTGGCCAGCTCACCTCTCACCTTCCTCCTGCCCCTCGCCCAAGACAGTTCTAGACGCTGCTCCTTGGGGTTCCTGCAACGATCCCTTGTCCCCAGCGGGGCACTTGCTGCTCTACTGTGGGGGGTGATTATCCCGCCAGACACCGAGAGGGGCAGTTGTGTGCACTGTTTACACCTGGGTCCCAGACCCTGTCCAGAGCCGGGCACAGAAGTGTTTGGTGAATGGAGAAATGAGCCATCAAATGGGGCTTGGGTTAGCCCCCTGTTCTCTTCCACCCAGGCCTTTGCTGGTGTTTGCAGCTAGTTTCTCCTCCTCTGGGTTCCAGGGCGCCTCTGGCCATAGGACTTTTATGACACTGATCTCGTGCTGCCCCCAGTGGTGCTCCGGCACCCAGCCCTGTTAGAGGAGTTTAGGATTTGTTCTAAGGGCCATCCACTGTCTGAGGGCAGGAACCAAAACTGATTTTTTTTTTTGGTTCACAAGGCCCAAAACAGAAGAGATGCTTGGTAAATGTTTAAACAATGAACTAGTTACTCTGAAAGGTGAGATTCGTATGAACTCTGCAGCTGGAAAATGACCCAACTCATGGGACATCTCTCACCATTCCTCAGTCAATACCAGTAATAATAGTAACTGACAATACTTACTATGCACCGGCCATGCTCCAGCCTCTGTTCTAAGTGTTTGCCTCATTTATTTAAAACTCGCCACCACCCAGAGAGGGAGGAACTGTTACCATCTTCTCTTCAATAGATGAAGCAACTAGGAGACCCAGAAATTGAGTAATTTGCATGAGGCTGGGTTGGCTCCAGAATCTGTGTCCTTAATTAATCACCCTCCTGCCTCTTTGCCTAAACAACAGCAACAATATTAGTGGTAATGAAAGTAGTCATAGTAGTAGCAATATATTTACTTCATTATTTATTTTAATTTTGTTATTATTACCAGTATTTACCATTAAACATATGTGTGTATGTTTAAGATATATTTAATGGTAAATACAGATAATAATACATACACAAGAAATATACACACACACATTTATAAACAAACAAGCTAAACATTTATATATATATATATATATATATATATATATATATATATATATATATAAGCTAGACTATATATGTGTGTATATATGTACCGTTTACTGTGGGCTGTCACAGTTCTAAGCATCTAAGCACTCCAGATACATTCATTAATTTAATCCTCCAGCCACCTTAAGATGTTAGACACTATTATCCTCATTTAACAAATGAGGAAACTCATTTGATGAAATGAGTACAGAGAGGTTAAACAACTTGTACAGGGTCCCCAGTTGGTAAGGGATGCAGCGGGGATTCAAACCCTGGGAGTCTGGTTTCGGAATCTGCACCCTTAAATATGCCAAAGATTCAGACCTCTGGCCAGGGAGTTGGGGCCAGCCTCTCTGGCCCGAGGGCACGCCCACTCACAGAGGACATGAAGACAAAGCATAGACTATCTGAGTGGGCTTGCTGGACTGACCCAGAGTCAAGCCAAAAAGGAAGGAAGCCCTATTGGGTTTTCTGCTAGCCCCTGCCAGCCTATGTGACCTTGAGAAAGTTGCTTGGTGTCTCTGTCCACTGATCTTCTGTTCAGTGTAATGGGGCAAGGTGGATGGGCTTTGACAGGAGTTGTGATGAGTAAGGAGCTTAGCTTCTCTGCCTGGAAGGAGCAAGGGGAACTCTGGTTCCTCTCCCACCTCCCTCCAGGTTGGCTGTTGCATTACGGGAGGACCCCCCCACACACACACACAGCTTCTCTAGGGCTGTTTCCTCTAGGTGGGACAGCCCCTGCAGGGCTTGAGGGTGGGCAGCACCAGGTATCTGCTGACTGTCCCTCCTCTCCTGCTGGCCGGATGGGACAGGAGGCATGAATGAGCCATCTTTCCAATGCCTTTCTGTCTTTTCTGGTCCAGGTGTGGCAAAGGGAAGCTGGAAGATGGGGATGGCATCAACCTGAATGACATCGAGAAGGTCCTTCCAGCCTGGCAGGTAGGTGCAGGGGCAGGCTCTCTAACAGCCCACCCCCACCCCTGGAGTCCTGATCCTCTTCCTGGACAGGACCTAACCAAAGCACTCCTTCTGGCTGCTTGTTCCAGCAAGGAGTGTAACCGCCTGTATGGTAGTAATAGGCAGGGCTGGCTACCTGCCATTCTCCAGGGTGTCCCATTGTGATCGTGTGTGTGACAGCCTACTCGGTGATGCTGCAGGCCCTGCTGGCAGGCCTGATGTGCCCTAGAGATGAAATAGACCATGCCCTGGCAACTCAGTGAACTTGGAAGTTTTTGTCCCTTGGCCTGAAACCTCTCTGCAGGTGAAGTGTCCTGTGGTGTGTTCAGGTGGGACTGGCAGGCCTGGAAGAGATTCTAATGTGGCTGGGGCTGTCTTTAGGCTTTTGAACAGTGGACTTGCCCTGCTGGCCTCCAGGTGTCTGCTATGCTTGCTCTTTTTTTTATTGATTGGGCCTCTTTCCTGGAATCAGGCCAGGTTCCAGGACAAAGAGGATTCACTCAGTGAATCCAGGTCTCTAGATACTTATAGTGCTGGACTTTTGGTGGAAACAGCAGGAGTCTAGCTGCTCTCAGGAGTGTGACTGGGCCTGCTGCAGGGGTGTAAAAGCAGTGGACCTTCCACAGTGACTGAGTCTGCCG
The DNA here is from genome assembly GCF_000001405.40 of Homo sapiens. NCBI lineage: Eukaryota > Metazoa > Chordata > Mammalia > Primates > Hominidae > Homo > Homo sapiens. The sequence goes on from NW_013171814.1 coordinate 156,455, forward strand.
CTGCCAGTGACCATGACCTACCACCACACTCCACTGTGCCACCCTTCCCTTCTCTCCTGATTCTTCTCCTGCTATTTTATCTATATCCATTCATCTCTTCCTGGTGCCTTTGCCATTTTGTTTCTTCTCTGTTCATGCCTTGGGCCTATCAATGAGAGACAATAGAGCATACAGTTAAGACCTCATCTATTTGATTATGATGTGCCTTGGTGTGGTGGTTTTCTTCATGTTTCTCCCACTTGGGATTTATTGAGTTTCTTGGATCTGTAGGTTTATAGTTTCATCAAATTTGGAAAATTTTCAGCCACGATTCCTCCTACTTTCCCTCAACCCTGGGGTTCCAATTGTATGTATTCTATGCTTCTTCATCTTTTCCCATGGCTCACCAAAGCTCTGCCTGATTTTTTAAAGTCTTTCTTTACTCTCTGTGTTTCATTTTGGATAGCTTTTATTGCTATTTCTTCAAGTTCACTAATATTTTATTCCAGTGTCAAATCTACTGTTAATCCCATTCAGTATATTTTTCATTTCAGACATTGTAGTTTTTATCTCTCGAAGGTCATTGTGGGCTTTTTTAATAAATATATATATATATATATATATATATATGTATGTATCTTCTCTTCCTCATGCTTTCTTTTCTGCAGCATATAGAACCTATTCCCAATAGCTGTTTTAAGTCCTTCTCTACTAATTCTGTCATCCATATAATCTCTGAGTCTATTTCTATTCATTGATTTTTCTCTTGGTTATGGGGCATACCTTTCTTTACATGCTTGGTAATTTGATGTTAAATGTCATATGTTAGAACCTTTACATTATTGGGTGCTATTTTTTTTGTATCACTTTAAATATTTTGGGTTTTGTTCTGGATCACAGTTAAGTTACATAAAAACAGTTTGATCCTTTCAAGACTTGCTTTTAGGCTTTGTTAGGGTGGGAAGACTTTAGTGTAGGGCAAATTTTGCTCCACTGCTGAATCAATACCCTTCTGAGATTGCCACCCAATGCTCTGTGTATTAGGAGGTGTTCCCCCCTGGCTGGAGAAACACAAACTATTTTCAGCCGTATGTGATCTCAGTGGATTGTTCTATCTATTCCTTGCCTCAGAAGTTTCCTTACACATGGACAAATTAATACTCAGCCAAAGACTTGAGAGGCTAAGATTTCTGGATTTATCTCTGTATGTTGGTCTCTCCTCTTTAGTACTCTGCCTTGCAAATCAAATTGTCTTGGACTCCGTGGATTTTGAACCCTGTCATCTTAGCTCATTGAGACCACTGGGCCCTGGACTGCCCTCCCTGTGTTGCAGACTGGAAACTTTCCAGGCAATGAACCAGGGCACACATAGAGGTCACCTCATTACAAAGAGAAATATGATGACTTTATCACGGAGAAACCTGGAAGGCCCCAACGTGACCAGGTGATCAAGGAAACATCATTAGTGATGGGATGGGTGGACACTATGTCCTTCCTTCCAAGAAAGCATAGCCTGAGTCTGGTTTTTGGAAATCAGTATAAGGACCACTCTCTATAACTGCTTGGACACAAAAGACAGGGAAAGACTGAGGAAGTCTTCCAGATTGTAGAAGACAGAAGAGGCAAATGACTAAATACAACTTGTGTTCCTTGCTGAAATCCTGAACCAGAAGGAAATGCTGACCTTGCTGGGACAGTTGGAGAATGTGATTAGGTCTGTGGGTGGGACAGTAGTGTTGCTTCGATGTCAGTTTCCTGACTTGGAGGCGGTGTTGGTCATGTGGGCGAGTGTGCTTGACTTTGAGAAATACACACTATGATGTTTGAGGGATATGGGCCTGGTGTCTGCAGCGTCTCCTCAAATGGTTTAGAAAGAGATTGATGATAATGGTTTGTAGACACAGAGGAAGAGAAAGGGCAAACATGCGGAGGTGTTAACAGTTGGGGAATCTGAGTGAGGAGGACGTGGATGTTCTTTGTACAGTTCTTGCACTTTCCTATAAATTTGACAGGAAAAAGAATCAATCAGTAGGGCCGAGGCTGTGATGTATAAGTCACAGGCAGAGTATCAGCTCATGAAACACCCTTTGGGCTGGATCTATATTAAATTATCACTGCTAATGGAAAGCCAGCCTTGACGCAAGAGAAAAAAGGGTAAGGTACTCGAAGTGACCACCTTATCACTCCATTTCTAAATGCCAAGAGCATTCATCATTGATAGAAGAAGTACATTTGAGAGACCCCGATCTAGGTGAGAAACCAGATGCCCCCTGCACTAGGCGGGGTGTTGACCACTCGGTACCCTTTGAGCCAGAAGCTTGGGAGTCATGGCTGGAAAAGTAACAGATCTGACGCTTTGTGTTGTTTGGTGACTGTTTCTTCACTCCTCTAGGGTACAAAATGGAGGACCTTTGGTTCCTGCTCAGACGAGAAAGGAGAGCTGGGCTGCTGGCTGGGTGGGAGGTTGGCGGTCAAGGGCTTGGTGTCTGGACCCAGGCATAGTCCCCATGGAATCCCAGCCCTGCCATTGACTAGCCCAGGAGTCTGGGGCTAGCTACTTACTCGCACTCTGCCTCAGTTTCCTCCTCTGTAAGATGAGGGAAATAACCATATCTACTTTATGGGGCGTTTGGGAAGATCAAGCACATTCCTTCACTTGAGGTGCTGAGGATGATGCCCAGCGCACAGTGGGTGCTGTGTTGGTCTCTGCTGTAATTATTCCCGGGACTCAACAATGCCAGTGAAGCCCCACCTTCTGAGGGTGGACCAGGCTATGGGGGCCCCCTCTGTTAAGAAGAGGAAGGAGGGGGTGATTTCCTGCTCCTACCCCCAGGTGAGTTGTTTCTTGGTGAAGAGGGCAATTCTGCTGGGCAAAAGCTCAGATGATGAACCTTGGCTCATAGGTTACCAAGGCCCTGGTTGATTCTTCTCCTATGCGGCCTGACAGGCAGTGGAGACAGATTGGACTAGAGGTCAGAAGAATCCACTTCTGGATGTCTGCCAGAGCCGTGTGTGTGACCTCTCCTCTGTGGGCCTCAGTTTACTCATCAGCATAATGACACAGTTGTATTAGATCAGAGGTTTGCAAACTGTGAAGCCCTCAGGATTCTCCTGGGTTGCCCCTGGGTGCTACTGGGGGGAATAGGGAGGCGGAAGCAGCCAGTTCTAGGGGCCCCCACTTGGGCCCACCCAGAACTGTTTGGCTGGTGCCTCTAAATCAGGATTCTAACGTGGTTTCATGTAAAGAAACAATCCTACTACTAAACAAACTTTGAACATCATCAGACCAAGGTCCTCTGAGGTTTCACATTCTAGAGTTTTCTTTTTTTTCTCAAGGGACGGTAAATCAGTGAGAATTCCGGGCTCTCCAGGGCCCACATGTGATGCTAAGCTCTTAGGGGCGGCTGGTAGTGGAGGCCTTCACCCACCGTCTCCACCGTCAGGCTGGAGCAGAAGGGCTTGGATATTCGTGCGCGCGCACACACACTCTTACACACCATCTATCACACACACGTACACACATACACACACCACACACATCAAACATACACATTACATATCATACACCTACACATACTCACTGCACATACCACACACCACACATGTACATACACACATATACACATCACACACATCCCTTCACACCCTACACACACATACACTACACATGCACACACATACATCACACACATATACACCCATATATACACAGCACACACACACACACACACACACACACCCCACATGTTTCCATGACACACACTTTGGATGTGCTTTGCCCTCAGTGAACTATCAGCAGATGAATCTGAGGCCACGGTGCTGGAGCTCAGCTGCATGTCGGAACTGCCTGGGAAGTGCTGAAATCTACACTGTCTGCCCACTGTGTTCCTCATTTACTGTTGTGTAACAAATTGCTCAAAACTTACTGGCTTAAAACAACAAAGAGTTATGATCCACACACTTTCTGGGAGCAGCTTAGCTGGTGGTTCAGACTCAAGGTCTCTCATGAGTTTGCACTCAAGCTGATGACCAGGGATGCCGCCATCAGAAGGCACACCTGGGCTGGAAGACCCCCTCCTGTGTCTGAAGGCAGGAGGCTTCAGTTCCTCCCTGGCTGGGGGCAGGAAGCCTGGGTTCCTCCCTGGCTTCCTTGCCACGATATCTGCATAAGCTGCTTGAGTGCCCTCAGAATATGGCAGCTGTCTTTCCCCAAAGCAAGTGGTGACGGGGGGAGAGAGAAGACTCCATCGCAGAAGTCACACTCGTTTATAGCCTGATCTCAGAAGTGACAGAGCTTCACACTGCCATTTGCTGTATGTCATTTGCACAGACCAACCCTGGTACAATATGGGAAGGGCCTACACAGAGGTGCGGATCCCCAAAGGCAGGAATCATGGGGGGCTCCTGGAGGCTGGAGGACACCCTCACTGAATCACACCCAGGAATCCATTTCTTTCTTTTTTTCTTTTCTTTTCTTTCTTCCTTCCTTCCTTCCTTCCTTCCTTCCTTCCTTCCTTCCTTCCTTCCTTCCTTCCTTCCTTCCTTCCTTTTTTTTTTTGGAGTCTCTCTCTGGCACCCAGGCTGGAGTGCAGTGGCACAATCTTGGATCATTGCAACCTCCACCTCCCAGGTACAAGCGATTCTTGTGCCTCAGCCTCCCAAGTAGCTGGGCCACAGGTGCCCACCACCATGCCCAGCTAATTTTTCTATTTTTAGTAGAGATGGGGTTTCACCATCTTGGCCAGGCTGGTCTCGAACTCCTGACCTCAAGTGATCTGCCCACCTCAGCCTCCCAAAGTGTTGGGATTACAGGCATGAGCCACTGTGTCCAGCTAGAATCTGCATTTTTAAAGCATTGTAGGAAATTCTGATTATCAGCAAGAGTTGAAAACTTAAAGTCCTGGCTGATAATGCTCCTGGCTTGACTGCTCCTTGGAGTATCTACAATTCACTTGGGTACCCTTAGGACAAGGTAGACAGGCTTCTTGATCCCCAAACACAGACTTTTGGTGTTTGAGGAATTTGCGGTCCTGTGAGAGCACAATGGGATGACTTATCTGAGTTTTCCTAGTGTTCTTCAAAGCCCCTCATAAATAGGGCTGGCTGGTTCACTCGTCTGGCCTTGGGTCCTGAGGGTCAGCTGGCCTAGCTATTAGCATATGTGGTGGGGACAACTCTTAATAGTATGGACGTGTCCAATGCAATGTGGGATATTTAGGACTCCTGGCCTCTGCCACTGAATGGCCGTCACTGGAGAGGGGCAGGCATAGTGACCACCAAAAACATCCTCCTACTTCCAGATTCACCTAGGAGATATTGTGCATCCAGCTGAAGACCCCCAAATGGGAGGGAAAGCCCACCTCTAGCCTGAGGACCTCCAGCCCTCCTATGGGAGTCTTGAGCCTGTACATAGATAAGCGGGCTTCCTAGAGACTTTCTTAGACAAAAATCAGGGCTGGCCTCCCCTCCCTACCTGGAGGCAAGAAGGAAAGAGGGTGACAAAGGGAGGTTGGCCTCAAGCCCATTGCCTACCTGCCCTCCACTTCTGCACCCCAGAAGAAGAGGGGCATAAAGATCCTACCAGCTGTGTCCCCAGCATGTTCTCAACCCACAGAGGCCCAGACCCCCATCTCCGGCCCCTTCTGTCCCTGTTCGGACTCCTTAGCAGGCAGGAGGCTTTGTGATGTTCTCAGCACCCTTGCCCAGCCTCTGTCCTGGGCTCCCCCTGCCATCCTGTGGCCCTGTCAGTCCCTCCCCTGATCTGTTCTGATCTTCCATCTCTCCTTGCTTTCTCACCAGCAGGCGGTTCCCTCTGCCTAAAATCTCACTCAGCCCTTCTCTGCCTGTCCTTTTTCTGGCTCAGGATACCTCCCCTGATCCCTCTCAGATGCACAGGATGGAGTCCAGCATCCACCTGCCATTTCCCCAGAGCCCCTGCCCCCATCTCTGTGGCATGGCTCCCACCACGTCGCACCTGCTTACATAACTGCCAGACTCCCTTCCTGGACTCTGGGCTGCCTGAGGGCTGGGCCATTTCCTTCAGCCTCATAACCCCAGCACCAGGTGCTCTAGAGTGAGTGCTGCTGAAGAACCTCCTTTCTAGATGTGCTGTTGTGTTGTCTAGAGTGTACAAGAAAGGCAGGATTTGTGTCTGTCTTGACACTCAGTCGTCCCTCTGTCTCTGAGTTTCTCCCACCACTTCCCAGCAGAAATTCAGCATGAACCTGGTTATGCTCTTCTCGGTGTGATTTCTGAGACACATTTGTTGTTGTTGTTGTTGTTAAAGAAAACAGGATTTTTCCATCATCTCCTGTATTAGGACACTATAGGCCATGGCATAATACTAAACAAACCCCACATCTCAGTGGAATCACACACAGAATTTTATTTCTAACTTTCTGAAATTCTGCTGAGGGTCCAGCTGGTCTCCAGGGTAGCTCCTTGGGGACTCCAGGGTCCAGGTGGATTGCGTTCTGTGGCCCTGCCATCTCAATCCATGGTATCCAAGTGGCCCTGGCACAGGCAAAGAGAGCTGGAGGGTCGTGTTCTAGGTCAAGCTTGGCCAACCTGTGGCCCAGGATGGCTTTGAATATGGCCCAAAACAAATTTTTAAACTTTCTTAAAACATTATGAGGTATTTTACAATTTTTTGTTTTAGCTCATCAGCTATCATTAGTGTATTTTATGTGTGGCCCAAGACAGTTGTTTCGGTGTGGCCCAGGGAAGCCAAAAGATTGGACACCCCTGCTGTATGTCTTAAATGCTTTGGCCCAGAAATATCAGCTCCACTCAGAGCCCATTGGACAGAACTAGTCACATGCCCCCGCCCCAACTGCAAGGGCTGACACTTCTGCAGGGGAGCGGGAAGAAGGGGAGCACATGGCTGTTCTGTAAGCCTCAAGTGCCTCTGCCAAATCTTCCTCTTTCCTTCACTTGCTCACTTAACTCATCTTCATGGACAAGTGCTCTGCCCTAGCCTTTTAGAGAGAGAGAATTGATCACATAAGATACAGTTCCCCACGAGAGGCACAGCCTAGTAGAGGAAATGAGACATGCACAGATTACCACATGCATTCAAAGCTGCAAATGCCCGAGCAAGTGCTGGTGCCTTGCCCAGGTCACAGTCCCTGAAGGGCAAAGTCTGGGTCCTCTCCCAGTACACCCCACCTTCCTCCCCTGTGCTGCTGCAGCTCCTGCAGTCTGGGGCGTGAATGTGTGGCTGAGTACAAAGCAGAGGGCGCCATGGGCCCCCACACTGAATGCCTGTTGATCTCCTGGGAGCCCTAGCTTATCTCTCAGTGGGTTACACACAGAGCGCATGCCACAATGAGTGGTTTTAGGAGGTGATGCCTCCACTGGGGGTCAGATGCTGACACCTAGGCGTCTGGCCAAGCTCCTCTCCAGCCAAAGCCAAGGCCCCTATTCCTGGTGACTCCATCTGGCTGTGTTTCCACAACTGGCAATGAATCCAGGGGTGAGTCTCACTGCAGTGCTGACCTCAGGAACTTCATCTCTGGGGCTGCTGGACTCAGGCTCTTGGAGCCCCCACAAGGATGTGGGGCAACAGGGTAGACAGTAGGTGTCTGTGTCCAGGGCTCACCCTATACCTCTGTGAACCCCTGCTGCCAGGAATAGTTCTGCACTCTGAAAAGGCATTTAGTGAGCTAGTTAAGTAAAGGGTCTGTTGGTGGTGTTAACTGTCCCCAAGGTCTTCCTTCCCACACTGGTGGCTGGAGGGAAAGGAGCAGGTACGCTGGGATAGGAGCTAGCCAATAGCCAGGTTTTATGGCATCCACACCGAGGCATGACATGCCATACAATGGCAGCCTCAGGCCAGTTGAGACTGACATTGCTCTCTAAGAACACTGATGGGGTGGTGGGGGGTCGGCGGGGGTGGAGTGGGTGGGAGATGGGGGGCAGCAGAAGGCTCTGAGTACAGGGCCATGGATTCAGGGTTCAATCATGGTTCTCAGTGTTGAAGCCATAGGGCAGGGCGGACACTGAGACACACACTTGGGCTCAGACTGCAGTTCTAGGGGACCCCCAAATTCCATCCACAAGGCTGGTGTCCTGGTAGCATTTTTGGCATCTCTATCACAGGAGTGGAGGGGTTGGCCAGGCTACCACTCTGTCAGTGTTGTGGGCAGCCCAGGCCCATCATTAACAGTCCTGCTCTGAGTGTGGCCCCAGTGTTGAGGACTGCTGGAGTGGAGGCCTCGCCAGGATCGGTGGCTGTATGGTGGTGTGCTCCCACTAGAGGGCACCAGCGCACCACTCTGCAGGCTCCAGCCTGGTGCTTGCTGTGGGAAGTCCCCTGGTCCCAGCGCCAGCAGCCAAAGGCGTCTTCACCGGCCATGCCTCCTGGTCAGCGCTGCACATGCACACTGTCCTGAAAATGACCCCACTCAATGCCCAGGCCCTTCCTCCCTGCAGCAAGTGGGAGGATGGCGAGGTGCAAGAGGCAGCCACACTAAGGTGTAGGGAAGCTCCTGTTGGGCCACATGTCCCCTGCTAGGCCAAGGCATGACACTCCTCCAGAGGGCCCGCCCCTCCCTGGGACCCCTGGGAACACACTGCTTCCAGGAGGGCAGCAGCACGGGGCTGCAGGGGAACACCCACTGGGGTGGGGCTGGGGGAGTTACAAAGTGTTGGCTTCCGCCCTTGGAAGGATGGGGGCTGGCTAAGTGGGGAGATGGAGCCGCATAATCTGTAATCCATAGTCTAAGCCGAGTTAATTTACTAAGTTCTGAATTAACTTGACTAAGTTCCAAGTTAACTTGACCAAGTTCCATGTGAAGGCAAGGGATGAAATCCGAATTGCATATCCTTCACCTCATCTCTGGTCTGAGACCACCCCCCGGCACCCCCTCCCCCAGGACCCCTTTACTCTGAGGTGTGACTTGGGGAGCAATTTCTCCATGTGTGTGAAGTCGGCGCGACCAGTGTGAGAAAGACGGTCTAACGGGCATGTTGTCCCTGTGCCCTAGATGGCCCCTAGGTGAGCATTAGATTTCCTCAGGTTCCCGGGCACAGGGCCCTCGGCGCCCTGCGGAAATGCCACCTCCTTATATCACACAGTGGCCTGGTGCTTTTGTGTCATATACAATACCCCATTGAAAGACGTTGTTTGTTGAATTATCCAGTGTCCTGCCCAGGGCTTTCTATCAGGACGTATTTTGGTCATTATCCTTGAATTCTCCCAGACAAACATTATGTCTGCTGTCTTTGGTCTGACAGTAGGAACTACATAACCCACTGACTTCTCGTTTTGCCTTTCTCTTAGGAAATTTTGAAACCAAATTCTGTGTCTGTTGGCCGTTAATCATTAGATGGCTCAGACCTAGCAGGGCCGGCTCCCCTGCCCCCACATTGCTGGCCTTGTCCAGAGCGTGTGACTCAGGAGCCCTTTGCTGTGAAAGGGGCTTAGTGCCCACACAACAGTGGACGCCACCCGGTCAAGTGGGATTTCTGGCCTTAGGGATGTGCCCAAAGCATTCCCCATTGAGGGTCCCCAGAAGGCTCAGGGGACGGAAAGTGGCTTTCTGGCCTCCTGAGCCTGTGTCCAAGTCCAGCCTTCACACGGGAGACGGCTAAAGGAAGGGACAGTTCCTTCCTCGTTCTTCTGCTTGGCCCTGGATGATAACAGAGAGATCCTCCCCACTACCTCTCTAAAGAATCCGAGGGACAAATGAGCTTTCAAAATGAAAATCATGGCTCCATGAAATGACACTCAGGTGTCCCTCACTCCTGGAGGAGTGAAAATGGTGGCCGATAAGGAATGGCCTGGCAGCCCCAGCAGGTGGCGCTGCTGCTATTTAGTAATGGGGGTCCTGGGCGGGAGGCCGGGGCCGCGGCTGGGGCTGCCCCACACTGGGGTTGAAGCCTCTGTAGCCGGGTTCCCAGACCTCCAGATGAGAAGGAGTAACTTTATTGTTCCCTAGGGCTGTGTTAGCTGTTGCCAAGTCTTCTGGAAACTTCTAGGACATGCTAACTCACAGGCGTGAGGATTAGTAAAGTGCCCCGAGACACCCAGGAGCAGAGTCCTGAAAACCATGCCCCACCTCGCCTCCCCAGGCCCTGTGCACCGGCGACTGTTGCTCCATGTCACCCGTGGTCCCACGGAGGTGAGGTCTGACCTTATTCACCCAGGCCAACATTACGGATCAGGCATCTCTCTGTGTCCCAGGCATTGTCTTATAGCCATTATGGACTGAGTTTAAGTGCAGGGGCTGGTACCTGTCCCATAGACGGGGACATGGTATTCTCCTAATGTCCCCTTAGTGAGAATTCAACAAGGAGCGTAATGCACCAACAGTAACACTAGCGAACATTCACAGAGTGCTTTCCGTGTTCCAGGAACTGAGAAGGTCCTTGCTTTTTCTAATCTTACCCTCACGTTGTCCCATGGAGCACGTACTGTTATTGACCTCACTTTACAGACCGATGTCTTTGGTCGGATGTAACCTTCTCAGTAAGGGCTTGTGAACACTCCATATGCCTCCTCATCACTCAAGAATCGTCACTCGATTCTTCCCTGCAGCGCCTGTCGCATGTTTGCTTTATTTCTTTTGCGTCTGTATTCTCCCAGTGGAGTGTACGTTCCCCTGGGGCACATCTAGGGGCTCATTAAATATGGGTTGAGTGACTTGCTCCTGCCCCAGAGGGACTCCCACCCAGCATCTTAGTCCAGAACTTGTGCCTCCACCACAGAGGCTACCATGACTTGAGTGCTGTCTGAGCTGCGGGCTGCATATACTATCTCTGAAGTCTCACAAATACCCTGGGAAATGTTTATTCTATTATTATTTCACAGATTGGAGAACTGAGCTCAAATACCTTGCCTCAAATCACACAGCTGGGAGAAGGGGGATTGGAATCCAGGCAGCCTGACTCCTCTGGTACCTCTTTCTAAGGAGGGACGATGAGGAGGAAGAGGTGCTGGAAAAACATTTTCTAATTCCAGGAGACGGTAGTCACGTACAGCAAGTTAGGGGTGAATGTCATTTCCTTAATAAGCAAGAACAAGAAAGTGGGTATCTCTGTTTTTCTCTCTACTGCTGAAGGCAATAAAAATGGAAAGAAAAAAAGAGAAAAGCCTCTACTGACAGCTTTGAAAGAGAAATATTTTTTTCTTCTTTTTTAATCAGACAGGTTTGTAGTGGCCTTCCCCATCCCTGCTGGCCCAAGACGCTGTAGCAGCCATCAAGGAGGGGGTCTTACAAACGAGAGCCCCTTTCCCTCCCCAGCCACCTCCCCACCCCCAAGTGCTTCCTCCCTCAGGACAAAAATAGGCGCCCATACAATAAATGGGACCAGAAGTTCTCCAATCCGTGGTTTCCTGTCTGAGACCTCCAGGTAGCAGGTCCACTGGGAAGGGGCAGCGTGCTCTGTGAGGCGAGCCTATTTTTATTTTTTGTTATTTGTGAGTCTTTTTTTTTTTTTTTAAAGAACTGATTATTCTGGAGGTGAAGACTTTTGTTGGTGACAACTGGGAAAGTTCCTCGGGAAGAGGCCACTGTCTGCGTCTAGATGGGGTTTCCACGCGGGCCTCCTCCTGCTCACTCCATGCGGAGCAGAAGGCAGGGAGCTGGGACTGTGGGCAGCGAGTACTTTCAGGGCTGTGTGGGGCAGGCTTCAAGGGGCCTGGGCAAGTCTGCCCACCCTATAGGAACACCTCAATGATCCAGGCCACGGCTAGGATTTTAGGGATTGGCAAACTGGTCCACAGACCAAGTCCAGCTCTCCAGCCTGTTTTTGCAAATAAAGTTTTATCAAAACGCAGCCACACCCATTCACTTGCTTCCTGTCTGTGACTGCATTTGTGCCACAGCCACTTGCTGTGTGGACCCTATCGCCGGCAAAGCCTAAAATATTGACTATCTGGCTTTTTACAGAAAAAGTTTGCCAAACACTGATCTAGAATATAAACAGAACAAAAAAGGAAACCTCTGAGAGTTAAAACAGGTGGCAGAAATCCTAAAGCTCACTCACTAGTCATCCAAGAGCCCTTCTGCTTTGCACACAGAACATTGTGTAATTCACCCAAAATAATTTTCTTCCAGCTTCCATTTCTTCTGCTGTAAAGTTGGGGGTCATATACCTGTTCAACTTACGTTGCAAAGCTGTGCTAAGAGTCAAAATACAATAAACCAGTTCATATAATGACAGGGATTTTTGAACTTAAAAAACACTCTGCAGATGTGATGTGGCCTCATGAAGTGGTAGTCACATCTGGAAGCAGGCAGAGAACTGGCAAGCTTGGCAGATAAGAACTGCGCTTGGAGATGGTCCAACAGCTTCCTTCTGTGGGTTTCTTGGCGGGTGGGAGATGGAGGGCAGGGACTGTTGGCTTTCCCCAGCTCCTCCTGAGACTGAGACCTAAAGGGTGACTGTCTTCCTGCCCTTGACCTTAGACAGAAAAGACTGTTGGGGGAGTCTTCTGCTCACCCATTTCTCTTTCCTCTTATGTCCTTCCCTCTTTCTTGCTCAAATCTTCCCCCTCTTTCATGGCCCTGTTCCAATTTCACCTCCTGCATGAAACTATTCTGGATAAATCAGACCACATCAGCCCACAGAGGTTTCTTGGTTTTTTGGGGGTCTTGATTCTAGGCCAATTTTGAGGTTTTCCCCTTTTTTATGCCCCTCCATGCATTTGTGCCTCCTGGAGGAGGTAGACCTGGAACTGGGCCTTGGGGGGTGGCCTGGGAGGGGAGAGGGACCTATGGGGAGAAAGAGAATTATGGTCAGGAGAAAAGGAGGCTGTTGAGAGTGGGGGAGTCCAGGAGTCCTCGAGAGGGGAGACTGTATGTAGGGAGAGCAGTTGGGGGTGGCCCTGGACGTCTTGGGACCTGACCAAATAGGGACTCAGCCGAATGCTCTCCAGCAAGGAAATGCAGGATGGAAGGAGGATTCAGAAGCCGTGGGACAGGGCCTGACTGAGCCTATGCCCTCCTCCTGGAGACCAAGAGGGAGTTCCCAGGATCTCCCTCCAGGCACCAGGGAAGAAGTTTTGTTATTTGTTAGGGACAAAGGCTAGAGCCCTTTAAAAGTAGGACTTGGCCCCAGTGGAGAGGTCATCTGTCCATGCCCTACTTTGGGCCAGACCATATCCAGAATCCCTTGATGAGTATCAGAGGGCTTAATCCTTCAGGGAGTAGGGCCTTGAGGCCAGCATGGGACAGGGAGCTGGGACAGTAGGCTCAAAGAAGGCCAGATTGAGGACAGCCTTCCTCAAGGTCTCAGCTGGGCCAAGGCCATCACACAGACAAAGAGCTGCTGGCCTAGCCCTGCTGGAGGAATGAGCTCAGGGTTGAGAAGAGGCCAGCAGGGGTGCCCGGTACACAGTGAGCAGGCCCCAGGCTGGCCTGAGTGGCCCTGTCGACGGATGCCCAGAGGCAGACCCACCCTGCACACGTCCACCCGCTTTGATGAATGGGGCCACACAGCCCGCAGCCTTGCCGTCCCTGTCCTTCAGCAGTTTCCAGGGTCTGGTTTAATCCTCCCACTCCCTGAGCCAATTTGGCGATGCCCTTGATGACTTGGGCCAGGCCTGGTTGATTGAGATTGCTTGCCGGTCCAGCATCTTCCCTCCTCTGTCCTTTGTGGAAGGAGCCGCCGGGGCTTGGGGGAAGAGGAAGGTGTCGCCAAGGGTGTGAAGCATCCATTATTCCTTTATTAGCCAATGTCCCATTTCTGGTCTCATTCTCCTTCCTGGCAGCGGTGAGTTTAGGGGCGGAGAAGCCCAGTTATTTTAGTTTCCCCCTGCTTCTGTCACTGGGAGCAGTGGTGGTGGAGGGGGCGGGGACGGACAGGGCTACGTGCTCTCCAGCAGGCATTTGTGAATGGGCCTCGGCTCCCAGGCTGACCCGCCGGCAGGCGGCCCCCCCAGGACACACTGACTCTTACTGGCTGGAAGGCGTTTTTCCAGCATTGCAGCGGCCAGGCAGGAGGAAGCTTTCCTCTGGCCCAAGAACAATACCAGGGTCAGCCCAGGGACCTCCCTCCTACACCCTCTTCCTTCCATTGTGAGCTGCTGCACAATCCCAGGCCCCTCTGTTCTATACAGCCAGGGGGGCTGGGGGGTCAGGCCCAGGAGAGATTCACAGTGTGTGTGACACCGTCAGTGGCTTGCCTCCACTTCCCAGGCTGGGCCAGGGATCTGGAGGCAGCCGATGGCCAAACAAACCAAGTGAGTGAGTGGCCATTGGGTCCCTGTCCTTTGCAAGGGGCTACCTCCAGAGTGGGGCCCCCAGCTGGATGCTACCACTCTTTCCCTCCTTTCCCCATTGACTCGTAGCCTGCCAGGGCTGGAAAAGACCCAGAACTTCCACCTACAACCCCATTACAGACGAGGAAACTGAGAGACCCAGAAAGGCAAACTTCTCATTGCCTTGCTTAAAAATCCTTCACTGATTCTCAGGGCCTATGGAAAACCCTGGACTTTCCTTTAGCCCAGGGCCTGCTGGCACCCCCGGCTTCTTTCCTGTGACTCCGAGTCTGTCTGTGCTCTCAGCTTGGTGACTGATTGCCAAGCCCCTGATCCAGCAGCACCAGTTGCCTTCAGTGTCCTTCCCACCTCATCCACCTGCCTGCCTGCCCCACACCTGGTTTTTGTTTGTTTGTTTGTTTGTTTGTTTTTTGAGATGGTGTTTCACTCTTGTCACCCAGGCTGGAGTACAATGGCTCGATCTTGGCTCACTGTAACCTCCGCCTCCCAGGTTCAAGCAATTCTCCTACCTCAGCCTCCCAAGTAGCTAGGATTACAGGCGCGTGCCACCACACCCGGCTAATTTTTATGTCTTTAGTAGAGATGAGGTTTCACCATGTTGGCCAGGCTGGTCTTGAACTCCTGAGCTCAGGTGATCCACCTGCCTCGGCCTCCCAAAGTGCTGGGATTACAGGTGTGAGCCACCGTGCCCAGCCCCACACCTGTTCTTCAAAGACTCTGCTTAGAGGTCACCTCCTCTGTGAAGCCCTCCCTGATAAGGGACTTTTCCAATGCGTTAGTTTATTGATTCACCTGGCTCCTCCAGCACTTAATATATTCCTAGAGCACAGCTGCCCCTCCACATCACTGGTACACATGCATGCCTCACCCACACATGCATCTCTCCCTGAAACACACATGATCCCGGGAGCCAAAAGCGTATCTTATTCACCTCTGCAGCTCTTTGCACAGGTCCTCAAAGTGTGGCCCCTGATCAGCAGCAGTAATATCACCTGGGGACTTGCTAGAACTGCAAAGTCTTGTGTTCTATCTTCACCCCAGTGAACCAGAAACTCTGGGAGAGGGGCCCAGTGGTCTGCATTTTAACAAGCCCTCTGTGATACTGATGCGTGCAACAGTTGGAGAACCACTGCCTTACGACCTACTTGCAGGCCACTGGCTTTTCACTACTTCTGGATAGTTCAGGGAGTCACTGACATCACCTTCCCCTATCCCCTTCTATCTGCTGCTGAGATTTTTGGTTGGTTGGTTTTTACCATTATTTTGCTCAAATGAAGGACAAAGAATTGTGCCCTGTTTGACAACCCAGGACATGGATTTGCAAATGGTTTGGTGATTCAAGGACAACATGGTCCCCCAGACTCCAGCAACTGCTCCTGTCACTGGTCATGCCTCAGAGGACCCCTGGGTCCCGACAGCCCTGGGCGGGCCATTGGGGATTAGGGTTTCTGGAAGGCTCATTCCCTTTGCACCAAAGATAGAAACCTCAGCAGAGTCCTCAGTGACGCTGCGTATTTCCAGGTGGTCAAAGCCAACACCTGGGGTGGAGATGTGGGGGCAACCCACCTGGATGGGGCGAAGCCCTGGGCTCAGTGTTCCAGATCTTTCCTTCCAGCGCACTGCTTTGTGTGTGTGGCAGATGAACCATCCACAGCGTGCTGGGCAGAGGCCGACAGGGAGAGGAGTTTGTTCCCTGCGTGCAGAACCTCTGCAGCGGCGGGCGCTGACACCGAAGCACACTGGGTGGCAGGGGGAAGCCTCCCTGGGAATAAAGCAACAAACACAAACTTCTGTCTGCAAAGAGAATAATCCAAAGTTGATGTTACATCGACCATAAGTAAGAACAACAAGGGAGTAGCAGGCCTAGCTAAACACGCCCTGGAAAGGCTACATACTGTGGTTGTGTCCAGAAAACAATTTTGGACTCCAGGAACCCCACAGAAAATGACGGCCTGTCCCTTGGACCCCTGCTTGCAGTGAGACCACTGTCCCTCCGAGCATCAGTGGTCTCACTTCGAGCAGGGGGCACAAGGGACAGGCCATCATTTCCTGCCCCCGAGCCTCACCCTCCTCCTGTGAAATAGGAGTGCTGGCCTTGCCCTCCTTCTGGATCCAAGCCTTCACCCCCCTTGCCCACTTTTGGGGTGCTCCTGAAGGAAAGAGCTCTGATTATTAAAGCATTAGATGTAGTCTTGTGTTCTCCAAAGACCCTCTTTGTTCCTTTTGGCACCCCACCCCCAAAGGGTTCAGGAGGAAGCTCTGCCTCTAGCGGTCTAGGCCCTGCTCTCTCTCCAGAGTGAAAACCTCAAGGAGTGTTTTCATTACTCCTGGGGACTTTGGTGTTGCTTTTCGCTGTGGGTTTCCTGGAGTGTGTCTCTTTTGGATCCCAGAGGTCTGCCAGCCTGGCCGGGATCCAGGGAGGGTAAATGGTGGCTCCTTGTCTGCTGAGACAAGCGTGGCACCACTGTGGCCACCAGCCCTGAAAATTTGGGGCCCAGGCTCCCAAGCTCTCATGGGGGCCCAGTTGCACCATGAGGCCCAGGGCTGCTGGCCACTAGTTCTATGTTGAGTGGCCAACATGGCCTGGGCTGGGGTTCCCCTACCTGTGAGGTGCTAAAGTGTCAGGTGGGATGGACACTGCTGTGGCGTGGTGACATTGCTAAGGTGACTATTGGAGCAAATGACCTCAGTAGCCACTTGCACCTCGCATGCTTTGTGGCTCTGATTAGATCATTCATCTCCAACGTAGTATAATGTGGGGCCACAGGTGCAGGTGGGATTCAGAAAAGGGAAAATGTAGGCTGGGGCGACCTCATGCCTTCATGGGGAGGTGGGCCCCAAACACTTGAACCATCTACTCATTTTTTATCAAAATAGTACCTGTCTGTAACTTACAAAAATTAAATGATACTGAAAGGCCTGTGACAGAAAATAGCAGCTTTCTACCCCCTGCGTCCTCAAGTGACCCGTTCCATTCCTCAAAGCAACTACATACCTTCACTGTTTTTACTATTTTTTTCTAGTGGTACCACCCTATTTCGAATACAGATATCTAATCTCTAATATTTCTAATATCTAGTATACTATTATTATACTGTTCTTTTTAAGTATATCAATTCTAGTGATTTCCTGCTGATTTTCTTATTATGAGAGAGAAGAATTTTGTTCTCCTATACTCTGTCCTCTCAATATAGGTATACCGAATTTTACTTAAATGTTTAATCAGATGATTACTTCATTAACGAATCCTGCTTTCCTTTTCTTTATTTTGCAAAAATTCAGATTCACAGGAAAGTTGCAAAAATAACACAAAGAATTCCTATATAGCCTTCACCCAGATTCCCCAAGTGTTCACTTTTTACCATACTCGCTTTATCATTCTCCCTATGTAATTTTATTATTTTCTTAATTCCTTGAAGAGTAAGTTGCAGACACAGTGCCACTTTACACCTAGATACTTCAGCATGTTTTCCTAAAAGCATGGACATTCTTTTCCATAAATGCAATCTAATTGTCATATCAGGAAATTAGCATTGACAGAATACTGTTACATAACCTGTAGACATTTACATTTTGTTAATTGTCCCACTAATGTTCTTGATAGCTAAAGAAAAAGTTTTTGTTTTTTTGTTTGTTTGTATTTTTTTTTTTTTTTTGGTTTAGAACCTATACAAGATCAGACTTTGCTTTTAGTTGTCATATCTCTTTATCTCCTCAATCTTTCTTTGTCTTTTATGACCTTGACATTTTGAATAGTACAAGCAGGCCAGTTATTGTGTAGAATGTCTGTCAATTTGATTTTGTTTGATGTTTCTTCATAATTGAGTTTGTGTACTTTTTTTTTTTCTTGAGATGGAGTTTTGCTCTTGTCACCCAGGCTGGAGTGCAATGGTGCGACCTCGGCTCACTGCAACCTCCGCCTCCCGGGTTCAAGTGATTCTCATGCCTCAGCCTCCTGAGTAGCTGGGATTACAGGCACATGCCACCACGCCCGGCTAATTTTTCTATTTTTGGTAGAGACGGGGTTTCACCATGTTAGCCAGGCTGGTCTTGAATTCCTGACATCAGATGATCCGCCTGCCTCGACCTCCCAAAGTGCTGGCATTACAGGCATGAGCCACCACTCTCGGCTGAGTATGTGCACTTTTTAAGGGAATACCACAGAAATGGCGCTGTGTCCCTCTTCGTGCAGCTCATGGAGAGGCACAGGGATTTCGTGATGTTGACATTGACCAACTGGTTAAGATAGTAGCTTCCAGGCCTCACTGCTATGAAGTTACTATTTTTCTTTTTTTAATTTTTTTGAGACAGAGTCATGCTCTGTTGCCCAGGCTGAAGTGGAGTGGTGCGATCTCAAGTCACTGCAACCTCTGCCTCCTGGGTTCAAGTGATTCTCCTGCCTCAGCCTCCCAAGTAGCTGGGATTACAGGTGCCTGCCACCACGCCTGGCTAATTTTTGTATTTTTAGTAGAGATGGGGTTTCACTGTGTTGGCCGGGCTGATCTCAAGCTCCTGACCTCAGGTGATACACCCACCTCGGCCTCCCAAAGTGCTAGAATTACAGGCATGAGCCACTGTGCCCCGGCCCCAAGTTACTATTTTTCTCTTTGTAATTAATAAGTATCTTGCAAGGAGATAGTTGAGACTATGTAAATATACTGTTTCTGCTAATACTTTCACTCACAAATTTTAGCATTCCTTAATGATTCGTGCCTGAAATGTCATCATGCTGATCAGCAAATAGTGGTTTTAAAAAATTCCATCTACATTTATTAGTTGGCTTTCTGCTATAAAGATCTTTCCTTCTCTATTTTTCTTTTATCTGTTTATTTATATATGTTTTGGCTCATAGATTTTTATTTTATTCTAAGGGTTATAATCCATTACTATTATTTATTTTGATGCTCAAATCATCCCAGTGGGAGCCCTTGCAAACTGGCTTCTGTGTGTTTCTAAAATGTCCCCATTATTCTTTGAGCACTTCTTGACTTTCAGGCATGAGAACTTGTTCTGGGCTTATCTGGTATTTTCTCTGCCCCAGCCCTGGAATCTAGTGTTATCTAAGGAGCCCTGGTACCTTTTAATGAATGGTTCTTAGAAGCCAAGATCGGGACCTAGGTGTGCTCATTGCTGCTCGGTTCTCACGTTTTTTTACTCTCTCCTCCCTCATTCCTTGAGTGCCTGGGTTCTCAGGTCACAGCTTCTGTTATTCTGCTTCTCCAGAAATAAACTTTGAATCTTTTGCCTGGTGGTGGGGACCAAAGTGTAGTTTCCTGGCTATGTGGAAAGGGAAGGGGACTTGGGGAGTCTCATATTTAGACTTCGATCTGGTTCTGCTGTTTCCTGCCAACACCTGAGCCTTGCCTCTCCTGGTACCTGGGGCCTGCAAGCTTTGAGTCCTCGGAGATTTGCAGCCTCCATCCATGCATTTCTCATCAGTATTCCTCTCTGCACATAACTTAGGTTGCACCTGTCCCCACACTGCCAAGTTGCCCACTCCTCCTTCGTTTACTTTCTGTCTTTGCAAAGTTTGTTGAAATCTCTTTTCTTGATCTCTGTGCTTATGGGGGTTTACAAGTTTTTGTATTCATGAGAGAGCAGGAGTTGAATTAAATGCATGTGGTCAATCCTGTCGAGTCAGAAGTCTAATTTGTTTGGATTTAAATAGTTAGGGAAACAGGAAGAAGGTCGGAAGACTGAGCTCTGTGTGCTTGTCAAGAGGAGCAACGGGAGCAGATGGTGTCGTGTGGGAGTCGGGGATAAAGCGATCTGTCTTCAGAGTTCAGGCAGGAGAACTGGCTTGTGGCTGAGCCCTGGACAGGTTGTATAGAGAGGATAAAGGGGGTGCAGGATGTACCTGAATGCCAGTACATAGATTTTTTTCTTTGCTGTTGTTCAAAGAACTCTAGGAGGGGACACACACACACACACACACACACACACACACACACACACACACACCAAGCTTACCAACCAGGAGATGGGCAGAGTGAGCAGAGTATAAGCCCCAGTCGTCTGAGGGGCCTGGGAAAATCTCTGCTTGGATTCAGACCTTACAAAGATTCAGACCCTACACAAGAGCCACCAGGGCAAAAGTGCTCTGGGACTCAAGGATAAGGCTCTATTGTCCTCCCCTGCTTAGGATTCCAGCCACACCCTGCCTAGCTTTGTATTTGCCCCTTCCTGGTGGGAAAGACTCTTCCTCAGCAAGCCTCCAGAGCCCTGGGAGCAGGGCTCTTGTCCGACACCACCTCTGAGACAGCACTGGTACGCTGTTGGAGCTCCATCAATCACAGAACCAGAGAATCGTTGCTGAAATTGCCAGAGCAAATGTGAAGCCGACTGTGTGCAAAGGTGAGCCTGAAAGCAGCCTCTTCAAATTGCCCTTAAGAACTTGTAAGGCACCAGGTAGTTGCTGGCACCTCTGTCTCTGCAGCCGCCTGAGTCCCGCTGTCCTTTGCCGTTACTAAGAAATGTGGCCCCCACCCCCAGTGGTAGCCCAGTCCCAGAAGGTCTCATATAAAGTACAAGCTGTCCTTGCCTTTTGCCAATTCACATTTCAACAATCCACGCATTCTGCAGTTCCTGAAAACCGCTTGTGTAGAACTTCTGGTAGCTTTAATCTCCTTACTTGGGAGTTCCTGCTCATTTCTGGAAATGTTTAAATAAGCAAGTCTACCCTTAAGGAAAGTCAAGACAGCTTTTCCAGTATAATACATTGCATCTTAGTGATAAAGAGGTAGAAACCTCAGAGCTTAGTCTGGTTGAGGCAAGGCCAGTCTGTGCACGGTTTTGTCAGCTGCTCCTCCTCTCAAGAACACTAAGGCCTGAAGGGCAAGGGCTCTGGGTGCATCCTTATTACCTGGAAGTGCTCCTTTTCCAGCAGATCACCTGCAAGGATTCCTCCTACCGACATGTTGTCACCTCAGCCCCTGATGTGGAGGATAAAGCTGGGTATACTTGCGATGGGGCTGGTGAAGAAGAGAGGGTCAGATGAGGGCAGGCTCAGGTATAGGGGTGCCAAGGATGGGTACCTAGACCAGCCAGAGAGAACACAGAAGACTTAGCTGTCTCACCATGGTGCCCAGAGTAAGGAACAGCCAGCATTGGATGGAGGAACAAAGAGATGAAATGTCCTCTGTGCATGTATCTTGAAAAGCACCTAGTCACCATTCTAAACCATCCTAAACACGTCCTTCTAAACAAGGAAGGCAAGGCTCCCAGTGGGGAAGTGCTGGGCCAGAGGCCACACAGCTCACTCAGCCACTGACTTGGGGCCCAGGGTCCCTTGGTCGCTGGTCTTCCCACACATCCTGTAGTTTCTTTTATAATGAATCCGAATGATTGGTCCTTGTACAAGGCTCACAGGACATCTGTTTAATAATGTATTCTAGAATTTCCTAGAGATCAGCATCAAGTAGGTGTCTTTGAAAAGGCTTCATCACTAAAGCATCTGCACAGAAAATGTTCTGTAGAGAGGAAAGAGGGGGAGAAAAAGAAAGGAATGACAATCAGAGCTGCCTCTCTGTCTCTGCACACACTCCCCTCTCTCATCCAAGTGAGAACTGCAAGACCACATAAGCTGCTAATGGCCGAGGTTCCCGGGGCCCCACTCCTCAGCCCCGCCATGCCGGGGCACAGAGAGGTGGGGGCACAGAGAGGTGAGGGCTCTTCCGAAAGATGCGGTGGTGTTTGGGGGCCTTCAGACACACCCTGGAGGAGGAGGACTGCCACAGCATCTGGGCATCCCGCACTGGCAGTTGTACCCTGTCCTCATTGTTCTCTGTTCTGCATACTGGGCTGTGTGTCAGGCCTGTGGCTTCCTTTTTCATCCCTGAAGGAGGCCACTAGCCACATGGCGACTTTTTGCAAATTAGAAAGAGGTGCCCCTTCCTCAGCACAGCCTCTGTCTGATATTGTCATAAAAATAACTCAAATCTATGAGGACAGAGTGGCCGAGTCACCTCCTGGGGTTGTTCAAAGCATGCAGAAGCAGCAGCCCGCTCTCATTTTAAGTGGATTTCACATGCTGCAGCTTGAATTGAAGGCTTGGGTCACTAAGTCATTTTCTAGAAGGCCAAACTTTGAGTTGAGAACCTTTCAGCTACAGAGAACCCTCCGCTGAAGGGTAATGTCTAACAGCCAAGAAGGCAAGTTTCCTCCATTCTATTTCTTCAGGAGGATGGAGTCACGAGGTCATAGGAGGGCCCACCTGAAAGGAGCCTTCATGGTTGTCCATATAACACAGCCCCTTTCAGTCTGCACTGAGCCAAACTCAAGCCCCAGGCCAGCGCAGATGAGCTGAATTCTCAAGGTTGTTGTGAGTCAGAGGTCACTGTACACAGGAGAGAGATTCCTGCTGTCCAGGAGGGGCTAAGTGCAAAGGTGACTTTCAGGGAAGAAAAGGTCACTACCTTCCCCTGCCGCAGTTAACTCTCTGGGCAATGGGTCCTGGGCATGAGGCACTTGTAAAGCTCCCCGAGTGAATCTGGCTTGCAGTCATGGCTGAGCCCCTCTGCCCTAAGGTATTAAAGACTTATCCCATTTCCCCAGTCTGTGAGATACTTACATCATAGAAAAATAAGCAGTTAGCCAGGACTTGATCCTAACTTATAAAACATTAGTTCAGTAGCTTCTGTCATCTTGAAATTGATCATGCCCAGCCTTATTTTCTCCCTGTCCTATAAGAAGGTAGGATTCCTCAGAGCAGGGCTCATGTCTTCTTTGCCATTGTGTTTCTTATAGGTGACACTCTCTCCCCCATCTCCACCCCACCCCGTCCTTCACCAAAACTCATCAATTTCATTCTAAATTTTATTTTATTTGGGCGTTTACAGACTCTCCTTCCATCCACTATGGCTTCCCTAACTCCTCCGCTAGTCCTCCTTGCCCCTTGGCTGTTGTGACAGCCCCTTACCAGTCTGCCCTGGGTTTGGTTTAAATCCCCTAAATCCAGTCACCTCTAGCATGACCTACAAAGTGCACACATCTAGCTAGTTTCCTGATTTGCTCCAGCCTGTCCTTGCCTTCCATCACGTGGAAGACAAGCTCCTCTCATGCACGGTCATCCCAATCCAGCCCCTGCATTTCCTTCCAACCCTGCATCCCACATTTTCCCTATCTTGCACCCCATGTAACAGCACACTGGACTAGCTGTGGAGCCCTGAGTACAGAAGGGCCAGGTCTGTCTTCTCCTGGCTGATCCATCATGACCTGGCTCGGGGATTGGCTGTGGAAAGTAGTCCACAAACACTTAAGGAACACTCTCTCAGCAGCCCTGGCGCACCCTGCAACACGCACAGGACCCAGAAGGCATCCTCCCAGAGCCGGAACACAGGAGCCTGCCCCGCTCCACCTCTTCCAAGCTGCATGGACTTGACCAAGCACCTTTACTTCCCCATTTCCTCCTATCTAGGATGGAGATAATAAAACCTCCTCCCTGCAAACCACCATCTCAGAAGGCTGTAGTGAGAATCAAGCAAGACAATAATGGAGAAACTTCTTTGAAAACAGTGAGGTGCCAGTCAAATCTAAGGGCTTCTGAGAGGGCAGCAGTAAATAGGTATTGCACACGGCAGCTCCTGGGGCCCACTGGGAGCCACTCACCACGAGCATGGTGCACGTGCCTGTGAGCAGGGCAGACAGAGTGGCTGCAACACAGGCTTCTTCCTTCGGTATTTTTATAAAGGGAATCGGGTGAAGGAAATGTCTTGGAATAGACAATCTTCCTAAACTCCCCCAAAATAACTTCAGTGGAAACAATTGTAACGTCCACTCTGCCGGCATTGTTTCAGTCCACTGTAGTATGGGAAAAGTCTCCCGGCATTTCCAACTCAACTGGGAATCCACTTGACTTCCAGACGTCTAGAAACAAAGGGATTGTGCCCAAGGGCCACTCTGGGTGTTCGTGGCCCTCTGGTGCCGAAGACAATTCCAGGGCCTGTGTATAGCTTACTCTTCCTCTCTCCCTCCCTTTGGGAGACATATTTGCTGAAGGGCTTTGTATTTTCCCATACATAACTTTGTAGGGGTCGTTACCAAAATAGTTTGTTAGAATACACTTGAGATTCTAGATTTCCCTCCAGTCAGTCACACAGCCCAGTGTTCCAGATTCGAGGCCTCCCAATGCTCAGTGACTCTTTGCCACCTGCACCAGATAGAATCAGTCCTCTCCTAAAAGGTCTTTCCTTCTTCCTTTCTCTAGCTGGGAACAGGTGCTCATGTCCCCAGTCCTTGTCTGGTCTTCCTGTCTCCCCACTCCTTCTCTTGTGAGTCTGTCCTCCTCAAAGAAATTGTCCAAGCATCTTTGCTCACTCCTGTCTCCCCTTTCCCTCTCCCTCCCAGACCCAAGTGGTGACACCAGCTCTCCCCTGGCCTGAGACAGATCTGAAGCCCTGGAATGTTTCTTCACTCCCTCATCTATTCTTATCCTCCACCGCCCCTCACTTGCTGCCCCAGGTATTCCAGGACAATCCTATTTACCTGCCATTTTATCCTTTTCTTCTTTTTGAGACAGAGTCTCACTCTGTCACCCAGGCTAGAGCACAGTGGTGTGATTTCGGCTCACGGCAACGTCTGTCTCCCGGGTTCAAGCAATTCTTGTGCTTCAGCCTCCCGAGTAGCTGGATTACAGGCGTGTGCCACCATGCCCAGCTAATTTGTATATCTTTTAGTAGAGATGGGGTTTTGCCATGTTGGCCAGGTTGGTCTCAAACTCCTGACCTCAGATTTTATCCTTTTCAAAAACCTGAGCTTGTTAATTGTCTCACTAAATGAGACTTAAGTTTTTATCTTTGTAAAACAAAACAAAAAACCCTTGCTCAACTCAACTGGGAATCCACTTGACTTCTGGAGGTCTGGAAACAAAGGGATTGTGCCCAAGGGCCACTCTGGGTGTTCATGGGCCACAAAAAAACAAAAACAAAAACAAAACAAAAAACAAAAAACAAAAAAAAAAAACCACCCTTACTCCTATTTCTGGCTCACCATACACGAAGATCAGTTTCCTTCTTGCCTGGATCTTGTCCTCTCCACCTCTCTGCCTCTAATTCTCCCATCCATCAAAATCTCTCTCACTTCCCCCTCTTTGTAAGAAGTGTTTCCTAACCATTCTGCTGGGACATTCTAGAATCTTTGCTTTCTCAGAACATGGTACCCTGCCTCATTACTTCTCAAACTTTAGCGTGCATATGAATAGCATGCAGATCTGGTGAACATGCAGCTTCTGATTCAGGAGGACTAGGGTAGGCCTGAACTTCTGCATCTCCAGCCAGCTCCCAGGTGAGACCAACGCGGCTGGTCCTCAGACCACACTTTGAGTAGCGGAACCCTACAACAATGGTTCCCACATTTTGCTGCACAATGGGCTCCTGTGGAGGGGTGGGTTGAAAGAGACTGGTGCTAGTCTTCCATCCCTAGACACTCTGATGTTTTTAGCATGGAGCTTGACCCAGGCATTGGGATTTTAAAATCTCCTCAGGTCATTATACTGTGCAGTGTGGGAACCACTGCCTTATTGCATAAAGTGAATATGGCTAAGCCTATTATTATTTCATCTGTGCTTACCTTGTCTCGACCTTGATAGACTACAGCCCTCTCTAAGGCAGGACTTGGTCAACATTTTGTTTTGAGCATTGATAGATGAACCAACTGATTAGATATTAGGCCCTTACGTGCTTTTCTGATGATGAATCGGTGTTAATGAGCATATATGTGTTGCCACAGAGAAATGTACTAGATATCAAGAGGGAAATAAAAATGGATCTTGGCAGACCATGGTGAAATCTACCCGGTGCCAGCATCAGCGGAGGGTGGCCCAGGCTGTCCTGTGTGGCAGGCTCCAAGGGCTCTGGGCATGTTTTTGGCCCTTTCCCACCCACAAGAGGAAAAAGAAATTCTACCTCTCTGGCCTGCTTGTTCTAAAAATACTCACTTTTTCTCCTTTTAGTCTGAGGCAGTGGTTCTCGACCACGTTGTAGACTCGCCTGGGGAGCTTTTAACATCTTTGATGCCCAGGCTGCACCCAGACCAAATGCATGAGAGTCTCTGGAGTGGGACCTGGGCATCGAGATGTTTTAAATGTCCCCAGGGGCTGTCACTGAGCAACCAGGGCTGAGAGCCACCAACCTCAGGTAAATGTAACCCCTTTATCCTCATCTCAGGTGGACTGAATTTGTCAGGTCCTTCTATGAAGGAGTGGGGAGAGAGTGTGAGAAGGCTGGGTACCTATCCAAGGCAGAAAACCAGCACCCAGTAGAGAGAAGGGCCCAGAGAGGGAAGACACTGCTGCCAAATGCGCCAGGTCTCCAACATGTCTCCAGTGCAAGGGTCTATCGGCCATGATCCACGCGCCAAGTCCAGCCCTCCATTGGTTTTTATAAATAAAGCTTTATTGGAACACAGCCACACTTCTGTAGCTGTTTTTGCCATACAGCTGCAGAGCTGAGTCATTGTGACAAAGACCTTATGGCCTGCAAAGCCTAAAATATTTAGTATTTGACTCTTTACAGGAAATCTGCTGATCCCTGCTCTAGAGGGTTGACCCTGCATAGACTCCCTAACTGCAGTTTATGCGTTGGTGCCTATGCGGGGAATTTTTAAAACCACATTTTGGACTTTGTGTAAATTTTTAGTTGCTCTTAAAACAGAGCAGTGTCCTGGTGGCTGTGCTGACAATAAGTCCTGGTTGGCTTCCCTCACTCAGCTGTTGGGGTGGCAGGTGCTGCTGCTCCCACCCTCTGGTCCCAAAGACTCTCTTTGGTTGCCCTAGGGTGCCCGGCAGATGTTACTGTTTTCTCTGCAGGCTGTGAGTCGGGGGCTTGGGAAGCCCCATATCAAAACCTAGTAGATGTAAGAAGTTAGACACTCTGGCTAGGAATGGACGCTATTCCTGCCCAAGGACAATGGATTCAGGTGAGGAGGGCTGCAGGAGGCAGAGGCTCTGGAGACAGAGAGCAGGGAGGGGATGAGAGCTGCCCTCAGTCAGAGCCACAGGAACCCTGGCAGTGGAGGATGGCCAGGAAGCGCCTAAAGACTGAGCTTCAATATCCTGAGTCCAGGTTCTCAAATTCTCCGCCATTCCTTCTTGAGCCACCGCTGTGCCCCTGAAAGTAGGTCAGATCACTGTCTGCTACAGAGCCATGGTGGGAATGAGATACCAACTACGTCAGCAGGGCCACTATTGCTTAGTGAGCCTGCTGGCCAGAACCAATGGCTGCCCAATTTAAGACAACCCATAAAGACCTTTTTATGTGGTGCAGACTCTTTAATGCCGTGCATCCACACAACAAAAGCTTAGCACTGCTTTCTGGGAATGGAACAAGTAATTGAATTTCTGAAATGATAAATTTCACTATAGTCAGAGAGAATGGTACAACCAGTCTCCTTAAAGCATCTGGATTCTCTTGTAAAATTAACAAGTTGGAGTCGATTGTCTAATTTACTAAAGATATTTGGAACAGGACTTACAATTTCCTAGTATGCTTAAAATACAGTTCCACACAGAGATTTTTCTGCATGCAAGCAGCTTTTTAGGAACTCATCTTTGTCCATCTAATCTTTCTTCCTAATTGGAAACCTCTGTAAGACCTTATCCTTTGTCATTTCTGCAAGTTCCTCATGCTTTTTAAATTTTTGACCACACACTTGTCAGGGAGATCTATTATCTTCTTCTGGTACTGATCAGATTCACATGAAGCAGCACAGCTATTTTGGAAGCACAGCACAGAATTTGGAAGAAGGGAGAGGGAAGAAGTGAGGTGCTCTGGCACAACCCAGTTACAGCAACCTTGTAAATGTATGCATTCAGTGCTGGAATTGTTTACAGAGCGAGTGCCCACCACAATTGGGGCTAACCCTTTCTGTAGCTTGTTTAAAGCCACATTCATTATTCATTCATTCATTTGTTCACTCCATCAATCAGCATTTGTTGAGTACCTGCTATGTGACATTGCTGTGCAGAGTCATTATAATGGGATCTGGGGGTCTATTGCCAGAGAAAGGGAACCCACGCACACACTTCTGGATGGGCACTCGCTGCCGTCAGTGCTGGGTCTCATGACTGATGCTCTTATGAGCATTCCGCTACGGTTCAATCCTGAGCCTCATGGGAATAGGCTTTGATGTTAGAGAACTGAGGTGCCACCCTAGTTCCATTGCTTACTTGCTGCATTTCTTTAGACATGCTGTTTAGTCTATCCAGCCCTCCTTTTCCTCATTTGTAGAGAATAGATAATCGTAGTACCTATATCTCAGGGCTATTGTGAGGTTTAAATTAGTTACTGTATCAGAAACTTTTCACTCAGTGCCTGCCTCCATACATTACAGCCCGTTGCTATCATTATGATAGCTCATAATCCATGTAGACATCATTTGGCTCCTTCTATGGCGAGGAGACTTTCTGAACACCTTCCAGGAAACTGGCATTGCTCAGTCAGGAGAAGAGCGCGTATTTATCGGGCAGGACTGGAGGGGAAGGAAAGAGTTCGCAGGGAACTTCCTGCCATTGTTGGGCTGTCTCCTCCGCATGTGACTCGGCTCAAAGATGCCCAAGCCTGGTCTTGCTGTCTCCTTTTTCTTTATGTTCTTGCCACTCTGAGGTATCCTAGGAGGAGCTAGTAGAACCTTTTGAAAACAGCCAAGGAGTGTCACAGATCTGGCAGGTTTCGTGCAAAGGCCCAAGCCGCCTCCCACAGATATTCCCCCTCTCCACTTCTTCCCCAGCTGTCAGTCTCATTAGCATCTGCAACGTGTAAGATGCAATTCTGGAGGTGAAGCTTAGGGCTCTGGCATGGGGCGGGGGGCTTAGGAGTCCCTGGAGTCCCCTAGTCTTTGCCTAGGCTATGGGCCCAGCTGTGATCCAGAGTTTACTTTCACCTCCAGCCCTTTCACATCAGTAGACAGCACAAATCTAGGGCAGCGAGCCTGTGTCTTCTATAACCCAGTAGAGGCCATTGGATGGGACCCCCCTGTTGGTGCTGACTGGGGTCACAGTTTGGGCTGGCCTACCTCCTTGGACCCTGCTGCCCATCCATCGCAGGGTGGAACTCCTGGTCTCACCGTCCCGGCCTGTGTTACTTTGTGTGACCCCCGCCAGACATATTGCTCTCTTTATGGGTACCGACACCGCTCTTAGTCTGTCTGGCTTGAGCTCTCGGGACCTAGGGTCCACTTGGACCCTTCTCTTTGCAAGCTGATCTGGCTTGAGCATTTCCCATTTGGGTTCAGCAAACATGTAATCCAGAACTGGCCAGGTGTGTTTCTATCTGTCATCTCCTTTGGTTTTCAGCATCTCATTTAATTCCTACAACGAAAGGTAGGTATTAGTCTCTCCATTTTCAGGCAGAGGAAACTGAAGCTTAGAGAGGATAAATGAGCAGCATGGGTGCCTGGCCAATGTACCTGCTGCCTTGCTGTCTCAGAAGTGAGACACTTGTTACACACAGGGGGCCTGTGGAGCTAAGTAGTGGGCCTAAGCATCTGTGGTGTGTTGTCACCATGCAGCCAGTGAATGGCCACCTTTGTCCTCGGAGAGCTTACAGTTTCACTGAGTCCTGGGGGACCCAGGTCTTTGTTACCTTTTCCCTTTAACTGAAGGAGAGCTAGCAATCACTAAGCACTGAGCCTTATGGTTAGAGGACATCAAGGATCCTGGCCTCTTGCAGAGCAAGAGATATTGCCTAGTTAAAGGCCACAGACCCCTGGGCCTCTGGGCCACCAATGAATGCTCTTGGTCCACAGTGGATCCAGTAAGAATGGCCCAACTCTGGCCTGTCAGGACAGTGGTCATCTTAACTTTTTATACAACAAACAATTATGGAGGCTCATGGTATCTAAGGCACTGTGCCAGACACTGTGGGGCCTACAGAAGTGAAGGAAGCATGGCTCCTGAGCTCCTGAAAGTTTGTAGCTTGTTTGGGGAGGCAAGCATTTAAGTAACTATCTAGACCATTCAGACAGCAGGATGGAGTACTAGGAAGTTTGTCCAGTGTGCTGTGTGACCAGATGGATTCCTTCTCATGGGAACTGGGATCAGCTTTGCATGGCAGGGGCATTTGTGCTAATGGTAAAAGCTGACAGAATTTTAGGGGTAAACAGAAGTGGGAAGATGTTCCAGGCTGAAGACAAAGCCTGGAAGGAGGAGTGTGTGTTCAGGGATGGCATGGCAGGTGCACAGGGAAAGGGAGGCCCAGATGGTCCTTAAAGATCAGTGGCTGACCATTCTCCAGTCTAACTCCAAATGCCAGGGCAGGAACCCGGGTATCCTGGCCCCCAGCCCAGTGCTCCTTCTGCTGCATTGCTGTAAATAGAAGTTTAAAGTGGTTCTCAAGGCCAGAGGGGATTGGGGAGCAATCCATTTGCTGAAGCTTTTCCTCTGGATGGGCTTCTCCTGAGAGATGACATGTGAGGGGGTAGTGAGAATCTAAGGGATCACCTCCTCCTGATAAGCCAGAAAGCACCTCCACTGTTGGGAGGCTGTGATGCAGCCAGAAATAGTGATCCTGCCGTTGCATCCTAGCCCTTGAGTCCATCACCCCAGCCCTGCAGTCCTGCAGTCCTGAAGCACAGGATCTGATCCCCTGAGCCTGGCTCATGCACTCTGGCCTTCCAGGTCAAGCGTGGGGTATGACCAGAGCCAGGAACCATGTGGCACTGCAGGGCAACTCTCTACTCCTCCCTCCTGAAAGTCAACTCAGTGGAAAATGTAGCCATCATTAAAAAAAAAAAAAAAAAAAAAAAAAAAAAAAAAAAAAGCAAACTCCCCTCTGAAAACCCTATGGATGAAGGGAGCACTTGAAGGGAACACCAAGTACACAAGGAGAAAATGACAAAATGCTGCTTTCCTGGCCTCTGCTGCTGGGCAGCTGGGTGATTCAGCTGCAGGGGCTGCCCTCCTGGAACCTGTCGCAGGAGATGCCCCGGCTGCATGCCAAGCTAGGAGGGCCCAGCAGCTGGCATGGGACTCGCTTCCATCCTGGGGAGGCAACTATGTATTTATCTTATTTTCAGAGACTGAGTCTCCTTGTGTTGCCCCGGCTGGTCTCGAACTCCTGGGTTCCAGTGATTCTCCTACCTCGGCCTCCCAAAGTGCTGGGATTACAGGCATGAGCCACTGTGTACAGCCCAATTCTCCATTTTTAAATTTACTGGTTTATGAAATTTGAAATGTTGGGCACCACTAATTTAGGTCTACGACTTTATTTAAAGAAACTCTAAGCTTCACATATTAAAGACTAAACAGAATAGGAATACCCTATTTGTTTTCTCTCAGCCTTGAATCTTTCCCGATCTTTTCAACCTGGTCATTCTGGTCTGGCTCACCTGTCCCTTTCTTAGGGAGGACTCTTCTGATGCCCTAATCTAAAGCATTATCCCCTTCCTATGGTTTGGTTTGGTTTTGAGCACACTTGTTTCTGTTTGAATGACCTTGGTGTTTTTAGCTGCAGGCTGGGGACTGTCATTTCCCCTTGGTAGAGTGGAAGTTCCTCTCTGTGGCCTAGGTCACTGTGGCATCCCCAGCACCTAGTACAGCCGCTGGCACCACATAAGCCTCAGCAGAAATGTGTTGCCTGAATGAATGAAACCACGGATTGGCTTCCTGGACGAGGACCCACGTTTCAACCCTCTGTCCCTCCAGCACCAAGGCTGAGCTGCCCCTGCTGGTTCTCGGTCAGACCTGAGGAGAGAGGTCCTCTCTTCCCCACTCTTCTTATCTGTGCTGTGGCTAGCTTCTTAGATACCCCCGAGCCTCCTGGTGCCCGACGGCCCCAGCAGGCTAGTCAGACCCAGTGTCTCAGTCGAGTTTCTTGGCTGCCGAGGCCTGAAATCTTCAGGGCCTTTGAGTAACATTCTGCCCTTGAGCAGGTTCACAGACTGGCTGGTCCTCTGGGAGACAGGCCCCTCCCTGGCTCTTCAGAGCCTCCTTGCAGCTTCCCCTCTTCTAGCTCTCTGCCTTGCCCAGAGTCCTGTGATGAGATGAGGGGAGGGATTGGGAAGTGCCAGCATGGGGCTGGGGCTGGGGCTGGGGCTGGGGCTGGGGCTGGGGCTGGAGCCGGGTGGTGCAGGTCTGTGTGGAGGAAGCTGAGGTTGCAGGGACTGCTTTGGCCCAAGAGTGTCCTGGACACGGCCTGGGAGCTTAGCAGGTGGTTAGTTGATTAACACAGGTATGACCACATTCTAGGATGGTTTTGGGGTTTGGGCGGCTGCTTCCCAGCAGGTGCACAAAGACCACAGACGCAAGTGCTTACGAAGCCTCAGGTTGGAGGCCTTCCTAGCCCAGGGGTCTCCACATGCAGCGGGGCATTCTTGAGCTGGGCTGTCGACATGCCATTCATGCCCAGTCATCTCATTTAACCCTCGTAACGGTCCTCTGATATGCGTATGCTTCTTTATTACCACCATTTTTTAGGTGAGAAAACTAGAAGCTTAAATAAGGTAGGCATTGCTGCCAGCTCCTGCGGTAAGTGGCAGTGACAGCATCTAGCCAAAACGTTTGATGCCTGATCTCTGCTCAGGGCACCTGGATCTGCATTGCTGCAGTCCCCCAGCTCTCCAATTCCACGTGAGCACACTCCACACTGGCTCGGCAGATACTGAGAGGCAGGTCCTGCTGCTCTCGCCTTCACTGTGGCCTCCTTATCCATGCTGATATGGCTTGGCTGTGTCCCCACCCAGATTTCACTTTGAATTATAATAATTGCCACGTGTCAAGGGCTGGGCCAGGTGGGGATAATTGAAGGGAGATGGTTTCCTCCATGCTGTTCTCATGGTAGTGAGTAAGTTTCATGAGATGTGATGGTTTTATAAAGGGGAGTTCCCCTGTACATGCTCTCTTTCTGCTACCATGTAAGATGTGACTTTGTTCGTCCTTTGCCTTCTGCCATAATTGTGAGGCCTCCCCAGCCATGTGGAACTGTGAGTCCATTAAACCTCTTTCCTTTATAAATTACCCAGTCTCAAGTATGTCCCTATTAGCAGTGTGAGAACAGGCTAATACACATGCCTGTGGCCTCTCCAGCCAGCTGTGACCTACCAGGGCAGACAGCAGGACAGTGATGAACCTGTTCATTCATGTGAGGCCTTGGAGGCTTCCCCCCGGCACAGCGGGGTACACCTCAGAATCTTAGCATGGCTGCGCAGGTGGTTTAGGCAGGGGCTCCCTCCCTGCTACCCACAGATGCCCCTGCCCTGTGCGAACGTGACTACTGCTAGTTTGTATAATGAGCTGCAGCAGAGTGTGCTCAGAAGAAGCAGAGCAGAGCCCCTCAAGCGTGGGCCGTGCCTCTCTCACTCTAACCTCAGAGCCTCTGTTCACTTCGAAGGGTGACCTCAGGCATCCCTTCCTCCACAGCTCCTTGGACCTTGGATGTTCTTCCATTGTGACTCCACTCAATTTGCGTGTCCCTCTTCCCCAGGGCCCATGCCCCTCTTGGAGACAGAGGTGGAGTCTTGTTTTCCTGTGTCTGTGCACACAGCATGCTCACAGGGCACCGTGGGCATCCTCTGAGGGTTTGTTGAGCATCACTCCTCTTCTAGAGTTGGTTGATGCTTCAGTTCTATGATGGTCTTTGAACCTCCTCAAGTACATAAAACTCTTCACAATGTTGCCCACTTCTCAACAGTTGTCATTTCCCCCTTAGAGGCCAGAACGCAAACATTGCTTTGCCTTCTCTTGAGCTTGCTCTCTAGAGTTCTTGAGGCTCTGGGTCTTATCTGTGCCATAGACACACCACTTCATGAGGGGCCAGGACACAGGCCATATGTGTCTCATCATGCCCAGGTGGTTTTTTCAGGGGCTGCAGAATGGAAACTCTCATTCCTCATGGCCCTTTGTACCTCTCACATTTCTTGGGCGTCTTTCTGCCCCTGGTCTGCAGCAGCTTGAAGGCATTGCCATTTTCAGTTCAGAAGTGTGTCCAGGACCCTTAATAGATATCCATTATCCAGGGAATGGAGCATGTCAGTCCACTCCAGTTCCATTCTCTTGTGCGTGTCCCGTGTCAATGAGCAGCATGAACACCATGAGCCTAAGTGGCCTGTGTTCAAGTCTTTCCTGGGTTCATGACCTGGAGAAGGCCCGTAGCCTTTTGGTCCCATTTGGTCTTCGACACAGAGAGTCACAGTCATCCTCCAGTGCCTCCGTCCCCCAGCCCCCAGTGCACACAGTGCACTCCCTTCAGTGCACTGTGCTGGCTGCAGAATGGAAGCCTGACAATGGTAGTTGAAGAAGTGGCATTTTACTAATTGTTTCCTGTACATTTTACCCTCTATAATGTAGAAACAATCTTCTAACACTTCCCTGTTGGTCCCTAGTCCCTGTTCTTTGCATCAGTGTCCTCACCTATTTTATCTGTTTATTCAGAAATTAATAAGTAAATGTCATTTGTATTTGACATTGCCTGGTAGATTCCTCCTGACATGGCTACCCGTGGAGGGCAATAAGGGAGGGGCCATGTCTGCTTTCCATGACTTCCTGGATATAATAAGATCAGCCCCACTGACTCCTAAAGTTGTATCATGTTAAATTATTTAGGACTTTTTTGGTTGCAAGCGACAGAAACCCAACTCAAAGTATTTTAAACGTAAAAAGAATTTGTTGGCTCATGAAATCAAAGAAAGTCTTAATAGTGTGGCAAAGGAGGTAGGAAGAGCAAATATTTTCATCCTCATTTTACACAAGAGAGAGGAGAGGGCAGAATGGGATATTAAAAGAATGGTCCATGGTGATCCAGGCTTAGCGACAGCTAGGATCCGGGTCACCCAAAGGGTGTGTGCAGTTTATTATTCAGGACTCTTTAGACTGTTACAATAAGAAACCCTGTTGGAAGGAAAAGGGAGAGAGGGGTGGTTATTCCCTTGGAGCATCCAAGGAAGTCTTGCCCATTCCAGCGACCCAGCCTCTGGAACCGCAGTGCTGTGCAGATGAAAACCATCTGGATATAGGGTGCATGTCATAGGCTCTCACCCACAAGGCTACCCTGCGCAAAATATTCACGTGCACTTTTAAGGGGGTCGTGGAATCCACTGAAACCTGTCCGGGGTTCCTGAGTGAAGCCCTTCTTCTAGAAAAATGTCTAGCTCATTGTGTAGCTAGCCTCTGGGATAGTATTGAGAGCAGAGCTTTTCAGAATGGGTAGAGTTTTAGGTTCACGCCACAGGGCACCAATGTGTGGCAGGTGGAGGCAGGATGTGTGGGGTGCCAGGGCTCAGCGGCAGCTTCCAGAAATTCCATGTTTACTTTTATTGTCTATGATTTTATATTAGAACTTCAGCTAAGGTATTGTTTTTAAAAGGATCTCTGCTGATTAAAAAATAATAAATTAAAAGTTAGAAAACCACAAATTTAAGCATGGGTGAGCCTGCCCACCCCCGACTTTCCTTTCTGAATCAGGTCAACTTCTCTGAATAGCTGTGCAGCCTAGAGATTCCAGGAATTTTAGAAACATTACCTATTTATTTCTGCTTGGACGTGACCCACACATCCTGCCCACGTGGAGAGAGACCTTGGTAGGATAACTTCTTAGAAAAAAAAAAACATGAAAAACCATGACCCCCAGCAGGAGGAAGCCTCTGCTGTTAAGACAAGCTTATTGTCAGAGGAGCTGTGCTTGGGATTTTTATGGTCCTTTAATCAAGTGCTGTGGTTCCTTTGTATTGTTCACCCCTTGGGATGTCTACCCAGGTTGGGGCTAGAGATGATGGGAGTCTGCAAGTCCTGAGCTAGCAGGGTCTGGACTTGGCCTGAGGATCTGCCCTACCTCCATGGGGCTCATGCTCTCTGGGTATGCCCAGGGAGTGACAGAAACCTGATGTAATCAATATAGAAGCTTGTGAAGAAGAGGGGGACTGTAGCTTCCAAGAGGCCAGGGCAGAGTGGATATCCAGGCACTGTGGGGGCAGACAGGTGATCAGCTGGGAGGGAGCAGGGTTGGAGCTGCAAGGTGTGCCTGGTGAGGAGCCCGGTGTGGCCACCTCCTGCCTGGGACCTCCCACCCCTTCCCTGGCCTGGGCTAGGATCCCCACCACTGCACGGCTGCACCACTTCCTTGCAAAGACAAGCATTTAGTGTAGTTGTTTTTAACAAAGCAGGAGGAAGACTTTCTTGTGTCTGTATAATGCTTTCTTCCTTTTCAAAAAGCTGCTGTATGGGAGAGAGAGAGATAATAGACCTAGAGATAGTTAGGCTTGGATGATTTCTATCAGACCTAGGTTCGTGGTCAGGGGTCAGAGGTCAAAGATCATGAGACTGTCAGGAAGATTTTCCTTGAAGGTTAAGTGGGCATTGGATTCTATGAAAGTGCAGGCCATGGAATTGAGCTCTGCGGGGCACTTCAAAACCTCATTGGGGCAGGGGCAGCAGCCCGGGGACTCCCCCTCCACCACCACCACCACCACTCCAGCCTGTGGAGTGAAGGGCAGGGTGGGCTTGGTGGCCAGGAATACCCCTTTCTGGAGAGGAGAAGGGAGGCGAGCAGGTGAGCCTGCCAAAAGGGCTGTGGCCAGGGTCATCTCTGGGGTTACAGCAAGGATATGCCAGGCAGACACAGGAGGCTGTCTGAACCAGTGCCTGCCAGACGCCAGCTCTCCCACTTCTGGGCCTGGGGGGAAGCGTAGTGGTCACTGGGAGGGACTGCCTGTCTCTGAGTACAGAAATGAGGGAGGGACTTGCTCTTGTCCACTCCCTCTTGCTTCTAGAGGCCTGGGGAGCATGGCGGAGCACCACGGGGTCTATGGTAGGGTGGGAGAGAGCTCTCTGATGCTCCTGGGGGGTTGGCCTCCCATCTCTGCCCTGGTACCGTAGGCCATGTCACATCACCATTGGGACCATGTGCCTCAGAGATGGAAGACACAGGCTTCCTGCTAACTGGTTGGGCCTCTGTGGGCAACTTCTTTGACCTCACTAAGCCTTCTCTTCCTCTTCCATAAAAATGGGCTGGATATACAGTGGAATTACCTGGTGAGCATTCAACATATACAAATTCAAATCTCAAATTCAAATTCAAAATTTGGCAAAGGAAATATACTCAGAAAAATATCCCTCCCAGCCTGGGTGATTTTGCCCACCACTCCACCTGGGTTAGTTTCCCGGGGCCGCCATAACAAAGGACCGCAAACTGGGTGACTTAGAACGGAAACTTCTTGGCTCACTGTTCTGAAAGCAGAATTCCCACATCAAGGTGTCGGCAGGGCCACACCCGCCCTAAGATGCTAGGGAAGGACCATCGCTCCCTTCCAGCTTCTAGTAGCCCCTCAGCTTCTTGCAGTGTCCCCCCAGTCCTCACGCGGCCTTGTTTTTACAAGGACATCAGTCATATCGGACCGGGGCCCCACACATGCACATTCCAATGTGTCCTCATCCTAACTTAATTACACCTGCAGTAGCCCTCTTTCCCAATCAGGCCATTCAGAGGAACCAGGGGTTAAGACTTCAGCGTAAGAATTTGGAGATCACACTTCAACCCATGACATCATCCAGAGGACCCTTGGTTGGGGAAGGAGGAAGCATGGGAGAGAGGCACAGGCCCCTCAGGGTGGGCACATCTCGGCCCCATGTGAGGACTGGGTAGAGACAACAACTTTTACACCAGAGGCCCCTAAGTGCATGCTGACCACCTCGGCTGGCAGGCAGTGGTGGAGACAAGAGCCTTTTCCAGCCTCTGAAGGAATTGGTCTATGCTGGACAACTGGTAACTCCACTGTGGTCTCCAGGGAAGCAGGTTCATCCTTCAGGGAGGGTGGGGTAATGGGTGTCCACGGGCACAGCCTGACCCATTGCTGACGGCAACAGCAGTGCATCATCTCACAGTCTAGAGGTGTTGGCCGGGCTGCGCTCCTTCTTCCAAGGCTCTAGGGGAGGAGCCTTCTGCACTTCTTCCCAGCTTCCCGTGGCTGCCAGCAATCCTTGGCACTCCTGGGCTTGTGTCTGCCTCACTCCAAACACTGCCTCCGTCTTCACATGGCCTTCATCCCTCTGTGTCTCCTCCATCTTTCTGTGTTCAAGTTTACTTCTCCTATAAGGACACCCATCGTTGGATTTAGGGCCCAACTAAATCCCACAGGACTTACTTCATCATAACTTGATTATATCTTCAAAGATTCTATTTTCAAATAAAGTCACGTTCACAGGTGCACGGGGTTAGGACTCCAACCAGTCTTTCTGGGGAACACAATTCTACCTCCTGCGGAGGGTGAGGAGGACTTTACAGATGGGATCACACCAGGACTTTACAGATGGGGTCACACTGTGGTCAGCATCACCAGCAACGGTCCTCGGAATGCCAGGGCTTCACCTCTGCCCAGGGGCCCAGCCCAACTCCCGGCACTCAGCCCATGATGCTGCTGCCATCGGCCTGCCGGGTTGAGGTTGTGGCATGCCCTCTTCTCCTCTCTTGTGCCTTGTCAAATGCCTTAGAGCTCCACTCAACTATCACCCACCTGGCAGAACCTTCCCTGACTCTTCTCCCAAGAAGTCCTCGGTCCTTCCTATGGGCCGCCAGAGGCGCCCGTTCAACTTCAACTATCGCACATGGCACATATCAGCTTCTTTGTTTGTGTTCCCTTGAGTTCCCCTAGGCCTGGGACAGAGTCTTATTCTCCTGATATTCTCCATCAGGTGCACTGTTGCATGGCGGGCCCCCTACATTTGTCGAGTGAGAGAGAGACAAGGGTGGATGGATGGGGGCATGGGTAGGTAGATGGACGTCAAGTGTTACCTGAACAGAGAGGTCTTCCCTGACCCCTCCACCCGTCCCTCTCTCATCCCCTTGCCCTGTTGTGTTTTGCTCCATAGCAAAACATAGTCCTTTATCATATGATATACTTTGTTGCCTCTCTCCTTTCATTAGAATATGTGCTCTGTAAGAACAAGCATATTGCCTTTCTATTTCAGTATTGTATCCACAGTGCCTGAAACAACAATATTTATGAGATTGCAGGTGCATGGAGGGATGGGTGGATGGAGGCATAGACGGGTGGGTGGCTGGGAGCCTGTTGCCTAGGGGAGGTGTGTCACTCCTATCACAGTGTCAGCTGGTCACAGAGCCACCCGGCACAATGCTTTCTGCTCACTGTTTGTTTTGCCCTCCCTCCCCATCCCCTCACCCCCAGATTCAAGAATTATTATTTTTTTATGGCTGTCATCACAGGGCAAGGCCTCGCACTCTCTGCCTAGGATTATTAACTATCTGGGGCTCATGTTCTGGGGCCAGAGCTCTGCTGGGCCTGCCCTTAATCCCTCAGAAATACCCACCACACTGGGTTGTGAGATACCAGCCTCAGCCTGCCCTGGAGTGGGCTGATTTTACATAACATGTTTTTGCAACCAGAGCAATAACATGCCGCCCCTCAGTGTCATGTCTTCTGCAAGCACTGACCTCAGGACAGGAGTGTATGTGCACGTGTGTGTTCCACGTGTACTCTGCCGGCGCTGCATGTGGAAGGAGTATTAGCTTCCCTCCATCCCTGGAGAGGCTTGGTTTATATAATCTACTTGTCTCTCAGGCCCATTTAGTTACCGGAAGTGGTCAGATGTTAGACAGACAGGGAACTGCAGCCAGGTCTCAGAGCTCAGGGGAGAATGGTTCTCATGCAGAGAGGTTGGGGAAAAGCAGGCAGGGCCTGGTGGGTAGTCCCAGTGTGCTACAGAGGCACATCTGACTCAGGTAGACCAGACAGCCAAAAAGCCAGCTGGGAAACCCAAGGGCTGGTTCTCTCATGTGGGGAGTGCAGGAGGTGGAGGGGATACTTATACCTGGACTGATGTCTACATGGGGCCCTTTCAAAGCACATAGTAGAAGGATTTGCTGAGCAAAGAATTAAAGCAAAGTCCACTGTATGTGCTTTTAAAGGATACATTTCCCATTTACCATTCAAGGGATCTATCCTTTTTAAAAAGCAAGGAGAGGTCTTTGGTCTAAAGCCAGAATACTATCTCCCCTGGCCAGGCCACCAGAAGCAACAACTTATACTTTTTCCAGATTTCAGGAACGTATTGGTCCTTCCTGTCATTGGGTGCCACTTGTCTTGGACATGCCACCTTTTCCAGCCGCATCTTAACAGATAATGTTTTAGGGCAGCTGTTTCCTTGAGATTAACTGGTGGGGGGCACTTTTCATTTTGATTGATCTTCTCTTCTTCTCCTCCTCCTTCTTTTCCTTGTCCTCCTCTTCTTCTTCTTCTTCCTCTTTCCCTTCTCCTCCTCTTCCTTCTCCTTTCTTCCTCCTCCTCCTTCTCCTCTTCCTCATTCTCCTTTTTTTCTTCCTCTGAACACATGCCATTCCCTCTACCTGGAATACACCACCCCCAGATACTTTTTACCTTTTTAATTGAGATATAATTTACATACCATGATATTCACCCTCTCATAGTATACAGCTTAGTGGTTTTTAGGGTATTCACAAGGTTGTGCAACGATCACTACTGTCTAATTCTGGAACGTTGTTATCACCACAGAAGGAACGCAGCATCCCTTAGCAGTCATTCTTCATTCTTCCCCTTCCCAGCCCCTGGCAACCACGGATCCACTTTCCATCTCTGCAGATATGCCTATTATGGACGTTTCTTAAAAACTGAAATCATGCACTCCGTGGTCCTTTGTAACTAGCTTCTTTCCCTGAACATGATGTTTTCAAAGTTCATTCATGTTGTAGTGTGGCTCAGAACTTCCTTCCTCTTTATGGCCATATAATACTCCACTGTATATATGTACCATAATTTATTTATCCAGTCATCAGTGGACGGGCACTAGGTTGTTGCCATGTTTTGGCTCTTATGAACAATGCTGCCCAGACCACTCACATATTACCTTACCTCTCACCAATGACTTTAAAGAAGCTCTGCCAACCTGCATGAGCTGCACATCTGGTGACAGGTTTGTGACTCAGTACAGACTTTCTCCTTTCTTCTGCTGGCCTCACACTTGCCCCCTGTTAACACCCAAGTGTTCTTGTTTTGGGAGGAGTGTAGGCAGCACCCTGAGTTGTATGTGTCTCTTGGTACCAGCTACCATCTTGAGTTTGAAGAACAAGATGGCTGATTTTGAGGGGTTCTCAATGGAGCTTGTGTCAACACAGTGCCCCCCATTGCATGCAGGAGGAGGTTCCCGGTGCTGGAAGTTCTATGTAAAAGGCCCCAGGGAAGGCAGTAAGGTCCATTCACTTATCCACCTAGATGCCACATTGAGGCTGAGGCCCCAGGTGGCCTTATACATAGGACCAGCCCTCTATAGCCCTGGCCTGGATTGTTCCTGGAGAGGGAGGACCTCAGAGGGTGCAAGGCTTTGTTCTGTCACCTCTGTCACTTTGTTCCACTCATTTTTCGCCTCACTATAGTCTTCCAGCCCCAGGCCAAAAACAGCATAAAATAGAGCTTCTCCATCCTCCCCCAGCACACCACCCTGGACCACCAGGCACTGTGCAGATTCTGTCTTCCTTCCATGGCCTGAGCTTCCCATGCCCTCCCTCCCTGCAAATCACTTCCTGCTGGACTCTTTTCCAAGGCTGGGGGCTCCATGAGGACAGGTGCCTGTGCTGCCTTGTTTGTCCTGGCACACTCAGCCCTGAGCAGAGTGTCAGGATCACAGGAAAGATAACGATGATGATGATGATGATGGCATCGATGACAGTGATGATGACAATGAGGCTTACTATGTACCAAGCATTATCCTATGTTCTTTACATGTTTCGGAACTCATTTAATCCTCACAAGGATTCTAGCAGCCAGATGCTATTATCTCCATTTTACAGATATGGAAACTGAGGCACATAGAGGTTAGGTCATCTGCTCAAAGTCACACAGCCATCAAGAGGAAGAGCCAGGATCTGACATTCACAGTCTAACTCTAGAGCACAGGCCTCTAACCACTGTCATGGTTTATACACATACACTACATAGATGTGAGTTGTTCTGGGATGGATGGATGGGTGGACACAGGGGACCTAACAGTGGCTTCATGAGAAGCCCCGAGTGGCCCGGTATGCCCCATTGAGCCACACTGAGTCTTGGGACAGGGTTAGCTCCCCATGGCTGCTGCCTGTGTGCAGGTAAGGAGGCCAGGAGGTAGGTTAGAGCCCAGGGCTGGAGGCCCACACCGAGGAGGCTGGCACCCCCTGGGCTCGTGTTACACTAGGGGCTATGGCCAGTTCCCTCTGCCCGGCCTCAGAGCCGAGATCCTAGTCCCTGCCGCCGCCGGTAGGGAGCCTCGGCTTCCTGTCCATTGTCTCCTTGGGGCACACCCGGTGTGTTCCTGAAGTGACCTGGAGAGGCAGGGAGGGAGGGAAAGAGGGAAGGGGGCCAGCCCAGAGCCTAGTCAGGGTGGGAGAGGGGAAACGAGAGGGGAAGACTTGGTGTTTTTCCTTATTTGTGTTTTGTATTAAAGAAAACAAATAATATCCTTTGAGAAAACCATTAAACAAAGCACATCCTAAGGCCCCAGAGGCCTATTGTGGCTGCCTGGAGCCCGGAATTCATTCATGCTTTCTTGGCTAGATTGTTGGAGGCAAGAGAGACGGGGGTGAGAGGAAAGGATTGTTATTAAAATGTATTTTGAAATGTGTTGCTCCCTCCCTGCACTCAATCCAGTCCAGGCCAAGTGGCCATAACTCCAAGGTCCCTGTGTCCTCCTGAGTCTGTTGTTCTCCCATTACCTCTCTGGGAAGCTCCCCAAAACTGGCCAGTCCCAGCATAGCCAGGGTGGTCAGTTTCCCCCATGAGCTTGGGGGCTGAGCCCCGTGAAGGCAAAACAGTGGGACCCTCCTTTATGGAACCTGAATCCCGAGGGCTGCATGTGCCCCACCACAGGGTGTAACCCACAGGACTATGATCTCTAACTCACTGTGTGGCCACTCTGGGCCTTGGGCTCCCTGCCTGTAAGGTGGGGAGTGGGCCAGAATAGACCCCCTCTGACTGCTCTCCAGCAGCCTGGACCCTGTGGCTCCCTGTCATCCAGCGCATGCTCAGGTCGCTGCAGGTGGGTGGGAGTCACACTCAGGCTATGGCCTCTGCATCCAGGCCTATACCCAGGTGTCCCAGGTCCAAGCCAGACCACTCCCTCCCACTTGACTCCAAGCCTTGGTACCCCCTACTCCACCCCAGGCCGCTCATAATGGAATGGTAGTGCATGGTGGTGCTCTCTGCCATGTCCACACCAGAACACACTTTTCTGTTGGAGGAGGGATGGGAAGAGGTGGTAAGAGCAGAGCTGGCCATCAGCCCAGCTTGTGCAAATAGCTCTGCCTGTGATCCTGCATTTGCAGGATCTGCCCTGGGTTGCAAATAGAGGGTCTCTCTCCAACCTTGATGTAGATGTAGAAATAGTTGCTGTCATGATGACAATACGCAAAAGACTATCCTTAGAATTTTCCCCAGTTCCTCCTTTAAAGTTGAAAAAGGAGCCTGGGCAACAAAGTGAGACCCCATCTCTGCAAAAAATCAAAAAACAAGCCAGGCGTGGTGATGTGTGCCTATGATACTGGCTACACGGGAGGCTGAGGAAGGAGGATTGCTTGAGCTCAGGAGGTCAAGGCTGCAGTGAGCCGTGTTTGTACCACAGCTCTTCAGCCTGGATGACAAAACAAGACCCTGTCTCAAATAATAATAATAATGATGATAGTAATGCTGAAAAAGTAATTTAGCTAATTCCATGTTTTCCTAAATACTCCCTAGGCAATATAGGGAAAGAAGATCTTGGGTAAAAATTTCACTGGGGGTGCCTGGACTAGGTTTAGGAGACAAATTTCCTCTTCACAGGGCTTAGGGTT
Organism: Homo sapiens; assembly: GCF_000001405.40. NCBI lineage: Eukaryota > Metazoa > Chordata > Mammalia > Primates > Hominidae > Homo > Homo sapiens. Next base: position 200,414 of record NW_013171814.1, read on the forward strand.
TTCAGGCTTCACCTCCTTGGTCCTCTAGCAGCCCAGAGAAGAAGGGTAACATTCCCATTGTGTTATGGAACTTGTGCTTAGAGAAGTAACTTGTCCTGGGATGCACAGCCAGTGAGCTGCAGAACCTGGCCCCAGCTCTGTTGCTCATTTTCTGCAAAACCTTGAACCAGCTTGTTCATCTTTCCAGATTTGAATGTCTCATCTGTAATTCAAGGACTTGGACATAATGGATTCTAAGGTCCTCATTGTCCCTACTGTTCTTTGATTCTGTAATTCCAGCATCACTGCCTGGTAGGAAGTTCATTGACTCTACTGTTTTTCCTTTTTCAGTCTGGATTTGGTGGTTAGAGTCTAGTCTCTCCAAACTCTTGATGTCTTTCTGTCTTAGATGCTGGTGTACTTAGTGCAGTCCCAGAGGTGCTTTGCTCTCTTTCAGGAGTTACTAATGATCCCCCTTCCTCCCCCCATGACACAGGGCTACCACCCGATGCCCCATGAAGTGGAGATCGCACACACCAAGAAGCTGTTCCGCAGGAGGAGAAATGATCGAAGGTAGGAGAGACTTCGTCGTGAGCTTTGGGTTTTCCTTTCCTGCTTCTGCCATCTGTAGCGACGTCAGCTTTGGCCTGCATTTCGCTTTTCCCAGTCACCAGCTGATCCTGATGAGATGGGGTTGGTGGCATCGTGGGTTGGTTACTGGCTGGGGATTCCCCAGGGGCAGAGTGGCGGCTCCACTTCTCTTGTTGGCCTAGGGATTGGCTCCCTTCAGGCGTTTGGCTGAGAGCCCACCATCACCACTGCCTCTTCCTGGGGGTCAGGCAGTGACCAGGCTTTGCAGTTCAGGAGGAAAAATGCTGTTTCCGCTGACCTCAAAGCAACAATAGTGGTCCTCAGAAAATAGGACTGGCTGGCTGTGTGTTTTGAGACATGGCCTCCAGGAGGCTCCTGGAGCTCACAAGTGCAAGAGTATCTGTTTTCCTCCTCCCTGGTCATTGGGGGTTGTCCCTCATGCGTGCTGGCTCTGCTGTCACAGGCAACACACAGATCAGCAATGGCACATGCTACTGCTCCCAAATTCCTGGGGGAACCCACTTAAACTAAGGCAGAAACCGAGATCTCCTGTGGAGCTCAGACTCCCGAGTGACAATGGGGCCAGGAAAGGGGCAATGAGGTAGCCCTGGATAAGAACATGCAGCTGAAATTGAGCATCCTGGGAATGTGTGCATTTATTTTCAAAAAGGCTTTCTTATAAGGGGAGATCTTCAAGATATATTTTAAGTGGAAAAAATTCAGGTGCAGAGTAATGTTTCTTATGTGTGGTCATTTATGCAAAAGGGGGAGTTAGAGTATATTTTTTGCTTGAACATGCATAAATTATTTCTGGATGGAAATACCAAAAAAAGAACGAACAAAAAGGCTTATGCCTCAGGAATTAAAATGAGGTGTTCCTCTATAGGGAATATATTCTTAGATAAAGATGACGGCTTTTGGTTCTACCTTTAATGAACAGAGAATGTTCTCTGAGGGCCAAGAAACAGCCGGTGGACATGCCTTGCTCAGAACCCTAGCGGCGCCTGTGCTCAGGCTGGCTGGCCACCTCCTTAGGCTGAGACCAGGGTCTCTGATCCTTCCCTACGCATGCACACCCTGAATAGGGATTATTAGGTGGTGACTGCAACTCTCAGGGTGGATGTAGGCCTGGGTGCCCAGACTGCTTTGTCATCCACTGGTGGATTAAGTGGATCTGAACACATTCACAGAGGATGGCAAATGTATAAGTAGCTTGGGAAGAAGGCAGTGTCCTGGCTTAGAAATCAGAACCACCAGACACTTTCTGTAGAAGCACCAGGCATCAAAAAGGAACACTGAGCAGGAAGAGGTGGACCCAGGCCTGTTCCTGCCTTGACCAGAGTACAGTTTATCGCATCGTGTGTGCTGCCTTTTTGCTGTGCAGCATCACAGAGGCAAATTCCTGGTTTCTGGGTTCCTGGTAGAGGGAAGAAGGAGGCAGCACCCCTCAAGGAGGAATAGGGTTCACAGGGGCCTGGGAGGTGTCAGAGAGAGCAAAGGCTTTATGTCCTCTGCCTCTGGCCCTGTAGTCTCTGATGGCAGGGAAGACCCAGAGTGTGTGTCTGGGAGGTGTGGAGAGTCCCCGAGCTTCCTGATGAGAAGTCACCCTCTGCCCCACCTCTCTGCGCCCAGGCAATGGCAGGCTGCCACCCAGCATCCAGGTCAGCCTGCATGTCCATTTCTGGGCCAGGTCACCTCACTCAGCAGGAAGACCCTGGACAGTGGCAGGCCTCCGGAAAGCAGCAGCGTGACCCAGGGATGTAGGAAGAGGAGCGCGGCATGCAACGGCTGGGAAGCCGAGCTTCCGCTGAGCTGCGCTCACATTCACCAATGTCCGGGTTAGGTCAGCACACCTCCCAAAGGATGTGGACGGGCCAGGGTCCAAAGTGAGGCAATAAAGATGATTAAAGGGGTGGAAAGTATGTCCTGTGAGGAGTGCTGGAGGGCTGGGGCCAGGGAAGAGGAGGCCGGAGGGAAGGAACATCGTGCCGTGAAACTCATGAAAGATTTATACGGAGAGATGAGGGGCCGCTGCCTCCATGTCCACAGGGACCCAGACTAGAGGAAGTCAGCTTGGATGGAAGAACAGAGTTTTCAGCTAGACCGAAGACAGACTTATGGAGCAAACATCTTGACCATTTGGGGCAACACTGTGCAAGTCAGAGCAGCAGCCATGCCTGAACACAGAGCGTGTGCTCGTCGGGGCGCCCCGCTCTAATTCCTCTTCTAGATGCGGTAGAATCCGTTACTCACTCACAGCCTGGAGCTGTCGTGGAGTCCTCAGGTGATGGGGACTTTCAGGAGGAAAGCAGGCAGCCATATAGTTTAAGGACCTTTTTGTCTAAAAGCAGGGGTCTCCTGAGTCTGTTTTGGGAAATCGTGGGATTCTGCCACCCAAAGAGCCGCTGCAGAATATTATCAGGTGACCCCTAACCTTCCCAGCTAATGACCCATAGTAGTAGCCTTGCTAAGTGTCAAACCTGCATATTTGACCTTGGAAGTCCATACTTGTGTGCAGCAGGTTCACCTTCCTAATATTCTGGGCTTAAACTACACTGGGAGGGGCTTGCATTTCCTGGGCACGCATGGTGGCAAAGGGAGAAGTGACCAGAATCAGATTTGGTGGACAAAGGGCACAGCCAGCATCTGTGCCATGCCTCTGATCTCCCCCCACCATATGAAGGGAAGGGGCCAGCTGTATCCCTCTGGTGGCTTGGTGGCTCTCCTTGGAATGGAGAGGAGTCTGTGGCTTTCCATCTTCCTGCAAAGTGGCTGGAGTTGGTGTCCGATAGCTGCAAACTCCAGGCAGCATGAGCGTGCTGCTGAAGCTAGGAGCATGCAATTTCCCACAGCCTGGAGCAGGGATTTTCAGACTGGGACCTAAAGTCCTAGGCTTCATCAAAGTCTGTGTCCCATCCCAGTTCCAGCTGCACTCTCAGGGGTTTTTGTGTGCCTTACTGCTTTTATTTTCCACTTGTTTAAGTCTGAGGCTGTTAGCAAGCTGAATTATATAGCAGTTTAGGGACATGCCCTGGAATTAGGAGCTGGATGGGAATCCCACCTCCTCTCCTCACTCACCCTATGATCTTGCCAATTACATCACTTTTGAAAGCCCTGTCCCTTCTTCTACAAAATGGGTTCACTAGTCAGGGAGCTGAAAGGAGCTGATTCTAATAAAGCACCTAGAAACACGGTCTTAGTGTTGGCCCACTCTGCAGGTCAGAGGGGGTCCTAGGTGCTCAGGAAGGCTTTCAAGGTAAGTGTGGAGCACAGGTGTCTGCAGTGAGCGGGGAGCTTTTGTCCTGTGATTGTGGCAGCAAACCCGGAAAGCCTTGCCCTGCATTCCCTCCAGGGGCGGGCCGCTAGGATCAATTGTTCCTTCCCCTGGATCCACTTTTAAAGCCCTACCCACACTGTCAGAGGGGGCAGAGCCTGGGCTAGCAGGGAAGGAGGCCCCTTCAGAGTGGTCACCTGCAGACTCTGCTCCTGATGCCATGGGCTGCGTCTAGTGAATTGTGGATGTCTTTTTTCCATTTTGAAAAAAAAAAATTAAGCTCATGGACAGTTCAAAGGTTTCCTCAAGAATGTTCTTGACATTTGAACAACTAGTAACCACTTGTTTGTTTTTGGAAGCTAAGAAAAGACATTTGCTGATTTCAGACAAAATTATGCATTTTGTGACATAAATGTGCTAAATGAGTGTTCCACGCGTTCCTCAAAGAGCAGCATGCCTTCTGATGCTCTGGCCCCATGCAAGTTGGAGACCTGTTGCTTGGAACGGGGGCTGCTAAGGCTCGTTCCCCCCCTTTTCTCAAAGCTTTCTGCCCAGAGCACATAGACCAGAAGAGCAAGCTCACTAGAGGGCTGGAGACCCGGCGCACTGCCCAAGTTGACCCTGAGTGAGGTCCCTCACCGCTGGGGAGGATATTTTCTCTCCCCACCACACCCTGGCTGCATTTAAGAGATGAACACATTAAGGCAATGAATGGATGTTGTAGCCTGAGCTCCCTGGGAAGCAGGCTCTGGGACAGTGATTATCAGCAGCTGCTTTTAAAGGCATGCCTTTGGTGTTGATACTGGTAGAAGATCAAAAGAGGAAGTGGTATCAGCAGAGAGAAGTTGGGCTGCAGTGCAGTCTTAGAGAGTTCTGAGCCTGTAGGGGAGGTTCTGAAGTTGGGCTGACTCTTTAAGAGCTGTCCCAAGATGGGGTAAAGGGGCAGGCCTTGATACCTCCATGTCTGTTGGTCATCAGGCAGGGACTGCCCAAGGAAGGGAGCGTTACCTTGGGCGGGGCTGCGCTCTTTGCCCAGAGCAGTTGTCCTAGGGGTTGGCAGCTGAGGGCTGTCTGCACAGCACTTCCAGCAGCCGGGAGGCAGTGCCCCGCTCCTGAATGTGTATCACAGCAGACACTGCAGTGAAGCACTGTTCAGTTCTCCTACTGGGATTGGTTGGGCTGTACCCTGTGCCATAAGCTGTGCCCGAGAATACGGGAAGTATAGGGTGTGGCCCCTGCTCTCGAGGGCCTGAGCTGTAGCTTGCACAATGGTGCCTTGACTCCAGAAGCAACCAGAACGCTGTGCATGACTGTCAGTCATCCACGTGTTAACAGGGAGGAGGCTTAGAGAAAGCAGCCATCCTGGGAGATGCTCCAGAATGCTTCCTGGAGGAGGTGGGGCTTGAACTACTAGTGAGACCTCCAGGAGGATTTGGGAGATGGGAGGGTGTTGGGATGAGAGGAGCGGTGCTTGCTGCCTCTGTCCTGTGATTGACCGTGACTGTGGCTTGGTGTCCTCTAAATGCTCCTCTGCATCTAAGCAGGCTCTGGAGCCAGGGATTCCCCACATCCCCAGAAGTCGTCCCCACATGGCTCCCTAGAAACAGAGCCATGTGGGTGGTGCTCACAGCGGCCACCACCCCCAATTGAACTACATAGAAGGGAAAAGCCACTGGAGCCTGCCAGCTCCAGATGATCCCGCCCGACTGTCAGCAATGTCAGAAGACCCTGCAGGCTCCAAAGCCCGGCCTCTTAACCATCAGAAGAGGTGGCTAATGTAGGCATTAGTGGTCCATCGCACCGTGCCTGTGCGGCCAGGGAGACAAGAGAGCCATTCTCCAAATTAATTTGTTTCATTAAGTGAGGTCTCGGAATGGTTAATTTACTCCATGTGCAAAGCAGATTGAAAGGAAGAAGAGAAAAAGACCTTAGCCAGCCCAGCTAGTGTCAGATGGCTCCGCAGGACTAGAGGCAGGGGAGCGAGCCATCCACCTGGCGTGCGGAGTGGGCCACATGCTGGACGTTGCAGGGTGGCCACAGCCTACAGCAGCGCTTGCTGCCTCTGTCCTGCGATTGACCGTGACTGTGATTTGGTGTCTTCTAAATGTAGAACCAATTAAGAATTTTGGGGCCGGGCGTGGAGGCTCATGCCTATAATCCCAGCACTTTGGGAGGCTGAGACGGGCAGATCACCTGAGGTTCAGGGGTTTGAGACTAGCCTGATCAACATGGAGAAACCCCGTCTCTACTAAAAATACAAAATTAGCCGAGCGTGGTGGTGCAGCCTATAATCCCAGTTACTCGGGAGGCTGAGGCAGGAGAATTGCCTGAACCTGGGAGGCGGAGGTTGCAGTGAGCCGAGATCACGCCATTGCACTCCAGCCTGGGCAACAAGAGCGAAAATCTGTCTTTAAAAAATAAATAAATAAATAAATAAATAAATAAATAAATAAATAAATAATAAGAATTTTGTCCCTCCCTCTCTTCCTCTGCCAACGTGAACCCAGACCCTAAGTGTCAGTCATCAGATTGGATTTTTCAAGCTCTCTGTAACATCATCTAAGTCACTGATAAAAACAAACAGGACATATGGAACTTTGTGAATAGACTAAAAAGCACTCAATTATATACTTTAAAGGAGTGAATTTTGTACTGTGTGAATTATATCTCAATTAAAAAAAATTTAAAGAATAAGGCAGGTCCCAGGATGAAGTGATGTGGCAAGCCTCTTGAAACACCCCTTCAAAATTTTTTTTAGCAACAGGGTCTTGCTCTGTCACCCAGGCTGGAGTACAGTAGTGCAATAATAGTTCATTGCAGCCTTGAACTCCTGGCCTCAAGCAATCCTCCTGCCTCAGCCTCTTGAGTAGTTCTAGGGACTATAGGCACCCGCCACCACACCTGACTAATTTTATTTTTATTGCTTGATTGATTGGTAGCGATGGAGTCTTGCTATGTTGCCCAGACTGGTCTCAAACTCCTGGCCTCAAGTGCTCCTCTCCCGTCAACCTTCCAAGTAGCTGGGATTATAGACACAAGCCACCATACCCAGCTACCTCTTCAACCTTGATATTTTCAGGGTTCCCTAAATGTGTCAGGCTAGTAACTGTTTCAAAAAAGGACATAGATTTGGTCTGGCCATGACTTGGTCTGTGTGAACCTGTGCTAGCTATTAGTGGTCACCTTTTTTCTTCCAAACCATCTGTTTGGCAATCTCTTTTGGAGAAATGATATCCATATTTTTCCAATTTTTGAAAATTAGACTGTGTATACCTAGCTACAGTCTCTAACACTTTTGTTGCATTATTCAGAGTTTTCCAGAGAAACAGAACTGATAGGATATATTGAGAGGAAGAGAGAGAGATGTATCATGGGAATTGGCTCATGAGATTATGGAGGCCAAGAAGTCCCACAGTCTGCCATCTGCTGCAAGCTAGAGAACCAGGAAAGCCAGTGGTGTAATCAACCCAAGTCCGAAGGCCAAGAAACAGGAGCATGTATGAGGTTCCCAGCGTGACCGTAAGCATACCATGTGTTACAGCATGGGATGTCCAAGGGCAGGAGAAGATGGATGTCGCCACTCAAGAAGAGGGAGTGAAGTCACCCCTCCTCTGCCTTTTGTTCTGTTTGGGCCCTTGGCGGATTGGATGGTGCCCATCCACACTGGGAGAGAGATCTTTACTCAGTCTACTGACTGAAAATGTCCTCATAGACACACCTAGAAATAATGTCTTACCAGCTAACTGGGCACCCCCTAGCCCAGTCAGGTTGACATGAAATTAACCCTTATATCTGTTCTCCAGGATTCCTCAGACATGGTCAGGGGCCATTTATGACCTCATGTAAAGATTTCTTTTACTCCAATCAATATCAATATCGCCCCATTCCCGAGGCATGAAGGTGAGCACTCAGAGCACCCATTGCTCTCCGTGGAGTCTTCCAGGCCCTCAGCGTCTGACAGATGCGGCAACTGCAGCTGCCTTTTCTGGGCTGGTACCTGTTCTCTTGCAGAAGGCAAACTTGGAGTGGGAGAGGTCTGCTTTCTTTTTGCCACCTCTTAATTCTACGCTGTCTGCCCCATCAGTAGCCTCATGTGTCCCTCTGACTTCTCACTCTCAATACGAAAATATGCTTCTAGAATTGTCTTTAATATTTTTAAGCCCCATTCCTTGACACTGCTGTGGCTTCTGTATCCCAGGCTTTGATGGTCATCTGTGACTACAGGAGGCCCCACATTCCTTTTCACATGTGGGCTCATGGGCAAGGACTCTGGGGGATACCAAGTGCCTCTCGACATCCCTCTCTTTAAGTCACAGCTGCTATCTGGAACTTGCTGCTCCTTTTAGCACCTCAGAACACTCTACCAGTCATAGAGTCCCACATCCTACAAAAATGACCAGGTCCCCCAGATCTTGCCCACCGGGAACTGATGAGGAATTAACCTAGTCGGAGTCCTATATCTATACATCAGCTCATTCACATGAGTTGTTAAGATAGCTCTTTTGGAAGTGCAGTCCATCCTTATTACTCATTGATTCATATTTGCACATTCGCCTACTTGTAAAACTTATTTGTAACACCGCACTCAATACTCATGGTGTTTTTGCAGTCAGTCATTGACACACAAACAGTGAAAAATTTGAGTTGCCTGACCTGCAAGATCCCAGTCCAGGCCAAAGTAACACTCTGCCTCCTTGTTTCAGCTCTCATAGTATAAGCAAGCACCCTTCTCATGGTTCTGTTTACTGCCATGTTTTTCACATTTTTGTGCTTTTCCTTGGTGAATTTGCTATTTTAAATGGCTCCTAAACATAGTACTGAAGTGCCGTCTACTGTTCTTAAGCGCAAGGAGGCTGTGATGTGCCTTCCGGAGAAAATGTGTGTGTTAGATAAGCATCACTCAGGCATGAGTTATAGTGCTGTTGGCCGTGAGTTCAATGTTAATAAATCAACAATATGTATTAAATAAGGTTTCTTTAAACAGAAACACATACAAAACGAGGTTATGTATTGATCCAGTGGTGAAAATGTTGTGACCAGAGGCTTGCAGGAACCAAACCCCGCATTTCCCCTAGGAGTAATAGTTCAGTATTCACTAATTCAGTATTTGCAGCAACTTTATGGAATGCAACTACCATAAATAATGAGAAGTGACCGTACTTGCTCTTTAAAACAGAGTAGAGAGATGCTGAAGATAAAGAAGTATGTTGTAGGCAACAGGATCTTAGGTCTGAGTGATTTATCTTGTTCGTGTGTGGTGGTAGCTTCGCTAGGGGATGAGATGGGGACGGGGGGGATGCTTCTTCCAGTGGTCATTGTCCTGCATGGTTTGACTGAGCCTATCACTGCTTCATTTGCACCATGCTGGGATGCCACTGTTGCTGAGGCCCTCGCAGACAGCTCAGCCCTGCAGTGACTGTCATTGCCATCCTGTCATCCGAGCCCAGGGACCGCGAGACAGATCTATGCTCACTTTGCCCACGGTTTGTCTTTCCATCCCAGCAAGGAAATTGCCCTCATTAAGTCCCTGCTAAAGATAGATAAGAAAATGGGACAGGCAAACCCCCACCTGGCAGGCAGCCCTGTCAGATTCTAAGCAAAATGAGTCAGATAAGAATTATTTTTAGGATCCTTCTCCTCCTCCCTCACGCCCACCCCCAAGCAGGCTCTCTCTTGAAAAGAAGAGCAGCTCATTTCTTCAAGCCAGATGTCCAGGTCCATGCTTGATTGAAATGGAGCCCCTGATACACCCAGAGAAAGCCCCACGCTTTGTACAAATCATGATGGTCCCAATAATCCTTTGCACAGTGCAGCTGCCTCAGGCCGCACTCCTGGGCAGAACAAGCTGCAGAGAGTGGCCCTGTTGAGGCTGGCCCACAACTCACCCATGAGGGATATACCTTCCCCCGATCCCCATGCTCAGGACTTCCTCCCAGCATCACACTTCATGGGAATACAAGGCTCTGGGGGTTCTCTCCCATCGGGACCCACATCCACGCGGGGGACAAATGGGTAAGAAAAGAGGTTGCCTACAGCTCATTTTGGCAGAGCCCTGGAACCCCCTGTGCCCACCAGGCAGTGGGCATCCCCTAGTTCTGTGCCCACAGTTGGAGAGCAGAGTACTACTCTTTCTCGATCACAATAATCCCCTTTTCCCCAGCAATTAGAATTCCTTCAGACCCCTTAAGCCCTAAATAGCAAAGGGAGACCCAATGACAAGAAAGGTGACTGAAGAGGACGTAGGGGCACATGTCTAGTTACCTGCAGGACAGGAGGGCTGCTCCCTGAGAAACTGGCCCTGGAGAGATAAATGCCATTTCCCCAAGGTCTGCGTCTAGGATGGGACGTAGAATGGACGCCTTGGGAACCAGCCACCCAAGCTGGTTTCATTCCTCCTCAGAGGTCTAGTCTCTACTGAAATGCTAGGCATTTGAGGATTGGCTCACAAACACTAACACCCAACCCTTCATTCCTCTCCGGAGCCCCAAGCAACCTGGCCTCTGGCACCAAGCCAGCCCAGCCCTCCCCGGGGACAGTGTGTCTGGTGGGCAGCCCAGGCCCAGGGCGAGGCTCACTGGCTTCAAGACGAGCTCATCTCTCACCAGCCAGGGGATCTTGGGCCCTGGACAAACCATTCTTCTTATGTCCCCAAGGACACCATTGTGCAGACTACAGGGATGCCATTAGATGCCATGTGATGGCAGATACGAGGGAAGTCCTGACCCTGTGTGCGGCTCTGAGTCTAACCTCAGAGAACGTGCATCCCCCCCTCTCTGTCCTGACACTCACTCCTGTGCAGGAAGAAAAGAACACTGGACCAGAAGTCATGGAATCTGGATTTTCATACTTGTGGTGTGGTTCAGAGCAATTCTCTTACACTTTAAGGGTACACAGTTTCTCAGCTATAAAATAGGGCTCTGATTTCAGCTCTACAATGTATTAGAGAGAGTGCGAGGTGAAGATGAAAAGGGACACTTCTCAGGGATATTCCATTCCTTAACCATGGGATGGGAAAGACAGTTCTGAAAGACATGTTGGAGGCTGGCCAGGGCTTTCAGTGCAAATAACCAGTGTCTCGTGTATCTTCAGCTCAGCCCATGTGCCCTGTCCAGAAGGTTCTAGAAAGGCAGCCATGCCTGCTGCCCCTGTGTATATTTTTCCTTCCCCAGATCTGGCACACAGTCATACTAGGCTAAGCCTCATACTCCTGGCCCTGTGCTTTTTTTTTTTTTTTTTTTTTTTTGTGAGACAGGATCTCACTCTGTTGTCCAGGCTGGAGTTGCAGTGGCACAATTATAGCTCACGACAGCCTCGACCTGCTGGGCTCAAGTGATCCTCCCACCTCAGCCTCCCAAGTAACTGGGACCACAGGCACGTGCCACCACACTTGGCTAAATTTTTTATTTTTTATTTTATAGAGACAGGGTTTTGCCATGTTGCCTAAGCTGGTCTTGAACCCCTGGCCTCAAGCAATCCTCTCACCTCAGCCTCCCACAGTGCTAGGATTAAGGGCATGAGCCACAGCACCCAGCCTCTCTGTCCTCTTGAGATCGTATGCTGCCCAGGACCGCAAGATTCACAGGTGTAAGTACCCAGCCATACCTGTTGGTGCTCACAGGTGTAAGCACCCGGCCGTACTCATCGGCACTCACAGGTGTAAGCACCCGGCCGTACCCATCAGCGCTCACAGGTGTAAGCACCCAGCCGTACCCATCAGCGCTCACAGGTGTAAGCACCCGGCCGTACCCATCAGCGCTCACAGGTGTAAGCACACGGCTGTGCCCATCGGCGCTCACAGGTGTAAGCACCCGGCCATACCCATCGGCGCTCATAGGTGTAAGCACTTGGCTGTACTCATTGATGTAGCAGGCTGTGCATCCCACTGGTTCTGAGGGTCTTTTTCGCTAGACTCCCAGGCAAGCCTGGCCCACCCTCTGCCAAGCCTGGATGTCACTCAGCAATTCACAAGCACTTCCAGAGCACTCACTGTATTCAGGGCACCCTTTAGCTCATATAGTCTTCCCAATGACCTTAGGAAGGAGATGCTATTTTTATTTCCAATTTACAGATGAGGAAAGTCACTAGTCCAGAAAAGTGAAGCGACACAAGCAGCCTGGCTTCCAGGCGTGTGCTGCTAACAACCCACTGCTCTGGGACCCCCTCCTTCCCCATCTGCAGACTCAGCTTCCGTCTGCTGGGCCCCTCCCTGGCTGCCTCCTACATACTCCCCCTGTTAACCACCTGATCAACTCACATGCACGGGGAGCTAAAGACGGCATGGTCCTCTTTGGGGTGAGGGGGCTGTCATGTCAAATGGACTAGGGGAGGGCTGCTGCCTCATTCAAAGGGATGAATGAATGAATGAATGAATGAATGATGAGATTTCAGATGAGACCCTCAGACAGGGTCACCCACCCTCCCACCTTCTCCCCACCTGCACTAGGTCAGTCCTGCCCATAGATTACTTTCCTTGTCTGGATGATTCATGAATAGACATATTTAGGAAGCCCTCGAAACTGACCAGGGATTTCCCAGATTGTGGGGACCCCACTCGATGAGCACCCAGAGGGAAAGTTCTGTGAGTTCTGGAGTGGTGGGCAGCTCAGGGGGTGGGGAGGCAGCCCGGCCAGAGGAGAGCTTCCTCCAGCTGTTGGCTCCCCTGACTCCCAAGAGGACAAACCCAGAGCATGAGGGTGCCTTTCACTCCTCAGGGCTCCCCAGGAGAGACAGGGGCACAGGTTTTAAAAATACCAAGGAGCTTTCCTCCTGGGTCGGCATTTACCCTGAACTCCAAGAGTTATTTCTGAGTCTTCCCAGTAATTTAATTATAGCCATTTATTCCAATGCATGTGTTTTGGGGAAGCCAAGGTGGCCTCTATTACAGTTTGGAATATTTTGGGAGGCCTTGGTTTCCAAAAGTGATGCAGGGACTCAATTAGGCAAGACACCAGCAAACAGAAATAAAATAGCTCAAGAAGATAGGCCCTCAAGTTCCCAGAGGCGATGCCTGTACTTAGCACCCACGGGGGAAATTAAGATGAAGTTGTCCCCTGGGTGCTTGGTGTAGTCATCTCTGTAGCAGCAGCATATGCCACCTTCTCCATGTCTCTAAGCACCTGCAGGGATTTCAATGCCCTTCAAATTATGGGCTGGATGGGGTTGCCCATTCTTTCCAAGTAGGCCTGGACAGATGAACAGCCTGGGCACCAGGATTTAGGTCCCCCTTGTAGGTGGACACAGACTCACCAACAACTTGTGGGATGGCATTATCAAACAGCTTCTAACCTTTCAAATAGGCCTTTGGAATCCTCAACTGGTTCGCGCTCCCTGACCCCCTGCTCCTTGTAGATGGCCTGCTCCACCTGCCCTCAGCTCTGTCCCCACCTACCCTCCCACCCACTGTCTTCACTCGCTGTGCTCTCCAGACCCCAGTCTTCTCGCTGTTCTTTGAACAGGCCTGTCTCTGTCCTGCTCCCAACACTGACCAGCCCCTGTACCTCAGTCCCTCTCCCTTGCCTCTTGTTCCTGCTGGCCTCCTCTGATTCTGCAGGTTCTGCTGACTCCTTCCTACTCCTCCACCCCTTACTATTCATGGCCTCATTCATCCTCCCTTGATCCTCTTCCCTGACCTTCCCTACAGCTGCTGGGCGGGGTCCAGCCTGACACAGACTGAGAGCTTTCCCTGCTGTGTGTGAGCTCCTGGGCTCACCTGAAGCAGGTGCGGCCACTGAGGGACTTAGGGAAGGGCAGAGGGCCGGAGAGCATCCAGCACACACATTCATTCATGTCTGGAGGGCAAGCCCCGGGATCCTGAGTCACCTCAGCAGGTGGATAGAGGAGCCCAAAACAGAAGCTGCTGCCTGGAGCCCACATTATCTGCATTGACACCCGCCTGCAGGAATACGACTGCCCTTGTGTTGGCTTTGAACTCTGTCTTTCAGCTTCAAGGGGAGGATTTGGTGGACAAAAGATCTAATTTTAGGCTTATTACTTGTCAGGACTGACATTGAACTCAAGAAAAGACATGTGTGAACTTGAAACAAAGATGAGAAATGTTTTTAGAAAGAGAAAATGTGTTCTGGGGTGGTGTGCATGTTTGGTCTGGTGGTCTGTGTGGCCACAGCAAACACGTGTTCCAGACTGGCTCTGCATGTCAGGGAGCAGATGGCTCGGCCTGGTCACCCTGAGCAGGAAGCTTGCTGCCTTTGAGCTGTGAGCTGCAGCCACGGTGCAAAGAGGCTGGGCGGAGGCTGGGGTGAGACACTTAGAGGGCAGGATTCTGACTGTGCCCTGATATTCAGGAGGGCTGGCGGTGCTCAGTCAGGGGTAGGGTAGGAACAGTGATCATCAGGGCCTCTTTAGGCAGAGCACACAAAGGCCAATTCCCTCCCAAGGCTCCACCATCCCAATTCCTGTCCCAACGCCCCTCCTAGGATGGCAGGGGAGCCTCGGCGCCCTTTCCGGGAGACAGCCCCGGTGTATTTTGACTGTGCTTCCTTACTCTACAAGCAGTCAAGGACAGCCACCTTCTGCCTTCCCACCACCCCCTTAGGGTGAGAATGAGGAGGAGCTCCCACCTTCCTCTACTCTCATGCGGCCCCTTTTGACCCCAGATTTACTGCTCCTGCATCCCGTTTTGTGAACTGGTGTGTCAGTGGTTGATCTACCCTTAATGGTAACCCAGGGCATGTTACTTTGCATTTTCACTTGAGCCTTCAGTGATTACCCAGAGTTAAGAGAATGATTTAGTTTCTGGCACACTGAGAAGCTCCCACGTGTGGGAGGTAGGTGAGGGTGGGTATATGTCATGTTATTTCAAGGCAGATTTTTTTGCTCCTAAGAGCCTAAAACCATCCCACTTGAGGCAAACCCACATTTTGCCTCTGACTTTGTTGCCTGGAGGTCATATCACAGGAGCCACACCAGGGCCCTTATTCCAGCCTAATGTGTAGGTGGTCCTTTGAGAATGCTGAGTTGCCTAGACTTCATTCGAGTCCTGTCACTAGATATGTAGCCTCAAGACATCCCTTCACCTCTTTGAGGCATGTTGCTCAACTATAAAATACGATATCCACCTTGTAAGAGTGTTCTGCAGTTCAAATGAGGTGATGCTCAGAAAGGAGGTAAAATGCCAAGGGCAACACAAACCTGAGGACTTATTGCCTATATTTGTGTTTGAATCACACATGTTCGGTTTATGTTTATAGTTGTGGATATGTACGTGTGCATGTGATTGCTTTAGGACTCTGCTAATCATCATTTCCAATGATAATTTGCTGGAAATGGAGCTTGGCTTGGACGTTTGTATTGGGGTTATCTATTGCTGTGTAACAAATTTCTCCAAGACGTAGAGTTTAAAACAACAAATATTTATTATGTCACCCAGTTTCCAAGGGTCAGGAATCCAGGAGCAGTTTAACAGGGTTGTCCTAGCTCAAAGTCACCCTTGAGAGTGTAGTCAAACTGTCAGCCAGGGGTGTAGGCATCTGAAGGCATGACTGGGGCTGGAGAAAGCCCAAGCAGTTGGAGAACAGCCTCCTTCACAAGGTGGTTGGCAGTTCTCAGTTTCTCATTAGCTGTTGGTCACAAGGTGGACCTCTTCATAGGGCTGTTCATGACATAGCAGCTGACTTGTCCCAGAGTATGATCCAAGAGAGACAGACAGGAAGACAAGCAGACAGACAGACACCAAGATCGAAGCTGCAGTATGCTTTGTAACCTAATCTTGGAAGTGACATGCCATATTCTACCATATTCTGTTGGTCACATAGACTAACCTTGGTACAGTGTGGGAGGGGACTTTACAGGGATATAAATTCCATAAAGTGGGGATCACTGGGGACAATCTTAGAGGCTGACTACCACAACCCACCCTCTCATTCCCAGTGACTCACATGCAAAATAGTCTCACCCCTCCCAATGTCTCATTTGATTATAGCATCAGCTCCAAGTCCAAAGTCTCATCATCTAGATCATGTTCAGATGCAGATGACGCTCTTTGGGTGTATCTCCTTAAGTACAGCACCTCAGGTACAGTTCACTCTTGATCTGTAGGCCTGAGATTTAAGGAGGCAAGTTAGCTGCACACACACACACACACACACACACACACACACACGTAGCCAACATACAATTGTGGGACAGGCATAGGGTAACAGCCTTAGATACACTTATTCAAGAAGAGGGGAAACAAGAAGCACATAGACATTGTTGGTCCATAGCAGTTCTGAAATCCAGCCAGGCAGATATTGGAAGTTTCTTGATTAGAACTCAGTTCTGTTCCTGCCCAGGAATTATTCTACAAGGCTGTCTCCGCCCTCTGCATTCAGGGTCTTTCATGAGATTGCAGCAAGTCATGAGCCCAGTGAATACTCTGGGCTCTTGGTTCTGCCTCTGAGTCATCCTTCCTTTTCTATGAAAGGTAGCATGTCTTTGCAGCTGATTTGTTGCTCAGATAGCTTCCTGCTGGTAGAATTTGGGAGGTCCAAGAGCTTCTTTATATTTTGTACTGTGTCTCTCCCTTCCAGTCCAAGTTGTTGTGTTTCCACTGAAATAATCCTTTGAAAAACTTTATGGGTCTTCTGTGATCCTAT
Source organism: Homo sapiens (assembly GCF_000001405.40). Lineage (NCBI taxonomy): Eukaryota > Metazoa > Chordata > Mammalia > Primates > Hominidae > Homo > Homo sapiens. Next base: position 216,851 of record NW_013171814.1, read on the forward strand.
TGAGTCTGTTCCACCAAATAAAAGCCCACCCACACATCTCTTCAAGACCATCCCTTCTCTCCGCTGGGCTTCTGCTGAGGGACAATGCCCTTAAGCTTCTTAGAAGCTCTGTTGTTTGACTGAGAAGATCTTTAACATCTCTTAAAATCTTTACAGAGCTTTTGGTCTGACTGAATAGTACTCTGAGGCAGCACCGCTGAACTTTCTAAGATCTTGACAAAGACTTCATAGCCACACCCTCCACCTCATCTTTGGACTATGCTTTCCTGAGAGTGCCTGGATTTGATCTTTACGCAGAAGTCATTTCCTAATTTTAGCATCATTTGCCATCTGGACAGTCTGGGACTCTTCAAAACTAGCAAGTCCTGGATTTTTTTTTATTGTGACAGCCCTTCTTTTAACTTGTCTCTCTCTTCTCACATTTTACCTAGCAAGAAGAAACCAGGCAGCCCCTGCAGGACCCTGGCTAAAAACTTCTTCCTTAGATAATGCAAGTCATTAAGTACATTTTCTGCTTTTCACATATCTGTAGGAGACAATGTTGCTAAACATTTTGGGGCTACATAATAAAAATCCTCCTTCCTCTAATTCCCAATAATATATTTTTCACCTCCCTTAAAGCCCCCATCACCAGTCTCCTCAAAGTCCATATTTCTACCAGTGGTCTCTTCATGGCATTTGAAGTTTTCACTAAGAATCACCCCAGAATGCTTCTGGCTCCGGCCCACTGCCCAGTACCAAAGCCACTCTCACATTGCAGAGTTTCACTATGGCAGCACCCTACTTCCAAGTACCCAAAGCTGTATTAGTTATCTCTTGCTGTGTAACAAATTACTCCCCAAATTTAGCAGCTTAAAATAAGCACTTATGATCTCACACAGTTTATGACGGTCAAGCATCCAGAAGCTATATAGCTGGGGAGTTCTGGCTCAGGGTCTCTCGTGAGATTGTGGTCAGGCTGTTGGCCAGGATTGCGGTCATCTGACACTTGACTCAGATGGGACTGGAAGAGCCACTTCCCAGCTCACGGATGTGGTTGCTGGCAGGCCTTGGCTCCTCACTGGCTGTTGGCTGGAGGCTTCATTTCCTTGCAACGTGGGCCTCTCTGTAGGGTGCTCATGACAGAGTGAGTGGCCTGTGAAGGAGGGAGGGGGAGAGTGAGAGAGAGAGAGAGAGAGAGAGAAGGAAAGAGAGAGATAAGCTGTTGGATCTTTTGTAACCTGGTCTCAAAGCAACATACCATCCCTTCTGCCATATTCCATTGGTCACAGACTAACCGTGATGTGGCAAGGGACTAAACAAGAGTTTGAGTGTCAGGAGGTGGGGACCACTGGGAGCCACCTTTATCTGTTTTGAGTTCCTTCCTGTACCATTGCTTTTTCCCCCCACTTTAAATGATCTAGTGAAACTCACCGGTAGCTTTGAATGGGTTGAGGGTTTTTGTGTGTTCTGATTCAACTTCAAACCTCTCTACAAATGCCCTCCTCATCCTGTCCTCCCCTCTGCGCTTCCATCCTTCCTGCCCATGGCCCCTCTCCATGGTGGGGCATCAGTGAAGACGCTTCCTGCCTGGGGAAGATTTGAAGCCAGGGGATGCTGTTGCCAGAACTTTGGAACACCCCTCTTACCCAGGGGGTCCAGCAGATAGTTCTGGGAAAAGGAAACTTTCCAAGATACACACCCACGTTCCCCCCACCACCACTACCACACACACAGACACACACTCACACATGTAATTATTTTCCCTTAAACTCTATAATCTCAATGATTATAAAAAGTTTGGGCTTTAATTGGAAGCGTATTGAAATCCTTGCATCTGTCAGACACTGACAGAGAAGGCTTCCTTGCTTAGGTGGGAAAATAACCCAAATATTAACAACACAAATAAAGATGGCTCCCCCAGCCTTTCTCACAGCAGCCGCCAGTGGTCTGGGAGGCAGTAGGATGAGAGCTGGCGTCCCCATGAGAAGAGTGAGATCAGCGAGACTCAGAAAGGTGATGCGATTTACTCCAGGCCTTGCAGAGCTGAGGCTGGTCCCAGACATCCAGACGTCTGGATTCTTTTCCACAGGGTTCTGGAATGTTGGTCCTGTGGTGGAAAACACGTGCTCCTTTTTCACCCACTTGGGGATCCGTGGTGATCTGGAGTTGTCTTCCTGTCTGGGGAGGGTGGTCCTGCCTCGGGTAGAGGACCAGATATGGTGGGGGTTCAGAATGCTGTGGAGAGAAGTCCCTCAGAAACGGAAATATTTTGGCAGGCATGAGGAAAGATTGTGAGGGAGCACCCAGTGGTGGGACAGTGGCGATGGACAGAAGAGGACTCCTGTTAATCCGCTCTTTCCAATCCACCCAGATGCCCTTCCCTGCATTTTGAGGCATCCCTGGGAGGACTGCCTCAGGAGGCTTCACCTCCAGGTGGAGTCTCAGGTGAAGTAATAGTAGCCGGCTTTGTCCACAGCTGTGCTGCCCAGCGCAGTCACCACGAGCTGCCTGTGGTGATTTACACCCATTACAATTAAATAAAGCCACAAGTTCAGTTCTGCAGTCATATTGGCCACATTCAGGGCTAGCCACATGTGGTGAAGGGCCTCCACAGTGTGAGGGGCCCCCGAGGTGTGAGGGGCTCCTGTGGTGTGAGGAGCCCCCGAAGTGTGAGGGGCCTCCGCGGTGTGAGGGGCCCCCGCAGTGTGAGGGCCTCCTGGGGTGTGAGGGGCCCCTGAGGTGTGAGGGGCTTCTGCGGTGTGAGGGGCCCCTGCGGTGTGAGGGGCTCCTGCTGTGTGAGGGGCCCCTGCGGTGTGAGGGGCTCCTGCTGTGTGAGGGGCTTCCACGGTGTGTGGGGCCCCTGCGCTGTGAGGGGCCCCTGTGGTGTGAGGGGCTTCCGCGGTGTGAGGGGCTTCCGCGGTGTGAGGGGCTTCTGCGGTGTGAGGGGCTTCTGCGGTGTGAGGGGCCCCTGTGGTGTGAGGGGCTTCTGCTGTGTGAGGGGCTTCTGCGGTGTGAGGGGCCCCTGTGGTGTGAGGGGCTTCTGCTGTGTGAGGGGCTCCTGCGGTGTGAGGGGCCCCTGTGGTGTGAGGGGCTTCTGCGGTGTGAGGGGCTTCTGCGGTGTGAGGAGCCCCTGAGGTGTGAGGGGCTTCCGCGGTGTGAGGGGCTTCCGTGGTGTGAGGAGCCCCCGCAGCTTGAGGGGCCCCCACGATGAACGCAGTGTGAAGGGCCCCCTGTGGTGTGAGGGGCCTCTGGCAGTGTGAGGGGCTTCCGTGGTGTGAGGGACCCCCGCAGCATGAGGGGCCTCCCGCAGTGTGAGGGGCTTCCACAGTGGACCATGCTGCTCTAGGACGTTTTCATCATGGCAAAAATCCTGTCAGATGACCCTGCTCTGGGGAAACTCTCCCAGCCCAGAGAGGCAGGCATGGGGCAGTTGGGGGAGAAGAGAAAAGTGGAGAACCATTTGGAAGGGTCTGGGGGCCAGGGAAAAGGCATGAGGATGAGAAAGAAGAAGCTGAGAAAGAGAAGGGGTGCTCATGGAGCAGTGTGTGGCCCCTTTGGGTGCTCAGGAAATGGTCATTCCTCTTTGATCTGGGGCTCAGAGAGGCAGACAGTGCCTACCCTGTTGGGGTTTAAAACCCACAAGGGAGGACCACCTCCTGCAGCACCTTCTCTCAAAAGCTCCAGGCCCACTCTGCAGACCACCAGGACCCCCAAGAGCTGTGCAGCCTCACCAGCAGCTGATGGGCATCACTGGGAGGGAGTAGAGAAGGCTCATTATGATGGTCAATTCAGGACAAATCCTTTGGAATAGGGAGAGATGCCTGGAAGCTTCTGGAGAATGGAGAGGTCCCCATTTCCTAACCCACCATTGGTCCTTTGTCACCATATTCCCCACCCTCTATGCCTGAGTGGAACTCCGTTAACCCTCTCATTCCTGGAGAACTGCACAAACCACATCTCAACAATGTCTTCCCAGTGGCCACCTAACTCAGCTTAGGGACCTAGTAAGGGCTTGGTTTGTCTGTGATAAGTGAAAGGTGTGTGGATGGATGGGATTTCTTCAAAGTCTTATATGGAAATTATCCATATAAACCACTGAATAAAGAAGACCTCTTTAGTTTTTAGCGGGTTGGGACCAGAAACCCAATGGTCCCTTACCACTGCAGTGACTTCATTCCCGCTTATTATAACAGCAATTATTGAAGCTGCTTTTTATGGGACACCTCCTAGGCTGTGCATTCTATCTGGATTAGGGGTCAGCAAAGTTTTCTACAAAGGACCAGAGAATAAATCTTTCAGGTTTTGCAGGCCATAGGGTCTCTATCATAACTCCTCAGCTCTGCCATTGTAGCACAGAAGCAGTTATAGAAATATATAAATGAATGAAAGTGACTGCTTGCCAATAAAACTCTGTTTCCATAACCAGATAGCGGCTCCATTCGGCCCACAGGCCACCATTGGCCAATTCTTGTTGTAGGTTATCATGAATCTTCCAACACCCCGAAGAGAATGAAGTTTCCATTCCTACCTTACAGCCGAGGAGACCATGCTGCAGCAGTGCATTCACCTGGCCGCCGGGCTCACATGCCTTTTGAGGCAGACCTAGGCCTATCCAAGCAGGACTCCCATTCCCTGGGGTACGTTTTGATGTGGAACTGCAGAAGGCCTTGCCAGAGGCTGCCACGGGAGACCTCAGGATTCGGGGTACCCAGGAGTAGCCAGTGATGCCTCAGGGGTAACAGAAGAACCTGGAAGGCTGTAGGAAAAATAGAAGCCTGTTTCCCCTGCTTCACTGAGGTTGTAAGGCAACCCCGAGAAGGCAGAAGGGGACCAGCAGGGCAGTGCACACCCAGGAGACAGCTCTTACCTTGATGACGGGGCTGACCAGCCGGACACTGCCCTGCTTGGACCTTTTTTATGCCCACCACAGGGCAACCACTGCCTCCAGCATCCCCCCTGGAGAAGCTGCTGCAAAGCCGTCCCCTTCTATGGGAGCCACAGCTTGAAGCTAAAACAAGAGCCCAAAGCATCTTCAGGTGTAAGAAGAGGTCTCTTTCTTTCTTGTTCTCGGCAGCCCATCCTTCCCCAGCTCCTTCTGGACATGAGGTTTCTTGTTACCCTCTTCAAGTTCCTTTGGCTCGCAGCATTGCCTCTCCTCCAGACAATATGGCCTGGCCAGTGTGACCTGCTCCTGTATGCCCTCCAGCCCTCCCCAGCCATGCCACGGAGGGACAGAGCTGTCCAGATCCCAGCCAGGGTCTCCAATTTGTGCAAGGCAGGAGGAGGCACATGTCACTGATGTGAGAGCTGTCTAAGGGTTTCATTCATTCGCGTTTTCAATAGAGGCCGTGGTGTGCCTTGCAGATATTTGATCTACATCACCATAATCAGACAAGATTGGGCATGTTCAGGGTGGTGTGGCTGTAGACAACATCACCATCATCAGAAAAAGAAGGAGGAGGAGGAGCGTTATTTTGAGAGGCATCGGGGGCCTGGTTGCCTGGACTTTCATCATTAGTGCATGCTTATTTGGGTTAAAAATTCATAATCCCTGTGGTCCCTTCCAAAGCGTAGCTGCCCTGGGGAGGCAGTATCCCAAGGCACTCGGACACCTCTGTCACTAACTTTTTCAAGTTTGTGGATTATAGATAAGGGAGGAGGCGAGGAGGGGCCGAGAGGGAAGTGGGAAACTGTGTGGGAGGGGGTGGGTGCTCAGAGTGGAAGTGAAGATCAAGCTGAGTCCTCTAATGATGGTGCTGGGCCCCTGCCTGTCTCTTCTGGGAGTCACTGCCTCCATGTGCATTAACCCTGCAGATCCAGCCGCAGCCTGAGTGTTGAATAGGGCTAGCTGAGCTCTTTGCTGACCACTGTCTCCAGTGGAAACCACTGAGTGCAGGGTCAGGAGTGGGGTGCTCTCAGACACTGATGGAGCCATGCCCAAGACCCAGGGAACATCCTGTGGCTGGGGAGGAGTTACAGGGAAACAGATTGTCGGGCAAGGGTCTCTGGCCCCCCTCCCTGGCAGTCGAGGGCACACCAGTGTCTGGAGACAGTGTGGGTGCTGAGCTGGCACATCCACCACAGAGCAACTAGGATTATTGAGGAGAAGGAGGAAAATTATCTGAGCCCACCTAGGGTTTTCATTTGCAGCCCGTGATGAAGTCAGCTGGCCAAGAGGTCAGCTTCAGGCCACGCCTGTGGGGACCCTCCTGGCTCTTCACACTCAGCTCCCACCAGCCCACCCCAGAGTGCTTGCTCCCAACTCACCCTCGCAGCCCTTCCCCCTGGAAATCATAACTAAGCCCTCCCTTCCCCCAGTCTCTCAGGGCTGTCTCAGAACTAAGCTTTCCAGCCGGAGAATGCTCGGAGCATTTCAGCAGGGGTCTTCATTCTCAAGGAGGCGGGTACAATTTGGGGCTCAATAAAAGGGATATTTGAAAATAAAGCTGGGCATCCACCCAGCAAAGCCAGTTGGCAATGCCATGAGGGACGCTGTGTTCTTCTAACTCTGCTAAGCCTGCCCTGTGAGCCGTGGCTCAAACCCAGCATGGGAACTTCCTGTAGGGGAAGAGGCCAGGCTGTTTGGAAAAGAGACCTCGAGTCCCCACCCACTTCCCCTGGGACAAGGAGTGGGGAGACCCTCGGCTGCACCTTCTGTCCCCCACCCCCAGCATTGCTGTGGTCAGAGATAATACCAGGTTAGCTACATTAAAATTATTTGGGCTGGGCTCAGTGGCTCACGCCTGTAATCCTAGCACTTTGGGATGCCGAGGCAGGTGGATCACTTGAGGCCAGGAGTTCAAGACAGGCTTGGCCAACATGGTGAAACCCCGTCTCTACTAAAAATACAAAAATTAGCCGGGTTTGGTGGCACAGGCATGTAGTCCCCGCTACTCGGGAGGCTGAGGCAGGAGAATCGCTAGAACGCGGGAGGCAGAGGTTGCAGTGAGCCAAGATTGCACCACTGCACTCTAGCCTGGGTGACAGAGTGAGTGAGACTCTGTCTCAAAAAATAAAATAAAATTATTTGAATCCCAGGATTCATTGGGGTTCATTTGCATCCTGTTCATCATCACGGCAACATTCTGGGAGAGAAAGGGAAGACTTCCAAGAGGCTGAATCACTTTGCAGTGTTGACCTCACCCACCTCATGACCCCAGGGTGGTGGGAGCAATGCCCTTCACCAGCCCCTGTATGGATAGGAAGCAGGGGCTGGAGAGGAGGTTTTGGTCAGGAAGGGAGGCTCTGTGAATGCTTCTCGCAAGCCTAGACTGAGCCAGGCATTAGAGGAGCATCCCGTCTAGTTGGAGTGAGGTGATTAAGATATACTGAACAATTTACACTTAATATCATATTGCTGTGTGTGTACTCCTGTGTACATATACATATATGGTATATATGCACATGTGTGTTTATATGCATTTATATGCACACATGTATGCATGCATATTGCATGTGTGCAATATGTGTACAAGTATGTATATGCATGTGTTATGTGCCTATGCATATGTGCATGTATGTCCAGTTTGTGTGCGTGTGTGTGTGTGTGTGTGTGATGGCACAGTGCAGCCCATAAGGCCCTGTAACTTCAGAGAAAGGAAAGGCTTTGCAGTTTAGAGTAGCCAAGAAGCCTTCCTGGAGGAGGTGGAACCTGATCCGTCTCTGCAATGGGGCCAGCAGAGGGCAAGGGGAGAGCATTCCTGATAAGTGACTGAGCAGAGACAAAGGCCCAGAGGTAGGAGCAGAGAACACTGTTAGGAAAGAGGCCAAGCCAGGGAGGAAGGTGTGAGAAGCCAGTGAAGAATTAGAGCCAGTGCGCCAATTCTTCACTGCATCTGTGGCTGCATCTTTGGATGTCTTGCATGCAGATGTACAGGCAGCAAGTCCAAGAGAGCGTGTTGCTGGAGGGACAGCCGGCGCACAGGCACGTGGCAGGAAGCACGTGGCAGGTGGAGGATGTGGAGGAAGCAAGTGCATGCTTGAGAGAAGGAGACTGGAAGACTGGAAGCTAAAAGGGGAAAGAGGGAAGGAGGTGAGGACAGGGTGTTTGAACAGATTCTGTATCTCCAAGTGTCCAGTGGAGCCTTGGATTTTGTCTTGAGTCCCAGAGCCCAGTTCCTACCCATTTAGTTGGAGTCTTGAGGATTCTTGCCAGTGATTAAGTTTCCCCCATCAAAATAGGCTATGATGGAGACTTGAGATTCCCTTACCCAAAGGTGCCTGGGTCTGGTGAGAAGGAGGAGGCGCTCCCATTCCATCTCCAGTCCTCCCTGCGAGCTGCAGCCATCAATCTGGGACAGAGATACTAAACACTCCGTAAATGTTTGTGGATGGCCTCTTGGGGAGGGCTGGGCTGGTTGTGATCCTGTATGTCATGGGAAGCGGAGGAGTTGGAAAGGGCACACCCGGGTGGTCTGGTGGTTAGGATGGCCCCGTTCCTGGGAATGGTTGCCACGAAGCATTTTCCCTGGCTTCTCCATAGAAGCGACTGTTCCTTCCCGGAGTGTTATGAAAACCTGCAATTACCAAGCCGCCTCTGGGTGCGAGCATTCAGACCTCCTCTTCTTTCTTCCAAGATACACTGAGTCAAGACCTGGTCAGTGCAGAAAGCGGGTTCCTCTCCCACATTCCGTCCCGCATAGCCCCATGGGGCTGTGGTTAATGAGCTTGGTGATTATGTATTTCATGTCTGGGATGAGGAAGGTGAAGGGCTTGAGTGAATGCCTGTGCCTCTCCAAGTTCTGGAGCAAGCTGCCTTCTGCACTCGGCATGCTCTGGGACCACTCAGCAGATACCACCATGTCTCTGGGGTTTGGGGTCCCCTTCTTCCTCCAGCTGCACTGAGTGGAAGCCAGAGCTGTGCATAGAAGCTGGGAGAGGACTCAAGCAGGAATGTGCAATGCAGGGCTTCATGGAACGCTCCACCCAGACTGCCGCCTTGGGATGCCCAGAGTTTAGCTCTATCCTGTTCCTCCGATGATTTTCCTTCTGGGCATATATATTTCCTGGCCTCTTGCCTTTGCATGTGTGAGTCGTGATGGGGGTTGGGGGAAGAAGGAAAAACATATAGAATGGGTGGCTCCAGACTTGAAATTTTCACAGTGGAAGAGAGAATAAAAGCAACTCTTGTGGGTCAGGAAGTTTCTGGACCTGCCGCGCCATGGCCAGTGAGCCCCTAGGCCCCACATGGCCCTCCTGGGGAAGCTGACATTGGCCCGGCCTCAGGCGGGCAAAACATAAGGAGCCTCCTGTCAGGGCAGGCCAGGCACGGGGGCATGGCCTCTTTTTTCCTGGGAGAGCAGTCACCCCTCTGTCACCTGACCAGCTGCCCAGTCACTTGCTGCTGCACTCACGTTCACACAGCCGTGAACTCCCTAGAACTGCATCTGCTCAAACTGCTGCTTGACCCCTGCTTTGCATGCTTTCTTCTGCCTCCTGCTCACAGTCCTGTCTCCCTGATTCTCCACATGGCTCCATGTCACCCAGCAGTCCTGTGCCCCACTGCTGTGCAGAGAAGCCAGTGATGGCCCCTGCATGATGAGAGACTCCTGTGTCTACATCCTTCCTCCAAGGAGAAGTTGGCTAGTTCTGTGGCTTGGCCGGGAGTGGGTTTGGGTCAGCTTCTGCACAGTGTCCATTTTAAGGCCAATGGTCAACATCTTGTCCAAGGTCCTCATTTTGCAGCAAGAGCTGGGCTCCCCAAGGTGGGACCCTTGCCATTAGTAGAGCCTGACTCCTAAGTCTCCAGCTCCTGCCCTGGTGCTGCTCCCAGCATCTCACAAGACCCCACTCTGTCACGAAGAAGCAGTGAGGTCATGATGTTCAGAAGAGGAAGAAACCACAAAATAGCCTATTCTCTTGCAAGCTGCTGCACATGGAATTCTAGGGGCTCTTTGCCCCTTACCCAGAGTGGTAGGCCTTGCTGGAAAGCAGAATTGAACCACCTTGGAACAGGCAATTTTTAGAAATCAATCAGATGGATCAATTCATTAAAAAAGGTCATTCCTAAAAATCAAAAGCAGAAGGAAATACATGAACCTTACTAATGTTAACTGAAAAAAAAAAGCAAAGTAAGAAAAAGTATATGTAGTATGCTACTGTTTCTCTCTGAAAAGACAGATAGAAATATATATTCCTGCTTACTTATATTAACGATAATGAATGGATGGGTAAACATAAAACCAGTAAAGTGGTTATTTATGGGACACAGGGGAGTTAGTAGCACTAGATATCTCTGAACACCCTGTTTTGCAGATCTGACCTTACAACCATGTTAAATGTTTCACATAATTGTAAGTAGAAGTTAGATTGATACAAAAACAAACCTTTTGCTATGCCTGAGAGGGCAGGCACCTGCATGAGCTAAGGCATCCAGACCGGCTCCTTGGGTAGCAGAGGGTCCCCCAGCCTTCTCAACATCCCACGGTGGGGTGTCTAATACACTTCTCAAAGTTGCATTTCCAAAACCAAGCTTCCATCTGCCCCAAGCCTGCCCCACTCCCTCTGTCTTCCCCATCTCAGACAACACAGCTTCATCCTTCTTGCAGTCGCTGAGGCCAGACACCTTGCAGACATTCTTGACTCCAGCCCTTCTCTCCACCCGCAGTGGACCATCAGCAGTTCCTGCGGGTCCCATCTTCAAAGCAGATCCAGGATCTCCACCTCTTACTCCCTCTACTCCTGCCCGCTGGGCCAAGGCAGTGTGGGCTCTCACCGGGATTACTCCTATAACATTACTATCTTTGATCTCACCTTTTTCAATGTCATTTCTTAGCTCAGAACCCTCCAGTGGTTCCCAATTTCATCCAGATAAGGGCCAAAGTCCTTTCAATGGTCTGCAAGGCCCCAGATGATCTAGCTCTCACCACCTCTCTGACCTCACCATCTGCCCTCCCCCTTCACACTCTGCACTCCCGCCACCCTGCCTTCCTGGGTGCCAGAAGTTCCACCTCGGGGACTTTGCACTGGCTGTTCCCCCTCCCCGGATTGCTCTTCTCCTGGGTATTTGCATGGCTTCTCCCTCCCCTCCCTCAAGCCTTGGCTGCTCCATGTCACCTTCTCAGGGAGGCCTGTCTTAACCATTCCACCTAAAAAGGCAGTCTCCACCAGGGGTGCCCCCACCATACACCAGCATTCCCAGTTCTTCCAGCTTCCCACTTCCGTAGGCCTTCCCACGCTCTGGCATTCTCCATGGTGCATTTGTTCTGTTTATCTTCTGCATCTCCCCGCTGGGTGATGAGCTGAGCCTGGCATGAGTAAATGCTCACTAAACCACTGTCGAGTAAGTGAATGAATGGACAAGAAGGTAGCCAGCCCTGCTCAAAAGCACTTACTTTATCCTCTCAGGGCCTTTCAGCACCTCGCTTAGGGACCTGCCCAGCTCCTTGGGCTACCTCCCATCCTGCAGTTCCCCTCCTGAGACCAGACATAAGACACCCCAGGAAGTCTTAGCCTCAGAGTCCAGATTTGAAGCAGAAGGAAAGGTCAGCTCCCACTGTCCACCCTGAATAGCTGGTCCCCCTGTCTCTAAGTCTTCTCCCACCTCCCAGGGCCTGTGACATTGCAGAGATGTGAGTGTCCTCATCTGGGTGGGAGTCATTACTCTTCATACTCCCCATCACCAGTGGGACAGCCAAGATTCCTCCCGGCATAGGAGCCTTCAGGACAGAGCAGAGGGAGTTGTGGGGCAGAGTTAGCACAGGCCACAGTGGGTTATTGAGGGAAACTGGGGTGTCAGAAGGACAGACCTAACCCCCAAGCTGGATGTCAGGCAAATGCACTCCCGTGTCGTGGCCCATGACGCCTTTGTGAAGGACGGAACCCCTGCCTGATGGGCCACTGCGGGGAGGTTTTCAGTTGGACTTGACGGCCCTTCACTCACCTGGTGGGGTGTGGTGGGACGCGCCACAGTACAAACCCTGCTCTGGCCCTGGCTCTGCCCTTGCTCACTCTCTGGCCTGTGGACGAACCTCTCTGCCTCTTCCCAGTCACTTCATCTTTGAAGAGACTGTCATCACCGCCACTCACAGGGCAGCAGTGGAGACTGAGTGAGCCTGTGCTGAGGGTGCTGCACCCATACTGGGTGGTTAGCATTTCAAAATGGCGGCCCGGCAGATTGGCCCTTGGCGGGGCCCTTCCCAGGGGCCACTGGAAGCTGAGAGGCCTGTGGGGCACAGCTCTGTCATACGTTGTGGTTTCAAAGCTCACAAATTCCTTTAGTAATTCCTCTGCTCTGGAATCATAGGAGGGAGTTGTGCTGGTAGTTGGAATATTTACCCGTCGGCTCCTCTCCCTCCCGTCTTCCTCCCTTTCCCTGGATGTCTGCCTGGCCATCTGCAGTGGCCCAGGTGACCTTCTGCTTATGTGCTGTGGGGTCTACCAGGCTATTGCATTTAATAAACTCTTAAGAGCATGTCTCCTGTGTTTGAAGGACTCTACAAATATCAATGCACATTGTCAGTACAACCACCCTTTAAGGTAGGTGCTATTATGTTCACATCTTACAGGTGAGAGAAGTGAGGCAGAGAGCAGTTCTGTAACTTGCCTGGGGTTATACAGCAAGTCAGAGGCAAAGCCAGGGCCTGGATGCAGGCAGGCTGCCATAGAGTCCAGGCTCGGGCAATTCCCCTTCTTTCTCTCTCTGCTCAGCCCCTTGGGACCTCTCTTGGCAGCCTGTGACCCAGCCGTAGCCCTGCCCCTGAAGCCCAGTTCTGACCATCCAGCTTCCAAACTAAGAGATGGCCCCCTGTAGCCAGGTTCCTGCCCTTCCCCCTACCATCGACCTCCAGAGTCCTCCAAAACCTGGCCCAACCTAACTTTCCAGAACCTCTTCCTGCAACCCCACCCTCACTGGCCATGCACCTGGTGTCTCCATCGGCTGGGCCTCCGTACTCTCTGACCATGCCTGGGCCTTCCCTGCTGGACTGTCCTTTCTCCAGAAACCTCACCCAGGCTGCAAGTCCCAGATCTGCTCTTAGCAGAATGGTCAGGGTGAGACTGGTGTTCCTCAGTTTACTCTGGCAGTTTTATGCCTGAGGACCAGGAGCAAGAAGTATTTTATATCCATCACTCAGGATGTCCTGGGCTACTCAGGCCTTGCCCTTGTCCTGCCTTGACTGTCACCTCTTCCCCCACCACGCACCTTGTTCTTTTGTGTCCCCAGGGAGCAGAGATGCTCTGGCTTTGGAAGGAGTGGACTCCAGCTCCTGGGACCTCTGCCTACCCGTGGTCAACTCATTAAAACCATTAAAAAAATTCCTCATGGGTTCTAGAAATATTACAGTGTTTTATTTGTAATATTTATCTAGCCCTGCATGCCCCGACCCTGCCAAGTCCAGAAATATAGCATCGTGGTTAAGAGTGTAGGCTCTCCTCAGCTTCCAGCTTTCTAGCTGTGTGACCTGGGGCAAGTTACTTCACTTCTTTATGCCTGTTTCATCAGCTATAAAATGAGGACAATAATGCCACTGTCTACCCCATAGAATTGTGGTGATGATTGAATAAGCACATTTGTGTTCTTAGAATAGTGCCTTGGACAGAGAAAGCACCATGCACGTCATTCATTATCATGGTGGTTGTTGTTATTATTGTTAGAGAAGAGAACTGGGGCCCAGAGAGGTGTTTCCTCTAAGCCAGTGTCACACAGCTAACAGCCACAGGTTGGAGTGGAGCCAGCAGCCTGCCTCTCCAGCCAGGGTCTGCTCTTTACTCTGCCCCCGCCCCCCCTCCTTGGTACATGTTGCCAGGCAGTGGGTACTCCGTGAGCTTAAAATACCCAGGTGCTACCCTACCCCACCCTGTGTCCTGCCAGCTCTGCCAGCACTGACCTGGCCCACTCCATCAGCCAAGTGACCAGGGCTTTTTTTTTTTTTTTTTTTTGAGGCGGAGTCTTGTTCTGTCATCCAGGCTTGGAGTGCAGTGTTGCAGTCTCGGCTCACTGCAACCTCCGCCCCCCAGGTTCAAGTATTCTTCTGCCTCAGCCTCCTGAAGAGCTGGGATTACAGGCATATACCACCATGCCTGGCTAATTTTTTTGTATTTTTAGTAGGGATGAGATTTTGCCATGTTGGCCAGGCTGGTCTCAAACTCCTGACCTCAGGTGATCCTCCTGCCTTGGCCTCCCAACCTGCTGGGATTACAGGTATGAACCACCATGCCCGGCCGACCAAGGCCATCTTTAAGAGGCCTGGCTCAGTTTCCCACCCAAAAGAAGTGGACTTATGGGGCTGAGAGCCTCCCACTCTGCTGTCCTCTCGTCATCTTCATCTTCCCTTGGGCCACACTCAGCACAAGAAGGGAGCACAGGGCGCCTCCCGGGGAACAGAGAGCCAGCGAGTGCCACTGGGACCAAGGGCTTGACACCTGCCTCCTTGTCCCCCAGCTCAGAAACCACTTACCAGGGCTCCTGACCCACAGCAAAAATCTAAACATTCATTTCCAGTGGAGCTCAATACCATCTGCAGAAAGCCAGGCAGGGGCAGAAGAACAGGATGTGGTCCCTGCCTGCCTCCAGGGATGAGCTGTGGACATAGGCCATAAACAAGGAGACATTTACTCTCAACACTAGGAAAAGGTCCTGGGACAGACAGGGCTTTTCTCATGGGCCAGGGTGACCAGGACCGTTTCCCGAAGGAGACAACACACGAGCTCCTCAAGAACCAAGAGAAGATGTGTTGAGGCAAAGATGAGTGGGGTGGGAGTTCCTGCAGGGGAATGGCGTGGGTGCTCATAGGGGAAAAGAAAGGAGCAGGGCAGGTTACAGCACAGTGTGCAGGGTGCCCCGGGATTCTTCTCAAGTCTTGAGGCTCCCCAGAGGGCAAGCAGAGGAATCCAAACCCTTGTGGATGCTCCCCAAAGGGGCTGCAGACCCGCCTCTAAGAGGCTGAACCTGCCACAGGAACCGTAGCAATGCCAGAGGAGGCACCTTCTGCATTCGGGCCTCCTTGGTTCACACGCAGACAGCGAGAGCACCATGCCCAGAGTCCTGACTTATCACTGCTGCCATTTCCCGAGTGAGTGATGACAGCAGCAGCGGGATCAACTTATTGAGCCTTGCTCTGTGTCAGAGCCAAGGCGCAGCTCATTTAACCCTCAGAAGCCAGTGCAATAGACTTTATCATCATTATTTCACAAATGGAGAAACTGAGGCATGGACAGTAAGCACCTTGCCCAGGGGCCCATGCTAGAAAGTAACTGGGTCCAGAGTCTGTCTGGGTCCAGTGTCTGGCTCTCCCTGCTTCTGCCAGGGGTATTGGGGTGTTTTTTCATCTTTAAACAGTGCAGTGTGAGTCCTTGCCTATGGTCATGGGGTGAGCATCGGGGCTTCACGGAGATGGGAGCAGCACACCCAGGACTTGGCCCCTCCACCAGTCTATCACTCAGCAGCCCAGAGAGCCACTCTGGTGGTTTTGCCCATTACACATTTTAAATTATTTTTATTCTTAGTCAAATATTTAATTTTTTACCCATAATGGACAGTTGGTTAAAGGCAGGAAGCATTAAAGAACACTGATATTAAAAGGCTGGTTCATGAGGAACACGTAAGTGGTAATAATTCTGCACATATGCCTCAGGGTGCTCTGGCCGGATCTGCAAGCCTCATTCATCTGGTCAGAGTTCTCGTGTGGCAGCTCCTGCAGCTTGCAGAGCTTCACAACCCCGGGCTGGAGGCAGACAGAGCCCAACACCCATCTGACTCTGTGTCCACACGGAGCCAAGGCCCTCCTCACTCACGTCGTGCAATTTGGACAGAAGCACTTCCTAAAAACTCTCGGGTCTCAGCATTTAGAAACAAAGCAAGAATATTACAAAATCAAACCAGTTGACTTTCATTTTTTTAGAAAAACATAAAATTCAAGAATTCCAAACAGCGGGCCATGAAATCAGTTTTTGCTTTTTGTTTCTTTTTATGCCTTATATAGTCAAACTTTAGCCTGCAGTTTAGTGTGTACTGATGCCAAAGCCACAGTGTAATGGTAATATGTCATTTTGAAATTTCTTTGTAGAAAATCATGCTTTTGCTTTTACAACTCGTTTACAATAAATGAAGAAGAATGCATCACTTGATAATTGGCAGAAGGCTAAATTTTGCCTGTATTCATAAATGTTATTAAAGATCGGGTTAAACACAAACCTTGTAATTCACTTCCAATAACATATCAATCTAAAAACTGTATTTGACATAAAATAACTTCTTTATCTGGTAGTACCAAAAATAACAATTTTTTTTTTAACACTTAAGAGTGTTTCCAAGAGAAACTATTATGGTGAGAGGAATTCTCAAATCCCAAAGAGTCAAGCAAGATTCAGCTGTGGCAGCCCTCTAAACTGCCCCAGTTTTCATGAAGGTAAAAATAAGAATAATGAGAATTCATCCTTTTCCCTCCCGTTGAGGGGCTAAGTCTCCTGGTAAGTGCCTTATAGGCCCACCCCTGAGAGGAGGGGCGTACTTTGAGAAATTTGACCACAAGTGCTTTCCAGAAGGTCAAACTGACTTGCTTATGGTGAGTGCTGGTACACAGGCCCTCCCAAGTTCCCCAAGATGTGGGAGGGTTTGGCCACCCTTCAGACTGTGCCCAGACACTCAAGTTCCATTAGGGATTCTATTGGTTCCAAGTACACAGATGCACAATGAGCTCTGTGTTCAACCCTGGTAGCGCCATCCTACGGTGAGGGGTCTCTGCAGTTTCACCTCCTGCTAGGTGCAGCAGGACCCCCTTGTGTCAATTTTATTGTATTTCATTTGGTTTGCCTGGTGCGTAAGAAATTGACTTAAGAAAAATTGCCACCAAGCCTTTGTTGAGATTGGCATTTCTTCTCGAATGGCCTCTTCCCTCCTCCCTTTTAACTAAATCCTGCTTATTTTTAAAAACTTTTGATTCTGACAAAATTTCAGACTCTCAGAAAAGTTGCAGGAATAGTACAAAGAATTCTTATATATCCATCACCCAGTTTCCTGTGATGTTAACATTTTATCCTTCTCTCTCTCGTATACATTTTTTTCTGACCCGTCTGAAAGTAAGTTGCCAAAATGATGCCCTTTTACTGCTAAATATTTCACAGTGTGTTTCTTTAAAACAAAGACTTTTTTTCATAACCACAATACAATTCTCAAAATCAGGAAACTGATATAGATACGATACTGTAATTGAGTCTGTAGACCTTATTCATATTTCTCCAGCGATCGATCCTAGACTGTGGGCTGCATTCGATTGTCATGACTTGTTAGTATCTTTTATCCTGGGGCAGTTCTTTCTTCTTCTTTTTTTTTTTTTCTTTTGAGGTGGAGTCTCACGCTGTTGCCCAGGCTGGAGTGCAGTGGCGCAATCTTGGCTCACTGCAAGCTCCGCCTCCCGGATTCATGCCATTCTCCTGCCTCAGCCTTCCCAGCAGCTGGGACTATAGGTGCACACCACCACACCCGGCTAATTTTTTGTATTTTTAGTAGAGACAGGGTTTCACCGTGTTAGCTAGGATGGTCTCGATCTCCTGACCATGTGATCCGCCTGCCTCGGCCTCCCAAAGTGCTGGGATTACAGGCATGAGCCACTGTGCCCAGCCAACCTGGGGCAGTTCTTAAGTCTCTGTATTTCATGACATTGGCCTTTTTTTAAAGAGTGACCAGTTATTTTTGTAGAAGGTCCCTCAGCGTCGGTTTCTCTGGCATTTCTTCATGATTGGACTTGGGTTATAGGCACTGTAGTGATGTGACCTTCCCAGTGCACCATGTCAGGAGGTACGTGCTGTTCTTTAATCCCCTGCCTGGTGATGTTAACTATGATTACCTGGCAAAGGTGGTGACTGCCAAGTTTCTCCACTGTAAAGTTACAAGTTTTCCCTTTGTAATTAAGAAATATCTTTGGGGAGATATTTAGAGGCTACGCCAATGTTCTGTTTTTCTTCAAAACTTTCATCCACTGACTTCCATTGATGATTCTTGCTTGAAACAATTGTTCTTATGGTGGTTGCCAAATGATTTTCTAATTCCATCATTCCTTCTAAATGTACTAGTTGTCTTTTATCATAAGGGAAAGCCTTTCATTGACTTTTAACTCACTGCTCTAAGCCTCAGGACCTCAGCATTTGGGAACTAGGAGAGCAGGTCCTTGTCCCAGAATACACGGGCTGTCTCCTAGCTGAGTGGTGTTTAATGTGAAGGTTATCAGCGTCCTGCTACAAGTCCCTTGTATTTTGGAAGGTTCTAGACAAAGAAACTATCTGCTGGGGAGCCATGTCCCAAGATGGCTGGGCTGGGGGTTCCACTATGCATGAAGCCTTGAGGAGTCCTCTCTGTGATAACGTCTCACCATGGCCCCATCAGTTCCACCAGCCCTGGCTCAAAAACGTGGCCCAGGGGAGGCCCTACTCCAGCTAACTCCGTTTCACATTTCCTCTCCTTCCCAGGATGGAAAAACAGCCCTTCAGGGACAAGCGAACCTGTCAGTAATTAAGTCATGAGTGGAGGAGGCAGTCCCAGAAGGGTGGCTGGGCTGTGAGGCCTAATGGAGTGAGGCGGCTGGCGGCGTTCTCCGCCAAGAGCCTGGAGGCTCCACAGCCCAGGAAGCCCAACCGGCTCCTCTGTGTCCCATCTGTGGGGCCATCTTTGCTTCACGTAGGGGCCTTTCCCCAAGAAGGGCTGGACAAGGTTTATCATCATCCTGTGGTCAGCACTTTTAGCTTGGGCTGTTACCTGTTTTCCAGCCCCCAGGCACACCCATGACACCTGCCTGCTCTCAGAGGTGCCCCAGGCTCCACACTTTCCCTCTTGAAAAGTGTCTCTCTTGTGCTGCCCTCCTCTGAGATGCTTATGTTTGGGACACCAGGGTCACAGCTTGCTGGCCTGATGAAGTACTCCGTGCATACTGATTGAAGTGAGAACGTGTGGGGAGGGTCTTGATGGATGGGGAAGATCAGGCGCAGGGACAAGCAGATGCGGCACTATGATGGTGGCACCACCTCTCTAGCTCTTGCCTGGTAGACAGGAGGTCCAGGCTGGCCAGGAGGAGTCAGGAATTAGGTGAGAGGGAGCATTGTCACCAAAGGTTTCAGGTCAGAGCGTGGCAAGATGATAGTCACGGCCACATAGCAGGATGGAGGGGAGAGGCCTCAGTGTGGCATGGTCTCTTCATCCAGAAACAGAGACTTTGAAGGTCTGGGTCAAAAATGCCAAGTCCAGCCCCCTGGCCCCTGACCCAGGAGGGAGCTGAGTTCCCCTGCAGTCTTAGGGGGATCCTCCCATCCCCACTACTTCTCTGTCTCCATCCCACCTGCAACCACTGCTGGTGTCTCTACTCTTCTCCTTTTTAAGGGTATTCCTCTCAGTTATGTGGGTCCTTCCACTACCTCACGTCCTCCAGGAAGCCCTCCCTAACCTCACCCCGAGAACTCACCAGACCCCATGTCTCGCCACATGCTGTCGTAGATGGTTCTTTGAGTAGACATAGCAATTTTGCCGCTAGATTTTAAGATCCCCAAGGGCGGGAACCATATGTTATGTTGCTTTGTGGCTACCTGAGCCCCGACACGTAACAAATACACCAGAGTTTGATCAGATTTTAGGATTGCAAAGGAAGACTCCAAAGCTGGTATGTGGCTCTACCCAGATCTCAGGGGAGAGGCCAGCCTGAGAAGCAATATTCTTCATTCGTTAGCTCAAACGTGGTTTTCAATGAATCAAGAATAAACTATGATGGATGAGGAAGCCACCATCGGCCAGCTTGCCAACTGGTGCTGAGCCTCCAGCGCCCCATCTTCTGCCCCAGCAAGCTCCCCAGTAGGTTCCTGGCTAAGAAACTTGGGAAACCCCAGTAGGCAGGCTTGCATGGAGGGCCTGTAGCCAGAAGTAGAGAGGTACGCTGGGCAGGGGAAGGGCCTGCACTGGAGCCAACAGGGTGGCGGCCCACATGCAGCTCAGGCCACTGAGGCATGTTCATTGTCCTAGGGAAGCTCCCGACAACTTGGAGTCCTGGGGTCACTACTCAGTTTCATGCCCAGGCCTTGAAGTGAAACACTTCATTCAGAAAGTTTAGGAGAAGAGAAATTGGCTTGTTCAAGAGGATTTTGCTACCAGGGGCTGCGGCTCACACTTGTAATCCCAGCGCTCTGAGAGGCCAAGGTAGAAGGATTGCTTCAGCCCAGGAGTTCAAGACCAGCATGGGCAACATAGCAAAACTCCTGTCTCTACAAAAATTAAAAAAAAAAAAAAAAATTAGCCAGTCATGATGTCACGAGCCTGTAGTCCTCGCTACTTGGGACGCTGAGGTGGGAGGATCACCTGAGCCCTGGAGGTCAAGGTTGCATGAACTGTGATCATGCCACTGCACTCCAGCCTGGGTAACAGAGCAAAAACCAAAACCCTGACTCTAAGAAATAATAATAATTATTATTATTATTATTTAACAAAAAAAAGGAGGTTTTTGTCATCAGCTGCAAGTCACCCCCATTGACGGCCAAAGTAATGGAGAAAGCAGCCCTTTCCACCAGTCCCAAGATGGACTTTGACGAATTAAAATGCCCAATCCTTTGCATTTTCTCAGCTATTCCTACTAGATTATTTTAAATAGCAGTGAGGAAGTTCTTCTAGAAGAGCGCAGATGGGTCAGTCTCTTGGAGTGAAGAGCATAGGGGCGAGACGGGGGTTCGGGCCCTGGTCCTGGATGGGCTTTCTGCTCAACCTCTCCCAAGGGGGAAAGGCTCCCCTAGGGTTGCTGTGAGGATCAAGGGTGAGCATGTGTGCCCCCAGCAGGTGGGGGCCACTCAGTGTTTGTTAAATCTGAGTACCATGGTGACTTGGGATGAAGGGAGGGAGGGAAGGAGGGAGGGATAATGATGGTGCTAAATTGAGTATCACTATACCTTTACTCCACCTTCACTCCAGCCCTGAGAGTGGAAGGAAAGCCAGAAGCCTAGAGGTGTGGGACAGCATGGGATAATGGAGGCAGGCCCATTCCCTGGGAAGGCACCTCCCGAAGATCAGCGCACCCCATCCTCACAGCTACCATGTGCATAGCTGTTGTGAGGTCCGTTTGATTGATAAGATAACAGAGGGGCAGAGAAGTTAAGTGACTTGTCCAAGACCACCCAGCTAGACCAAGGCAAAACCAGCATATGAACCCAAGGGTGTCCAGCTTTCAAGTTTTTACCACATCAGGCTTTCTCTCCAGATGAGAACTTCTTAGAGGGCTGCTGAGGTCCAGGAGGGCTTCCTGGATGAGGTGCTGGTTGCAGAATGGGCAACAGCTAACTAGTGAGGTATAGGGCACTGCAGTTTCTAACTGTTGGTCAGTGATCAGACACCTCCCATGACAGGAAGCTCACCATGTCCCCAGACAGACCCCTCTGTTGCGGGGCAGCCCTCCCCATGAGAAAGTTCCTTCATTAAGTGAGCCCAGGCTGCATCTCTGCATCTCTGAGCCTTCCCTCCACTGGCCCCTTCTCCCCAGCCCTCTTTTATTAGACAGGCTCCATGATTGGTCGCACCTGGGATTTTAAATAACTTTTAGGCGACTTTCTGTCCATGTGCCTTCCTCTTGGTCCTAGCTTTTCTAGTTTAAGGGCTGTTCCACCACACCAAGGTGGTAAGATTAAAACAGGCAAGGAAAGAGTGACTTCCGGGAGAGCAACTTCCAGGTCAATCAACTCGTAGGGTGAGTGAGACAGCAGAGGGCCAGCTAAGGCCCATCAGCCAGGGTGCCGAGGCCAGCTGTGGTGGATTCGAATGGCCAGGCTTTGGGCTGGGGATAAAGGAAGTCACTGAAGGTGGACCCCAAGCTGCGAGGACCCCATCACAGTATTTCCCTCGGGATGATGGTAGTGAATGTTGGGTGATGAAGACTTTCATGGTGGGAAACTATGCCCAAAGCTCAGCCCTTAGAGCCCAAAATCAGAACAGAAGCCAGGCATCCTGAGGTCTCTTCCTTGACCTAACATTTGAAACAGCCCCTGTCTTCCCATCTGTACTATGGGTGCACAGTGTGATCCCTCCCTCTGCATAGCTGGAGGATTCATGCTCTGTTGCTTGGAAAACCCATGGCATAATAATATTACAAACAAACACTAATATAGCACTTGTATCAAGTCCTTTAAAACTCACAAGAACCCTATGAGATGGGTGTTCTATTTGTTCCCATTTTATAGGGGAAGAAGCTAAGGCACAGAGCAGTTAAGGAACTTGCCCAAAGTTGCACAGCTAAAAGTGTAGCGTCAGGATTTGAACTCTGGGGATCTGGCTCCAAAGTCCACACTTCAAACTACCACGAACTACTGTGAAGCTCGGGGGATGCCCAGAGCCACCAGCAGGCTGTAGTGAGGGTCCATGGGCCGGATCTGGGAGACTGCAGGGCTTGGCAGGCCGAGCGGAAGGGCGAGGGCCTTCCCCTGGAAACACTCCACCAGGTTCACGCGGAGCCTGGCGACTCCCCAGGGCAGCCGCGTGCTCTTCCCATGACATCACACTGCCTCAGAACTTTTGAGGCTGAGGATTCTTGGAATGCTGGATTCACCCTGGAACAAAAATAATACCTCGTATTCATAACGTGCTTTTGTTCCCCACAGGCTTTCCTGGGCTTCATTTCATTGTAGCCTCAGACTAGCCTTGTGATCCAGGCAGGAGTCCTGTAGGTGGGAGGCCACCCTAAGAACCTGAGTCGGGGTTGGTCTCCCCATTCTGCAGGTGGGCATACTGAGCCACGGGGAGTTGAGTGGTTGGCCAAAGCTGCACAGCAAACTGGTTCTGGGCAATGTGGGCCAAGAGCCCTGGATTTCCAGTGGGGTTGAGGGGAGGCCTCAGAAATGGGTCCGCAGTTGAGTGAAGCTCAGAACCCCATAGAGTATCCCCAAGAAAGCCTTTTTCCCTTGGCCTTCTGTGCTGCCGCAAGATGGAGGAAGGTGGCAGGAGTCTGCACGCTTTCCTCCCTTCCCCACGAGGCAGCAATGAAGCCAGAGGGGCCACCCGAAAAACAATCCCCGAGCCCTGCCCCACAGGCCCCAGCCACAGGAACCAGCAGACTGTGGTGGGAAAGGGCTGTTCCCAGCACAGATGGAAACCAAGGGCTGCAGTGGCTTCTGTGGTTTTCCCGAGACGCAGTGGAGCCAAGGCTGGCTGGCCGGATCTCCAACCCTCCCATCCAGAGCCCTCCCAGGCTCTCCCCTCACCAGCCCCGGCCTCCCCATTCCCAGCGGGCCCTGGCTCAGCCCTCCGCCTTTGCTTCTGCACCACACGCTGCCATAGGACAGCCCACAGCTCCCTCCTTGCTGACTTTGGCTGAGGCCTGTGGTCCTCTGAATTTGGGTTTAGTGGCTCAGCAATGGTGTGCAAGCTGCCCTACACTCTCAGAACACTCAGTGTGGTGGCTGAGGGCACACATTCGGGGCCAAACTATATAAGTTCAAACCCAGGCTCTGCTTGGTGCAAGTTGTGTGTCCTTGGGCAAGTTTCTTACCCTTTCTGTGCCTTGAAGACCTCTCTGGAAAATGGAGTGAACAATAGTTCCTCTCTTGGGGTTGAACGAAAGCCATGCCTGGCTTACTGTAACTGCTTCCTACATGCTAGCTATGAACCATTCTTCTGCATCCCTGTGATGTGAGTTTGAGTCCTGTGGCCTCAGGACCACCCTCAGAGTGTGTGAACTGCCCGAGTCCAGGGCCTGCGTTTGGTTTATGCTCCAATATGGCTGTCTTGACTTTCTCAATAGCTTTTGAACCAGGGGCCCACATTTTCATCTTGCACTGGGTTCCGCTCATTATGTGGCCAGTCCTGCCTCCAGGCCAGAGTAGAACATAGGCCTGTGCTGCTCTCTGCTTCCTTTCCTTCGTGATTCTTGTCCTGGGATAAAGCTAGAGACCTGTTTCTGTAACTAATAGATTCACATCTGTCTCTCCAAATGGACCCTCAGCTTCATGAAGGCAGCAGCCCTGTGCGCTGGAGTCATCGCTACCTCCCCTCCCCAGACCACAAGGAAGATAGAGAGAAGGTTCTGCCTCATCTGAAGGAAGTGGATGCTTTGGGAGCAGTTCAGAGGCACACACAAGACACTCTGGTGGCAGAGACGTGGGTGTGATGTAGGGCATTCCAGACTGTAATCATATCAGGAGTCTGGAGGGCTCGGGCAGGACCCTGGGAGCTGGGGAAGGCTCCTGCTCAGGTCTGGACCTTAAGACCTGGATAGGATTAGGGGAGTGCTGAAGGACTCTGTAGGGACAGCTGAACAGCTTTGTCACACAAACACCCTGCCTCCACCCCAACTTCTCTCAGAGGGCTGCAGGAGCTATGTGGCCTCAGGCAAACCCACTGACATCTCTGATTAACCTCTGGGCAGAACAGAGTCTCAGCATGTGTTTAATTAATGAAACAATAATGAACCAGCCTTTCTCTGCATCATTTATTATTCATTCATTCATTCATTCATTCATTCATTCATTCATTCTACAGTTAGTGAGAAAAGTCTTTGCCTGTAGGGTGCAGAGGTACCAATCAGACCTTTCATCTATTCCAGAGCATCGTTTGGCGAGGTAAACATCTGATTTCTAAAGCTTTTAGTCCATGCAGTGAGCTACCACACTTCTTACATGAACTTTTGCCTAGGCTGGCAAAGACCTCAATCTTGAATTGTTTTCTACCCAACTCTGAGCAAAGAGAGCCACAAAATCTATTGGAGTGGGGGAGTCTGCAGCTTGGCTGGCCGCCCACGGTGGCAGGAGTGTTTCTGATGCATGCTGGCCCTCTCCTCTCAGCGTTGTTAGGAGGGAGTGCTCAGGAAGTAGCTGGCCCAGTGCTGCTGTTGCCGCCATCATGATAATGATGGCTCTGGCAATTACAGGGCCCGTGTGTTGCCTAAGCTTTGTAGCGATGCCCCCAGTTCTCCAAAGAGCACTGAGATCTCCAATAAGTAATTGTTAAATCCAGTCATATGGCGTGTTACAGCAAAAACACAAATCTGAGTTCCAGTGAGGGCTTTGCCACTAACTAGCGGGGCGACCCTAGAAGGACAAAGCAACCTCTCTGGACCTTGGTTTTCTCATCCGTCATGCTGTGACTCATGTAATCCTTACAACTGCCCCTCAGGTGGGGACTGGCACATCTGGAAACAGAGACACAGAGAGGTGAGATCACCCAGCCCATGCAACTGTGAGTGGCACAGTGCCAGGCTCTGTGCAGGCTGCCATACCCCAGACAGACCTGGCAAGGAGTGTCCTGCGGGGGACACCCATCATCCGAATCAGCCCTGCGCGCACCATGGGTGCTCCGTTAGTATAGGTCACTGTGATCCTTGTCTCTGAGTGTTCATCAGCCAATACCATGATGTCCCTTGGTTGACTCCCTCATGAGGGAAGAAAACCTCCCCTCCCTTATACTTTTCCTTTTTAAGCTTCCCCATCATTCTGCAAACTGGGGTGGGTGTGTGTGGCGACTTTTGTTCCTGGGTCCTATATGCCATCGCTCGACTAAGCAGCCCCTGAGCTGCAGAGAAATTGTTGGTGCCTGTGCCTCCGAGCCTCACCGCAACCCTTGCGTTGTCCCAGGTGACTGGGCCAGGGCAGGCAGAGCTCACTCAGGGCATGTGTAGGTGGGCAGGAGTGGAGGTGCCTACGCTGGTAATAAGCAGTCATCACTTTTCCTGAAGGCAAGAAATATGAGCCCATGCATAGTTTTAAAACCACTTGCCCTAGGAATTTTGCTTTCAGAAATTTTTAAGCAGACCTACAAATTATGTGGTAAAATGTCCGACATGGAGAGAACCATAATAAGTCAGTGGCACTCAGAATATCTAGTTGGGAACGATTATGAAATAAAAAACGAACAGAGGGACATTTGTCTCCATTTGGACTGCTGTTAAAACCATTTTTTTAAACAAAATTTGAAGTTATTCTCCCTACACCCACCTCCCAAAATGCAGCTGTGGTGTTCCGAGAACATTTTTGTCTTTTTGTATAAAAGAGAGCAGTCTTAGAGTAAAACAAGACATCTGATTTCAGAACCCAAAGAATAAAGAATAAACTAAATGAACGATGGAAAAAGCATAAACCGACAATTTCCATTCTCCAAAAAAAAAAAGCATTATTTTCCTAACAGCAGGTGTTGCCAGTAGCACAAATGGAATATTAATCTTATCTCCTGTGCTGTTCTTCCTCACCCGAAGAAGACTTCCCCAGAAATAAAGAGGCAGAGAGTTGGGTTTTTGCCCTTCTTACTTGCAGGGCTGCAAAACTGGGTGTCCAGTATGTTTCCCAACCCAGGACCCACATGTCCATGTGTCTGAGACCAAGTGCAGCCTCCTTGCCGGGTTGCTGGGAGCAAAAGCGGCTCATCCCTGGCCCAGCCAAACCCCAAACCCGCAGGTTTCGTGGGGAGCAGCCAGCTGGCCCCTGAATGAAGGTATCGACGAAACCCAGCGCCAGCAAATACAGAAGAGAGAGGAGCTGGTTTTGGCTGGCCCAGCCAACGACCGCTGACAAATATTTGTGAATGGCCAGAGCAGGGAAGCCTAGGTCTCCATTGCTGGGGAACGAGGCCTAACTCCAAGTCTGTTCCAGTGCCCTTAGCAGCCCTCTTGGCTCCTTCTCAGGCAAAGAATTTGGACCTCATGCAGTTATCACCACCGAGGTCTCAGTGGCCATTCAGCCCTTTGTCTCCATTACTACAGGTCACTGCGGTCCTTGTCCCTGAGTGTTCATCAGCCAAGGAGGCTGTGTCTAAAGGCGAATGGGAGACAGATGGGAGGTGGCTGCAAGGTGCTGTGATTAGTTGACAGGCTTAGCTCACTCCTGGAGCCCCTGGCAGGCCCTCTGCTGTAGGAGTGCACCTCACGGAGCCTCGGTTGTCTTATCTGTCGAATGGAAAGAAAGGTTCTTGGCCTGCCTGCACACAGAGGCCAGTCCCAGCAATCACTCACCCTGAGAACTAAGCAAGGCCTTGTGCAGGAAGAAGGAAAAGGGAGGACAGAGGGACAGTCTTAGTGCCTCTTCCTCCAGTGGCATCTGGGTTCTTCCCTGCCCTCCCAGGGCTCACCCAGCTGATTCCATCTGCCATTTAGCTCCATATCAAGACCTCCTTATTTTGAACCTGTTAGTCTTTCCTACCCAATTAGGAGGGAACACTTGAGGTGGACTCCCTGGCTTCCCTCCCACCTACGGATGGCTTTCCACATGTGCAAAGGAGCCGCCGCCCAGCAAGGGTGAGCCTGAGAACGCCCACTAATGCCAAGTGGCCTGGGGCATTCTTGGCCATTGCTATATTGTCAGGGCTGGCTGGCTCCAAGCTCTTTCGAACCAGAAAGACATGGAATTCCAGGTCCCTCCAGATTTCCAGGAATGAACAGCAGAAGCCCTGCAGGAGCCAGCTGATTTCTTTCTGGAGCCCCTGACCACTAGCCATATAGCAATTACTTCCTTCCCCCTCCAGGTAGATAGAAGTTGTTTTCTTTTCTGGGGGTGGAGGAGTGCACTGGGTAGAGAGAGGGAAATCCCTGTATGGCAAGTGGGAAACCAGGCAGTTTCAAGACGGATGTTGGGAAGGGCTTGGTCAACCATCCTTTGGGGACATTTCTTGGGCCATAGCTGCAGGCGCCACAAAAATTCTAAATAAGGATGACGAAAGTTGTGAGAATCAATTATTATCTGCCAGGGAATTTCCAAGGTTCCTCTCTGGGCTTAAAAATAACTCACATTGAAAGAACAAAGAGAATGGAAGGAGCAATTAGTTGAAAGTAACTGAGAAGTTAAAGGAGGGAGAATTCACAAAAAGTCACAGGCACGAGGCACCCTGGAGAGTGGTCTGTGGGCCACAGTTTCTTCTGGGCTTTCCAATGGGGGTTGCCTTACACTCTGCAGAATGAGGGCTGCAGCCCTCCCCGCTGACTCAGGCATTTGGGGCTGGGCTGGGCTGGGTAGTCGGAAGGCCAGTTGGTGGTAGAATCACTGGGAGGAACCTGACTCAAGGGCCCCACTTTTCTCATGGGGCCCAACTCTTCTCCAGGTGCTGGTGCTGATAGCTCCTACCTGCCATGGGGAGTGAAACTGAATATTTCAGCAATGCCAGTGAGGAGGGGGGTGTGTTTGGGAATGGAGGGGCTGCCTCTCCCACCCAAGTGTCAAGGCAACAGTGCTTTTGCCCAGGAATGTATATCAGAAACCAACAAGATTGAACTTGGACACCAAGGATGAAAAATGCCACACAGGCCTCCTGAGAAGGGCCCAGGGTATGCCTAGTCAGCAGGATTCAGTTCAGGGTACCAGATTTTTACAGATATTTTAATAATGACTCTTAAATTATTGAAATAAATATAGACAACCCCAAACCTTGGACACTGTATATAAAAAGAAACCTAAGAAGACTCTGAAAGGTAGAAAGAAGACAGACAGGCCAGGGACCTTGGGAACTGAAGAATGACACACTGGTGAGTTCCTGGGGTTTTCCTCTTGGCTCAGATATCCCAGACTTGGAGCTAAAGAAACTGGAGACCCAGAAACACCATGAGGCCTGAGCAGACAAACGGAGCCCCAACAAAAGTCCACTCTTTCTAGCCAGAGGACCAGGGAAGGGGCAGCCTAGCAAGACAGAAAACTCGAGACAGTAGCTACTTTCCTCCAGCCAAACACCTCTGCAGGAACTGTAGCCACACCCCCACCCACCACTCCAGCGGAGGCCCAATGAGGGGCCTAGACAGTGACAAGGTACCCAGCACCCCAACAGGGTGGTGTCAAAGGGACTGTCATCCCCATTGGGGATAATGAGCTACTAAGCTTTTCAATGGAGGCTTTTCAGTGAAAAAAAAAATTTTATTCATTTTAGTGGAAAAAAATAATGCATTTAACCCCAACCCAGGATACCCTCAATTTTTCACAGATAAAAATGTATCAAGTAAATATTAAAATTGAATTTATATAAGTAATAAGCAATAAGTTGTAAGTAAATAAATACAATTTGTTCATAACATGCAATGCAATGAAGGTCTGTGGTACCCAAGATAGGTCACGGAGGAGGTGCAGCGCTTATTCTTTAGAAGCTAACATTATCTTTCTGCAAAATCTTTCCACTATTTTACAACCTTTGCAGAATTCATGCTTATCTTGTGCTCCAACTGCACTTCCAGTAAAGTTGTGGCATGGAAAACACCCTGAGGGTAAAATGGAGTTTGAACATAGTAGTGCTTTCAGTGGCAGGAAGCAGCCTTTGAGCCAGCCAGAAGGGTCATGAGAATGTCCCTCACCACCCCTTCACTTGCCTTTTGGCCACAACTCAAAAGTTTGGGGTTTGTTCCTGCTGCACAACTCACACCTGTTCCCTGTGCTTAGAAAGTGTTGTCAGATGAGCCTGTCTTGACCTACACCCATCATGTTAAATATTCCTTCTGTATCTGTTTGCTAGGTTGCTGTAACAGAGTACCACTGACTGGGCTGCATAAACAAGAGGCATTTTATTTTCTGACACTTCTGGAGGCTGGAAGTCCAAGATGAAGGTGTCGGTGGGGTTGGTTTCTTCTGAGGCCTGTCTCCTTGGTTTGCAGATGGTCACCTTCTTGCTGTGTCTCCATGTGGTCTTTCTTCTGGGCATGCAGCCTCCCTGGTGTCTCTGTGTGTCAAAGGTTCCTCTTGTTATAAGGCCATTAGTCAGTTCAGATTAGGGCCCATCCTAACAGCCTCGTTTAATTTAATCACCTCTTTAAAGGTGATCCATCATGTCTTATCTCCAAATACAGTCACATTCTGAAGTATTGGGGGTTAAGGCTTCAACATATGAAGTTTTGCGGGGTGGATGGGGGACACAATTTAGCCCATGAAAACTTGTTATAGCATATGTAGTTTGTGGGTTTGGGGGTGAAAATGACAATGTTCCAAAAAAAAAAAAGTTGTTTGAAAGGGATATAACTTTTCAAAAAACATTATGGTGAACAGTCATTCATAGGAAGGTGCTTGTAAGAAGCAGGTCTGCGTATGCATCTTTGCTGGTACATGCATAGAATATGTCTGGAAGATTCACACACGTGGAACGGCTGCTTCCAAAGGCCATATGTGATGACAGAGTCAGAGGCAGGAGGGTTCACTGTTATCTGCTACTGGATCTTTTTAATTTTGTTCCACATGCTTGCATTCACACATATTCTAGTAAGCGAATAAAGTACTGATTTTAAGGAAAGAATTGGCTTTGGTCCTCTGCAGTAGCAAGGACCGGTCTGCCTGTTCTCGGCTGTATCCCCAGGGGCTGTCACAGACTCTGGCACGTAGAAGGTGCTCAGGAAGTGTTTGTTGGAAGAATGAATATATGGACAAGGCAATGACTTCCTGTTCTGGCGGCTGGGCACAGGGACTCTGACCAGCCCGCCCAGTGATCGCCTTCTCTGTCTTTCCTCTTCCGTTTGCAGGCGGCAGCAGAGACCTCCGGGGGGCAACAAGCCCCAACAGCATGGTGACCACCAGCCAGGCAGTGCCAAACACAACAGGGACCACCAGAAATCCTACCAGGGGGGCTCAGCACCCCACCCCTCAGGGAGGCCCACTCACCATGGCTACAGCCAGAACCGGCGCTGGCACCATGGCAACATGAAGCACCCACCAGGCGACAAGGGGGAGGCAGGCGCACACCGCAATGCCAAAGAGACCATGACCATCGAGAACCCAAAACTGGAGGACACTGCAGGGGACACCGGGCACAGCAGCCTTGAGGCCCCCCGCAGCCCTGACACCCTGGCCCCGGTGGCTTCTGAGCGGCTGCCCCCACAGCAGTCAGGGGGGCCAGAGGTTGAGACAAAACGTAAAGACAGTATTCTTCCCGAGCGCATCGGGGAGCGGCCCAAAATTACCCTGCTCCAGTCTTCCAAAGACAGACTGCGGCGAAGGCTAAAGGAAAAGGTACCGGTAATTGAATTTTTGTTCTTCTCTTGCACCAGGGAGGACAGCAAGAGGTAGGCACTTTGGTAGGTGGGCACAGTGCAGAGCCTTGTGGGTTTGAGGGTCTAGGGAGCCATGTACAGGGAAGCAGGGGCTTCGGTCACTGTGGGGACCAACCACACTGGTCCACCACTGCCAGCAGGTAGGGCCATCATGAACCCCTCCAGCACACTTGGGCTTTTCACCTTCCAAACTCCAAGAGGCCCAGGGTGGGCACTTGGAACCAGCCCCCAGCCCAAGGGAGTAGGGGGAAGAGATGCATGCCTGGGAGTGATGGGGGAGGTGCAGGGAGCATATTCTAGGGTTAGATATTGTTTGTGCTGAAGAGCACTTGGGGAAACATGGAGCTTATGAAATAAGAACTGAAGCTTTTCTACAGGTGAGTACCATCCAGGCAGTGGTCTCTGCCAGAATGGGGAGCAGAGGTGAGTTGTTCAGAGTGGGGGCAGGCTGATTCCAGCCTTCCTGTTTCCCGCCTTCATCACCCAGAGGCCAGGGAGTGCTCTACAGTGCACACCGTAAGGTGGCTCCATTCTCAGCATCACGCAGGTGCCTACCTGTGCCAGCATGAACCCGAGAGTGAGGCCTCCTTACTTTTGCTCCCAGGAGGCTCTTTCTGCACCCTGGTCCTGGCCTGGCCTGTAGCTTCAGGAGATGACCCTAAACCTCCAGAAGAGGGATGGGGATTTGTACTTGCAGCAGTAAGTCCATTGTGCTCACCCCAGTGCCACCACCCCCGACCCCACTGCCCAGCAGGGGCACAGGAAAGGTCACCCTGGAGAGGAACTGTCCCAAGAAAGGCCAACTTGCCCACAGCCATTCCCACACAGCAGCAGGGCCTACAGAGGCTTCCTCCTGGGGCTTCCGCAGAGCTCCATGTTCTGGGCTTCTCCTCCATCCTCCCCTACTGCCGACTCTCCTCAAGCTCTTGCCCCAGAGGCCAGGCCCAGGGTCCACACTCAGGCAGGATAAGGCAGGTCAGACCTCTTCTTGGATCCACTCTTGAAGATGAGATGCTGCTCCCAGTATCCTCTCCACCGAGTCCTCTAGAGTTCTGCTAAATGTAACTGCAGGGCAGCAGAGTGGAAACAGCACGGGCTTTAGAGCGCAGCTGAGCAGGCTCAGACCTCACTTTGCCTTTGACTGGATGGGTGGTCTTGGGCAAGTCACCTAATCTCCCTGAGCCCCAGTTACTCATCTGTAAAATGGGTGTTAATACTACACACCTTGCTGAGAGACTGTGAAGGTTAAATGAAATAACGTGTACAGATATGTTCTTGTGGGTATTCCTATTCTATATGCAGACCACTGTTCCTGCCCTGGGGCCCAGATGGTCGGAAGAGAGGGGTACATGGGGGAATGGAACAGAGAAGGTAGATCTATAGCACCTATAGATCAGTTTCAAGGACTCCACTCAGGTGAGGCCTCCTGAACTCCTGGACCAAGAAGACATGGGCTCAGGCTCAGGCTGGGTCACTCCCCACTCTGCTAGTTGCTCACTCTAAAAAAGGGTAAATCCTAGGTGGCCAACCAGCCACATCCTAAACATTTTCATCAGGGAGAGCAACACTTTCCTTCTCTCTTTCAAGAGACAGGTAAAGCGTGAGATGTCTCTTGGGGTGGGGATTTGTGTCCTGTTAACTTTACCCAGGGACTCAGAGTAGCCTTCCCTGAAGAGGTGGTTGGGTTTGAGGAGAAGAACTAGGCCACCCTATTCCTTCACCCAGGATTCAGCCCTTTCTTTTTTTTTTTTTTTTTTTTGAGATGGAGTCTCGCTCTGTCACCCAGGCTGGAGTGCAGTGGCCCAATCTCGGCTCACTGCAAGCTCCGCCTCCCGGGTTCATGCCATTCTCCTGCCTCAGCCTCCTGAGTGTTTGGTTCTCAAGCCAGAGACTAGCTGCCCTTGGAACTTGATCCCACCATGGAAGGGCTCAAGGAAAGCTATAGATTTTCTCGTCTAACCTCACTGTGTTACCTATGAGGAAACTGAGGCCCAGAGAGTGAAATCACTTACCCAAAGCCACACAGCTAGAGGCAGAGAGTGGGATCTAGAGCCTTGGTCTGTGCCTTCTAGGCCAGAGCTTCTATTGTCAGGGACAGAAGACCAAGCTTGGATCTCATTTCATGACCCTGACCCTGCCCTTCCAGCCAGATCTCACTTCCTTGCAGTTAAGTTGTTCCCATTCTTGGCCACCAAGAATGAGTCAATACAATAAGATGACATTTTTTTCTTCTTCAAGCCCCTGGTCTGGTCCTAGTTGCAGTGAAATCTCATAAGGCTGTAGGGCTTTTTACTTGTAATATCCCTCCTAGAAGCCCAACTGTTTTAGTGGCACATGGGAGGATTCCTTGGTGTGTGGCATATGTCTACAGAAGACCAGCACAGTCTCCACAGGACAAAAAGCCAGGGCTGTGCCCACAGGGGGCCCTATGCCCAGAGAACAAGTCATCATTGGGCATTTGGAGCTGAGGGTGTAGGGGACAAGGTGGCCACTGCCTGGGCCGCTTTTAACCACCACTGCAGGCATTTTGGATCTGACCTGCCTTCCTGACCAAGTCTTCCTACCCTCATTTTCTCTTTGGCCCGATTTCATATTTGTTATCTTATTTCCTCTTTCATAATTTCCATTAAATCTTTTCTAGATTAAGATATTTGATGGACAAATAAACAAAAAAAGCCAATGTATATGAGAATCCTGGGTAGGAGCTAGAACCCAAAAACAGTATCAGCCCTGGATGTCATAGGGGCCAAGAAAAAAGGCAACAAGGAGCTTTTGGCGCATGAGGGGTCTTTGGTGGAGGTTCCCAGAGGGACCAGCCCTCAGATCCAGGGAAGTAGGCCTGGTCCTGCTTTCTGGGGGTGGCCACCCTCTTTCCACCAGGCCACCCCTGCACAGAGACCTCGGCTTCACTCAGGCACATTCATTTGTCTCCGACACCCCCAGGATGAAGTGGCCGTGGAGACGACCACTCCCCAGCAGAACAAGATGGACAAGCTGATCGAGATCCTGAACAGCATGCGGAACAACAGCAGCGACGTGGACACCAAGCTCACCACCTTCATGGAGGAGGCCCAGAACTCCACCAACTCCGAGGAGATGCTGGGCGAGATCGTGCGCACAATCTACCAGAAGGCTGTGTCCGACCGCAGCTTCGCCTTCACCGCTGCCAAGCTCTGCGACAAGATGGCGCTCTTTATGGTGGAGGGGACCAAGTTCCGGAGCCTGCTCCTCAACATGCTGCAGGTAACTGGACGCCGGCCACCACCGCCCCGCGCCCCCTGCCCCTCTGCGTTCGGTGAGTTATTCCTAGCGAGAAGGCTGCGAGTTCTGGCCACAGTTGGACTTTTCCCAAGTTCCGCCCTTGCCCGATTAATTATAGAAAACACAAAGGCAGTTAAGGGGCCAGGAATGAGCGGCTGGATTTGTGTGTGTTTATGTGTGGGCTCCCTGGTTACAATGGACCAATATAATTTTATAGGTGCTTTATGTTTAACCAGCCTTTCCCACTTTCTATTTTCATAAGAGGCTGGCTCTTGGTCTCAACCTGGCTATGTGCTTTGACCTCTCTACATCCAAGCAGACATGAACTTGCTGTGGACTTCTCTTTTCCTCCTCCTTCCACCCAGGGCTAGGTCCTTAGACCTTTGCAGATATGCAGTTGATCATCACTGGTAGTGAGATGGGTTTGAGTAAAGCCACACATGAGCAGAAAAGGGATAGTCTGTTTACCAACACACTATGGCTCCTGGGCAGAGGGAAGTCACGGTGATGCAAGACTGTCTTCATCCTT
Organism: Homo sapiens; assembly: GCF_000001405.40. Lineage (NCBI taxonomy): Eukaryota > Metazoa > Chordata > Mammalia > Primates > Hominidae > Homo > Homo sapiens. Next base: position 251,507 of record NW_013171814.1, read on the forward strand.
GCTCTTTCCCTCTTAATATCCCTTCACCTCTGACAGTGTAACCCCACCCCTGATCATTGCTTCCTCCATGAAGGCCCACGTCCAGTGGTTCTATCAGCATGAGTGTGTCGTGGGAGTAGGCGCGTGCACTTGGACGGAGCTTAGCAATGTTTCATCTCACAAGTACCTGCTTGCCTGTATGGGCAGTAGCAGATGAGCTGGTGGCCCCAAAACTGGTGACGTCAGGGAGAGATAGCAGGGTCATGGGATGGTGGCCACATCAGGTCCTGGGACTGTCCTTGGAGACTCTTGGCTGGGGGAGAGCCATGTCTCCTTTCCTCCTATTTTGTATTTTAGAGACTAGTTAAGATACAAAGTGAGTTTCTGGTCCAGATGAGATAAAATGGTAGTTTCCAAGTAATGAAGTAGAATGGCAGGCTATAGGGCCATCTTAACTAGGGTGACCATACAATAGATCATCCAAACTGCAACACTTGTGAAAGTCAAAGGGGGTTCAGTTCATAATTATGCCTAGACAACAGGTGTAAACAAGGGCATATGGCCACCCTCACCTTAACCATGTGGTTCGCAGTCTGCCGTCTTCCCTAAAAGCTGGGAGGAAGTTGCCGCTAAGGCCACCTCTACATGCAGCCGGCAGGGCTCCATCCCCACCCACCCTCTCCTCTGCATGTGAGTTGCACTCACTGCAACATGAGCCCTCCCTGGCCAGCCTGGGCTGCTTCTCTCCTGCTCCAGGCCCTGATCAGGTTCCCATTCCTGGATCGCCCGCACTCCCCTGGTGACGAATTCCCGCATTACCTGAGGGATTTGCACATGGGGCATGTTCCTCGCGGGCCGGAATGTCCTGGGAGCGTGTGGAGAGTGGCGGGCAGAGAAGCCTGTCTGCCAGAGAGCACCCGGCACAGGGGAGTCAGGGACAGCATCAGCCTATGGTCTCGGCTTTGGGTTTTGTTTTTCAAAAAAGGGCCAGGATGGGGCAAGAGTTCTAGACAGTGGTTGCCAGCTCCAAGTAACCCAGCCAGACCCGGTGGCAGACAGGCACCCAGGGCATGGGGCACTTGGGGAGGGCAGCTGGCTGCAGGGGCCATCTCAGATCGGGTATTTCTTCCAACCTGCCGTGGTAAGGGTGGCCTCACCCACAAGTGTCCAGCGGACCATCAATCCTGGGGAACAGTCAGCCACAAAGGGGGCCCTATGGCCCCTGCACTCACCTCTCAATCAACCACAACGTGCACTGGTTTAGGACAGGCTCCAGATGTCCCAGCAGGAAGGGAACCTGTTTGGCTCCGTTTAACTCAACAAAGTCCTCTGCATTCCCCAGTTAAGAACTACTTGTGGGATTAGTGTGCTGAGAGACAGTTTGGCAAACACTACAGCAGGGAAGAAAACACAAAATTGAAAGCTGGGAAGCAAGGATTCCAGACCTGATTCGTTTGTCATCCGTTGGAGCTTGGCCTCTATAGTTCCCTGGGAAAGTGCAAGCAACAGCCTTCATCAGTGTACCCTCGATTTTGCACTACTGGAGATGAGCCGGGGTCTCGGGCAGGGGCACGAGGGACCCCGTGTGAGCCTTTCCCTTTCTCATGCTCCTGAGGCCTTGCCACTAGTAGGAAACTGTCCTGGGTCCCCCTGAGTCCTCACAAACCCACTCACCCCATATAGTGGCTCCATAGTAGGTCTGTCATGAGTGATGCAGGCTTTGGGACCAGCCCAAGAGACCTAGTTCTGCAGGTGCCACCTTGTCTCTGGAGCAGAGAACTGGCACTCCACATCCTGCTCCCCACCCCCCATCAGCCAGGCTGAACCTCCCAGTACACCCTGCATGGACGAACTCTCCCCCAGAATTCACTTCTCTGTCCCACTCTGAGCATGCACCTCCCCCTGAAGCATCTCACACTCCTACTTCAGGTGGTGCTAGGGCCCCACTTTCCAGGAAACACTGGCCCTTCTCCTGTCCCAGCACCTCTCATCCTGCAGCCACAATGTTCAGTCACCCTCCTAGTATTCACTGAGTATTTCTAGTGTGCCAGGCACCAGCCTGGGGACTGAGGATACAGCAGTCAGTCACTGGGCACAGCTTTGTCCTTAAAAGGTTTGCAGTGAAGGAGTTGAACTTAAACCAATGGCCACATGAATCCACAGTGACAAACTGGGGTGCGTGCCGTTACTGCCCCCCATCTTGGGCTCTGGGAGGTGGGAACCCCTCTACTTTCTGCACCTCTGTATCCCAGGGGCTGCATAGTGCCTGGTGCTGGAGGGCCCTCGGTCGTCAAGGAGAAATGGATGTCTGAAAAGGAAGGCGCTGGAAGCCTCCCTTCTCCCGGGCTAGGGGCCTGCAGGGACAGCTGAAGTCCAGGGCAAGAAGGGAACCCCCCACCCAAGGCAGTCATGGCTCACATTCTGAGGTTTCAGAGCAGCTCCTCCTCTCCTCCCCCACAGTGGAGGAAGCCAGCCATTTGCCTGGGTGGAGTATCTGCGGGTCAGGTCTTTAGAAATCTAAATGTCCACATAGGCCACCACTCACCCCTGTTTACCACCTGCAGTCCCAGCTTTCATGTGAGCCGAGGAGGGAGCCCCTTGAGAGTATAACCAGAGGCTTGATCTGCGTTCTCAGACCTCCTGGGTGGCTAGACAAGGCCCTTTCAGCTGCCATGGGAAGGCGGGTGGACTGTGCTGGTGCGGGGCTGCCCTGATCCCACAATGGCCCCCTGACTCCAAGGCCCAGAGGACACCTGAACCACATCTGGCTGAGCCTCCTCAGGCCCTGTGCCTTCTCTCTGCAGCCAAGGAGACAGAGGTGGAGTGGGCTTTTCTGGACAGCATAATTCATGGCCCCTCACCACCCAAACCCGAGAGGTGCAAGAAAAGAAAGCGATGGGCTGGGCTCAGCAAAACCTGCTTTCCCTCTTAACACCTCCAGGGATGTCTTTTTTCACCTGACTTCATTTTCTGGCAAACTATGTTTGCATCCCTTCCTGGCAGGCAGTTCTAGACCCGGCCTGCACAGCCCTGCCCCCTGCTTCCTCCCTGAGGTTTGCACTCAGCTCCATCCACTCAAGGCCCATCTGGCTCTCGGTCCCCAACCAGCACCTGGTTGGGTTTGGCAGCCTCCGAGATGCCCCCATAGGATCAGGTTCAGCTACCACTTCCACACACAAGTTCTGGGCCCCGGCTTAGCAATGCAGGCTACAAAGGGGCCAGGGTGTGAAGTGCCTCCTTAGCACAGCTCCCAGCAGTGGTCTTTACACTTGGTTCTCCCTGGCTGACTTCTCTTGCTGCCAGGGCTTCAGTGATGGGAGCCGGCAGCATGGAGGGAGAGGGGCAACCGCAGATGTGGTAAACATTCTGCAGCAGAGGTCTGAGGGCTCTTGCCAAGCTGGGGTGCAGCCCCCATGGAGTGGGAAGTGCAGGGTGGGAGAAGGGAGAAGGTTTAAGGTCCTTTAACCCTTCCCAGCCAGACTCAACACTGCTATCTCAAGGAACCCAGAAGCACCATTCTCATGAGCCATGACAGTGCTGGAGACCTTGGGGTCTCAGAGGACCCCGTCACCAATCCCACAGCTCCAAAATGGTCTTCAGTTTTTACATCCAAGCCAATTCCTTTTTACCTGAAATGTGGCCCTTTTATTAGTAGTGTCCTTGTAAGTAAAATTCTATTTATTAAACAGACATTTCTTTTTTTTTTTACTTTTTATTTTATTTTATTTTTTAATCATTTTTTCTTTTTTTTATATACTTTAAGTTTTAGGGTACATGTGCACAACATGCAGGTTAGTTACATATGTATACATGTGCCATGTTGGTGTGCTGCACCCATTAACTCGTCATTTAACATTAGGTATATCTCCTAATGCTATCCCTCCCCCCTCCCCCCACCCCACAACAAAACAGACATTTCTTAATGTGCCAAGCATGTTGTCTTTATTAGGTCAGGGGTTCTCAAACCGGAATGTGCATATGAATCACGTGGGATTTTGTTTAAATGCAGATTCTGATGCAAGAGGCCTGGGATGGGCTTGAGATTCTGCGTTTCAAACATGCTCCTGGTAGATGCTAGTGCTCTAGTCCAGGGACCACAGTGGGAAGTCACAAGGCATTGAATGACTGATGGTTTGTAGGTGGTGGCTCTGTTTCATAGATGGGCAAACTAAGGCACAGTCTGTCATCAGTGTGATGGTCAGAGTGGAGGTCTGGCCTGGGAATATTGCATTTCAGATACTGGCTCTTCTTTAGGTCAGTGGTTCTCAGCCTCGCTATGCATGAGAATCATGAGAACACAGCAGGCAGGGGGCCTACCCCTAATCAGTTGAATTAGATTCTCCAAGGACGCAACCTGGGCATTCGTTAGCCAGGGTGGAACACCACTGTTGAGGAGACACCCCAGAGACACCGAACTGGTTCATCGCGGCCACTTATGAATCAGCTGGCTCTGCCTGTCATGCCGCGAACCAGTCAAGAAATACCTGCCAGGTGTTGGGCTCTCTGCTGAGCCATGGGGGAAAACTCCGAGTCTGAGCTGGCAGGAGAACCCCATTACACAGGAGGCCTCAGCTGCTGAGAACATGCCTTCCACTCCCCCAGCCTCAGGCTCTTCTTGTCATCACCCTGAACCTCCTCCTTGATGAGATGAAAGCCACCTCTTCTCTCCCGCTGCCTCCATTTCTCTCTGTCCTCAGCTCCTTTTCCCATTTTCCTTTTCCTTGGCCTGGGATGTGTGTCGGAACAGCTATCACATGTTTTAGGAAAAGGGCCTCATTCTCACCCACGGTGCCAGGCTGTACCAGAGGCTGGGCCACACTTCGCAGTTCAGCCTGTCTCCCCATACACCTTCCCACCAAGGTTCCCAACTTCTCTGGCTTTGCAGGGTCCTGACTGCAGACTAGACTGACTAACTAGATGATGTGCATTGATTGTTTCCGACTTCCAGGAGAATGTGGGGTGCCCAGGGTGCCTGGGTTAGAGAAGGAACCAAAAGTTTCCTTGGATCCTCATCAGGGAATTGTGGTGTGATACAGGGCGGTGAAGGGGCTCCAGTTTCACAGAGAAGTGAAGAACGAGTGTGCCTCTTTTTATGGGACCTTTGGAATGACAGGAATGGAAGCCTGAGCCCTCTCCACCCAGCACTGCCCTGTCACTGCCCCGGGACGTCCACGTGGGCTCTGGGAATGCTCCTTTGCTGAGACAGGCTTGGGTAGTACAAGTTCAAGCCCTCCTCTGTTGAAATGTGTGTGCTCTGTTTAGCCAAGAGGTGTCTGCATCCGAGCTATGCAGAGCAAAGTATTATTAGAGCCGGCATCAGTGTGTCTGTAACTGAACCCAGCTCTCCCTAGCAACCGTTGCCAACAACACATCTAACAGAAGGATGCGATACCTTTTTTTGAAAAAAAAAAGTTTGTCTCAACCAAGTCATAAACACAGCAGGCCTGTTGTGAAAAGACAACACAAAATCAGAATCTGGTGTGTGACCAGATTTCAAAATAAATTGCTCTTCTCTAGCACCTTCTAGAAGACAGCCTGTTAAAAAGCTGACCTTGAGCTAAAGAGCGGAGAAACTCTTCAGAGTTTCTGGCTGGGTCATCATCAAGCATTGTGTTTTGGGCTTTTCATACATAGACGCTCAGTTGAGTGGTGACTCTGTGGGATCTCTGGGAATGACTTTAGCACAGAAGGGGCACTCAAGATTTTCTGGCTTGGCTTTCCTTATCAGTGAATCTCTCAAGTGTGAGACAAGCCTGAAGATGTATCTTACCCATACCTCATCCTGGATGTGTGTGTTGCCCCCACTTCTACCCGTTTCTCCCATCCTCCTGCCCTTCTCCTTGTCCCATGTTTTCAGGCTTGGGAAGAAAACTGGGCCATTCCTCTAACTCTCTTCCTAAGGGGAAAACCTCGTTCTCTTGTGATTCTCTCAAGGTCTCTGGAAAATCAAGTCATTCCCCTTTGTCAGAAGTTTGAAGTTCCTAACTCTTATCTTTTACATAGGAAGGGAGGAGGGAGACTGATATCGATTCCTGGAGTCTAAGTTTTAAACTCCTAGATGGCCAGAATCCTGGCTGAGTTATCGGCTGTCCCCAGCTCCTGGCTTCATGGTTCATAGTAGATGCTCAGGAAATGGCTGTGGAAGGGAGGCATGGAGCCATCAGTCATGGGTACCAATGCTCTCTGGGGCATGAGGGGCTTTGAAACTCTTCTGAGCACTTTCCTGTGTGTGAATCGGAGGTAGGTTCCAGGGCAGGGATCCCTCCCCAGGCTTATACATGGGGAAAGTGGCTCAGTGAGGCTGCAAGATTGACCCAGCATCACGAGGCTAGCTGGAGCTTCTGGATGCCATGCCACATCCTAAATAGGGTGTAAGGCTCAAAAACTTGGGAAAATCAAGAATCCATATCATGGTTGGGAGCAATGGCTCATGCCTGTAATCCCAGCACTTTGCAAGGCCAAGGCAGGAGGATTGCTTGAGGCCAGGAGTTTGAGACCAGCCTGGGCAACATAAAAAGACCCCATCTTTGAAAAAAAAAATAGGCAGGTGTGGCAGCATTGCTACTGAAGCCCCAGCTACTCCAGAGGCTGAGGCAGGAGGATCCATTCAGGCCAGGAGTCAAGGCTGCAGAGAGCTAGGTCCCTGCTGTTGCGCTCCAGTGTGAGCGACAGAGTGAGACTCTAAAAAACAAAAAAGAATCCATCTCAGGAAGTCATCAATTGGGATTTCAAAATCCACCCTGTGGAATAATCCCACTGTGTTTCCAGGGGTCGCTGAGTCTCTGAGCTTTCTGGGCCTCTGGAGGTCAAGGGTACCTGAAGAAACCCCTGCACTCTCCATTCGCCCTAGTCCCTGTGAAACCACACAGGCTGCTGGCCCCAGTTCCCATCTCCTCCTTGCATCCTCTCCCTCTTCTCAGACCCCCTCCCTCATTTCTGCACACCCACCGCTGAGCCGATGTGCACTCCAGGCATGTAAACTAATTTTAATGTTGGCCCAAGCCAGGCACACCCAGGGATAGAAGCACATTGTTCTGTGCATTCCAAAGCTTGAGCAAAAGCCCTGGCCATACCCACATCGAGCTCCCCTCCACTAGTTGCTAGAAATCAGAAAGGCTGAAGCAAAGGGCCAGAGGCAGTGCAAGCCGCTTTCCCCGTGGGCAGGCTGCACGGAAGCTTGCAAAAGCCCAGAAAAGGGCTGTTTTTCTAAAAATGGCTGGCATCTGAGCTCCCGCCCTGCCCCCTGTGGGCCATCTGTCCCCATGCTGAAGCCCGTGCCCTGCAAGGGACATGCAGAGTTGGCACACACATTTCCCTGAAGGTGGGCACCAACAGGCCTCGTCAGGCTGGCCTGGCATCACAGGAGGCCAGCAGTCACAGGAGCTTGACCCCTGCCCAGGATTCTGTGGCAGCCCTGGGCTCCCCCAACAGGAAGAGCCAATGCCTGACTCCTATCCATGTTCTTTGCCCCTGCGGCCAGAGCCACAGTGGATAGGAGCCGTGTGCCTCGTTGCCAATCTTGTTGTCTGCACTTGCTTTGGGATGAGTAAATATGACCTGCTTTTCTCCAATCTTTATTTCTTCTCAACGCTTATTGAGCACCTGCTATATACCATGCACTGTGGCAGGTCCTGTATGTCTCTGTTCATTTGCCCTCCACTGTGGTCTTTCAATCTGTTTGTGCAAATCTTAAGCATTGCATTCAAGGACCCAGGTGGGATACCTCAATGTCAGTGCTTAGACCAGATCGCCCTGACTGTTCAGTTTGGGTGGGGCGGGGGAACATGTGGCTTCCAGGAGTGCTAAGCCTGTGGTTCTCTCTGGAGCTTTGAAGTGCTCAGTGAGACAGAGCAGCCGATGACCGGATCATAAACAAGCATTTTGATTTTTGAATCTGAAAATAAGCGAGGAAAGAAAATGACCACTGATCCTCAGCCAGTCCTGGAAAGTGCCCAGAACAGCAGCATGCCAGGTGTCCAGTCATCATATCATCAGGGGGGCCTGGGTGCTGCTGCTGTGCCAACTACTGCCCCAGGCCCCCAGGGACCAGTGAGCTTCCTGCAAAACCAAGTGCCCAGCTTCCTGCCTCTTTGCCACTGCGCCACTGTGCCACTGCGCCACTGCGCCACTACTGTGTTCTTCAAAATCACAGAGAGCCCCGCTCCTGAGAAAGCCCAAAGTGCCTTTCTGTGCACGGCATGGGCTTTTACAAGTCTCATGGGCAGTCTACTGCAGGCCTTGTCAGAGACTCTAGATGTGCAGAGGCTGAGGGAGCCTTGGACAAAAGTCACTCCTTTCCCGTGAAAAGTGGCCATTGCCCTGTGTTGTTAGGAGCGTGGGTGGCTCAGGAGGGGAGAGCAAGACCAGCCTGCAGCTTCATGAATCAGGTCAGCTGGGCCATCTGGAGCAGACAGGTGTGGGTCGTGCCCCCGAATCTCATTTCTCTAGACAGGATTTCTTGCCCTGAGGCAGCAACGCTGAGGCCTGAGGAGTAGCAAACCTGTGCAGTAGCATCGATTGCTGCCTCGATGCTGATCTTGAGCATTTAAAACATGTCTCTGCACCCACGTTTCCGTCCTGCAAGGGATGATTGGGTTGTGGTAGAGCTTAAATGAGGTAATGCATGCACGGACCCCAGCTCTGAGCCACACCACTCGGATGGCTCCATCAGTGTGGGTGCCCTGCCCTGGTGGGATGAACTGGGAGGCCCTTCTAACTTTATCCCATCCTAGATTCCCAAAGACCACCCCATGCCTCAGTCTTGGGCAGCATTTCCATTTCCCCCCCCTACGCTGATTAAATGTGGAACAATGAGGGCAGGCAATGAGTGCTTTTAGACTATTGTCTTCCTGGGCGGTGGGCCCAGGATTGACAGGTGTACTCTTCCTCCTAGTCAAATCTGCCTCCTCCAGGAAACCTTCCCTGATCTCCCAGCCCAGGGACCTCACCTTCCTCTGACTCTTGAACATTTACCATGTGTCCCTTTCATGAAGTCTTCTGGGCTCCCCTGTTTAAGCTTTTCTTATCTGAGACTTGTATCTGTGGATGTCTTGGGGCAAAGAATGCGTCTGGGTCATCTTTGTGTCCCACCACCATACTGGTACCCACAAGGTATTCATCAGGCATCAGCTGGCTGGCTCCAGGAGCTTCCTTCACTGGGGAGGAAGGAGCATGGATAGGCAGGCATGGGAATAGCACAGGCCACAGCCACAAAAGGGAATGGCCTGGGGTTTTCTCCCTCTCGCTTCTGGGCCAGGAGAGCTTTACCCAGGTCAGGAATTATTTCACCATCACCCGTGTCCCTTGCCAGACCGTGTCCCCTTCCCTGCATGCCCTCACCCCCCACCCAGGGTTCATTTTCCCTGCTAAATCCCCTGATAGAACTTGGCCGGGCACTGCCCTGTCTGAGGCTGCCACGCCGAAGCAGGCCCTGCAGATAAGTGGGTTACCGGAGAAGGCCAGCTCGGGTGTCCCAGGCCCCAGAGGGTCACCCCTGGCTGGCTGGCAGCTCACCCCCAGCACCTCCTCCTCCTCCTTCCCCGGAGCCAGGCAGGCAGGAGACAGCAGATCCTTCCCCCCAGCTCTGTGAGCGGCCGGCCCCCAGCCGCCGCGGGGAATCTGAGCTATGCTAAGCGGCTCCAGATCGCAGCATCTCTGCCCTGCCCGGGCACGGCCGGCCCAGACAGGGCGCCTCTACCTGCCGTGGCTGCCGCTGGAAAGCTGGCACCGCCTGGGCTGATGGAAAAAATCTCCCTGCGGGTTATGTAACTGCTCACCGCCCTGTCCCTGGCTCCCCAGGGAGGCTCCCAGCCACTACCAAGAGAGAGCAGTGGCCCCTGGGCAGGAAGGAGACCACAGAGGGTCACTCTTTCAAAAGGAAGAAAATAGTGTTGCGTTATCTGAGGTCCTCCTCTGGAACCAGCCTGTGCATGGCGCCAAGGTGTTTCCTGAAAATGCTTAAGGAGCTCAGAGGCCTGCCCCAGTATTATAGCAAGAAGAGAGCTAAACCTAGCGGGAGGGAGTGGCCACAGAGGAGGAAGAGGGCAGGACAGCTTTGTTACTGTTTTTCTTTTCTTTTCTTTTTGGCAAATTATTATTGCAGTAAAATATACCATAAAATTCACCATCTGAACTAGTTTTAAGTGCACAGTTCAGCAGTACCCCGCATACCTACAATGTTGGACAATGCCCATGACCATCCCCCGGCACCCCACCAAACCCTCTCATCACCCCAAACAAAAGCCATGTACCCACCATAACTCCCCTACAGCAATAACTCCCCTACAGCAATAACTCCCCTACAGCAATGCCTCCCCTCCATCTTCCATCTCCATGAATTCACCCACTCTACAAATAGCACACATGGGATATCATACAATATTTTTCTTTTTGTGCCTGGCTTATTTCACTTCACATCATGGTTTCCAGGTTTATTCATGTGTCAGAATTCCCTTCTTTTTCATGGCTGACTAATATTCCATTTTATGTCTATACCACATTTTGTTTATCCATTTATCTGTCAATGGGCACTTGATTTTCTTCCACCTTTTGACTATTGTGATTCATGCTGATAGGAGCATGCATGCACAAATATCTGTTTGAGTCCCTGCTTTTGATTCTTTGGGGTATATACCTAGAAGTGGAATTGCTGGATCATATGGAAATTTTATCTTTAGCTTTTTGAGTATCTGCCAAACTGTTTCCAGGAAGGGTGTTTTTGATGGGGGAAATATCATGAACCAAGAGCCAAAGAAATGACACAACTGAGGGACAATAAGGACACTGCCTTACTGAAATTCAGCTGAGAGCTGGAGGAAGTCTATAAGGGGGACCGACTAAGAGGCAGAAGGATCTGGACTTTATAAAGTGGGACTCAGGGAGCCATTGTGGGTTCTTGAGATGTAGAGTTCCAGGATCAATTAAAAATCATAGACCAGTGTAGACTTGCAGGAAGGATCTATAGATCATCCAGTCCAACCCCCTCGTATTACAGTTGAGAGACTTGAGGCCTGGAGAGGTTGAAAGAGGCCATGAAGACATGTTGATAGGTCATAGGATGTTGGACTTAAAGATGTTTTACATCAGAGAACCAGGGGTTCTAGGTAGCCACGTGGTCTCTTGTGGAGAGGGAGCATATCCAGGCTTAAGCCTGCCCCTCAAAGACCTGAGCTGTGATGGCAGGCCTCATTTCCCTGCCCTACTCTCAGGATCCTGCTCTCTGGCCCCTGGCACATGGAACTGTGGCATTTCCACCACCACCCCCACCAGCCAGAGCCAGGAGCTGGGGTTGCCTGCCATGGGGAACTGTGCTCCCCTAGCGCTGGTCCCCTTCCTTCAGTAAGTGCCATGGTGGGCTCCAAGAGCTTCTGGGACAAGTCAGTGGGCATCTTCGAACCAGAGCCCCTGGGTGAGCAGGCTTCCCCAGGGGTACATAGCCTGCATTCCAGAGAGGGCCCCTAACATTGGCCTGTGGGCCGCTGATAGGAAGAATGGATAGAGACTCCGCACAGGGTGCCCCACCCCCGGCCCTGGTGCCCCTCACCATGCTGCTGTGGGCTTATCTCCTTGTTGCCCTTCGCCCATACCAACCTGCCTGAGCTGCGTTTCTGATGCCTATAATGAACCAGAAGGGAGTTGAGGGGACAGAGGGGGAGAGGAACAGGAAGAGGAGATGACAGGACAACTCTTTCAACAGCCAGCAGGAATGCCACACTTGGCCTTCAACCCTCCGCTCTAAGAGTATTTATACCCACAGTGTTCAGGGTGGCCAGGTTCCACCTTGTCTAGATAAAGAGCAGGCCCCCTTACGGAGACAGAGGTCTCCCCAGCTCCCCTCCAGACAGCCACCAAGAGGTCAGGAACACACAGAGTGCACGGCGCAGTGCATGGAAGGGAGGCGCTGTTGCAGGGGCAGCCATCAGTGCCTGGGTTACTCTGAGGCCAATCGGCATCATGTGAGCAATTTAAACCCATGGTGTGCCCAAAGGCCAGCTTTTCCTACTTCTAGGTCTTCCCTCTCTGGGCCCCTCTGTCCAGGAGAGGCGGATACACTCGACCAGAAGCAGAACCATGGGCACAGGGAGTCTGCGTCATGCTGGCTCAGCATGGCTCTGCCCTTGAAACCCAGAGCCTAGAATAAGGGGTCCCTGTACACCGCCAGAGTGCCTCACTGCCTCCCACCTAGAGCTCAGGTTTAAAGGCCTTCACTCGGTATCAGGGTGCAGAGCTCTGAGTCTTCAGGGAAAAACAGCGGCCTCTTTGGGGGGGACAGGGAGGAACCTGCAGGGAACGACCCTCCCTTAACCCTCTGCTGGCCCTTCCAGGACAGATCCCAGGTCCCAGAGTGAGAGAAGCTTCAGGCCACTTTGAAGTATGAGGACAGGCATGCTCAAAATCGTCCCCCCTCCAGCACCCCCTTGACAGTGCCGAGCCTGAGACCAAGTGTATTCCAGAGAAGTCTGTATGCACCCAGGTCATTCACACCTAGACCCATTAAGCAGAGAGGGCTTGGGAGCCAGCACGTCACCATGTCATGCCCCTGCCTCCCAGTTTTCCGTAGAGCAAAGGCCATACGAAAGAAGGGGGTAGCTTAGGAGGTATTTGGGGAAAGCCAGACTCCAGCTAAAGCTGGTGAATAGCTATAATCGGAATAAGTGCATTCTTGAGCAGCTGCGTATTGGAGCGCCACATATTGGACCCATACTTAGCATGGACCCCATTAGGCAACCGTCATTGCATTATTCTGAGTATTAAAAAAAAAAATGTGGCAAGGGGAGTAATATCTCTAAAGTGGGGTTCGAAGCACAGTCACCTGGAATCAGCCTTCCCTGCCATAGACCCTTCCTTTAATGCCTTACCACCTGTGGCATAAGAAATAACTCAAGCGGCCAAGAGCCAGCCACCTCCCCCTGGCTCTAGTTGTGGCGCCATGCAACTGGTTGACTCTGGGTGGATCTCAAGCGTGGCAGCCCTACACTTACTCTTCTGTTAAATGGGGTCATAATACCCATCTCCTCCTCCTGCCTACTGCACTGACATTATCATTGTTAAAATCCACTGAAATGCCTGACTTTTACCTGTGTTCCCTTAAGACTCCTCCTCCAGGAGAAACTTGTGAATTTCATAGCAGCATGTTTTTCCTTTTCCTTTTGATGATTCCATTCATTCAAGGTTCTTAGGGGAGGTCCCAGGCAGGGAAAGCGCCATGAGATGCCCACGCAGAGATTCTTCCACAAGTCCAGGGGCCCCCGGCACAGTAGGACTTGAGGTTTGGGTGCAGCACTGTAGACAGCCCAGGATCCAGCCACAAGGAAAGCTCTCCAAGGGGCCCTGGGACTGGCCTGGAGGCCCCACAGGGTTCCCTGAGCTCAGTACTGTGAAACCCCAGTGAAACAGGCACTGGCCTCTGCCTGACACATAAAGGGGGGCAGGGCCAGCTCAGCCAGAGGGCAGTTTAGGAACATCAGAGGAAGGGGCAAGCCCTGTAAGTGGAGTAGGTTGAGGAAGGCTTCCTGGAGGAGGAAGCATGAAGGAAGAGGCAGGATCTGGGTGGAAGGAAGACAACAAGAGGATCTGTAAGTGGCAGGACCCTTTGAGGGACTGGGGGTTGCAGAGGAGGATTGGGGAAGGAGGTACCGCCAGCCTGGCGGAGGGTGTCAATCAGCAAGCCCAGGGCTGAGGCTGCCCAGCCGGGCCGTGACCCCAGGTCACTGTAACCACACTGGCCCGTTCATTTTGCTGGCGCCTGCTTCTTGCCATTTCAGGCCAAGACCATATTTTCATCCAAAACTAAAACTTCTACCTCAAGAGGCGTGAGTTTCCTGCCAGCCTTGGGCCGTCTTTTGCAGGTGGCAGAGTGGGCTGCTGAATCTGCGACCCTGGCCAGGCTCCAGGGCCTCTGAACCCTGGGGTTTTGCTGAGGCAGGTGGTGTGGCACCAAGGGCCTGGCATCTGAGGCCAGAAGATACCCGCCACCCCTCCCTGGTGAGGTTACTGCCTTGTAGGAGAGGGTAGGGATGCCCACCTCCATATGCCCCCATGTGCCCCAACCAGCCCCTCTTTGTGCACCAGCTGCTTCCAGAGCTATATGGAGATGGGCGCCCACCGCCCAACCAGGCACAGAGGTGCAGTGCTCGCTGTGGGGGAGGGGGAGCATGATGCCACCCCCAGGAGCTCTGCAGGAGCCAGAGCAGGGTTGTGCAGGAGGCTGCCATGGGGCGGGTCTGCACAGCAACACTTGCTGCTTTCACCTCACTCCCCTCTGCAGAAGCCCCTTTTCCTCCCCTCCCTCAAGTGGTGGAGCAGGAGGCAGAAAGTCTGAAGCCAGCCCCTCAACTAATGTCACCGTCTGAGCCTCAGCATCCCCATAGGGGAAACGAGGGCACTGGGTCGGGTGTGGTCTGTGGGTCAGGTCTCCCCAGCCAGGCACCAGGCCCTCTCCAGCAGAGCCTGTGGCACCTCTGTCTGCCTCGCACAGCCCCTCAAGTGCCTTGAGCCTGTGAAGGTTGCAAGGAGGTCTAGGACTAGGGAGAGGCTGGAACCCACTGCGGGTGGGAAGAGAAGATGGGAGCTGCTCTGTCTGCAATCTGGCAGTTGTTTATCCCAAACAGGGAACCAGAAGCTGAGGATTTAAAGGCTCGGCGTGGGAGGAGGTGCTCTGGGCTGCAGGAGATCCGGTGGGGAGCCCCAGCCCTGCCTTTCCCTGGCTGGGCGACCTCAGGCCAGGCCTTCTACCCTGATGGTGGCTTCCTCACCCATAAAACATGGAGAGGTTAGAAGTCATTTCAGACATTCCTTCCAGCTTTGTTATCCCAAAGCAGATGCGCTAGGCAAACAGAGGGTGCCTGCTAAAATGCCTGTTGCTGACTGATTGGTTAGCGGGTTGACCAGTGCAGAGCAGGACCCATCCCCAACTCTCCCCACCCGGCGGGTCTGGCCGGCTCCTTCCCACCCGCCTGGCCCCATTTACAGAGTCTGGGGCCTGCTTGGCTTGTGTGTGCTGGCGGCAGCACCTGCTGGGTGGGCAGGGCGGCCTGCAGGGGGCACCAGTGTGCAAGGCCAGCCCTTCCTGCCTGCGGCCACCTCCCAGCATCTTGGCATCCTGGGGGCTGTCCCACAGGGAAGATTTAAACTATATGATGGTGACCGCCACCAAGCCACCCTCCTATGTGCAATTTTCAGACCCCTTGGGGTCCCAGCCCTGAGTCCAGAAACCTCAGGCTGAGAGTTGGACTAGAACCCACAGCAAGGGTCCCCTCCAGACCTCCAAAACGGGCCAGTGTAGTACTCATTCCCATTTTATACCCAAGACAACCAGGGCTCTTGGAGGCCACAGGAGGGCCACCGAGGTCTCAGGTAGCTTAGAAGGAGGACAGAGCATGGGTCCTGGATTCCCTGGGAACAGTGCCTGCCCAGAGACCCAGCTGCCCTTAGGAACGAATGAGTATCAACCAGCTGAGGCTGCATTTTCTTAAAATGCATTGGTTTGTCTAGTGTTGTTTATGTTCTTTCTCAAACAGCAGGAAGAGGTTGTGGGAAGAGCCCTGGCTGTCAACAGGCTTCTCCCATGCAGTAGGGGTGGACAGAGGGACTGCAGCCAGGGTCAAGGGCAGGCCATGGGGCGGTGGGACAGAGAGCAGGCCGCAGCCTCATCTGGCCTCAGTAGCCTTGTACAGAGGCAAAGGGGCTTCCGTGTGGGGTGTCAGCTCCTTCCACACCTGCCTGGACCCGGAAACAGGCATGCCTTGAGTCACCAGCAGTGGGCAGCCGTAGAGTCACTGTTTCAACACCGCCAATTTGTTGGTCCCACGCCTGGGGCCCCTGTGGTCATTGCAGTATGTTTTATGGAACATTCTGTGAGGATTCCTCTTGGGGTTTTTTAGCAGCCACCCGTTAGGATGTTCCTAAAGTAGAAGGCAAACAGCCCACAGGGCCTCAGAATTCTAGAAAAAATGTCTGTGCACAGCATGGGAGCCTGAGCCAGGAGGGCATTCTCAGCCATCTTCTAAGGAGCCAGGTAGAAAAATGGGGTCGATTCTATTGTAGTTACTTCCTTATTTTAGCTATTCATTCAGAAATGTTAGCTGTTCAAAGGGTATGTCATTTATCAATCAGGAGGCGGGAGCCCCAGGTCTGCAGGAGTGCAGGGGAGGATGTGAGCAGGTCAGTCACAAGCTAACTTAGAACAAGCATTCAATCCCCCAGAAAATGCACCGGGGAAAGCCACAGGCATTCCCTTTTGGTAGAAAAGGTCCCTGGTCTATCTTCATCGATGGGACTCTCATCCGGGGTTTGTACCAGGGGAACCTGGCCAGGGGATGGCCGTTCAGCCTCTGGGCATGTTGGCAGAAGGGGTAGTTCATGGTGTGCCCTGGGCACCCCATTTCTGATTTCTACCCCTGAGCCAGGAAGGCCTCTCCCATCAACCACCGTGGGACTGTGAAGCAGGTAACAGGCAGAGGTGGTGGGGGTGTCCAGGGGCCTGAGGTGGCGGTGAGGATGGGCATGGAGTACTACACTTCATTGAAATGCCAGCAGCCAGGAGGTGAGCACCTTGGGTTGGGAGTGCTCCCTGAACCCCAGAACTGGAGGCGTTCTGGGGGCATTCTCACTAGCACCGCATCGGGACACATCAGTCCAGCAGGTCGCGCTGGTCCCTGGGGAGCCCAGAATGACAGTTTGTTTCTTTTTGTTCTGGCTGACAATGATGCCACAAAGCTGTTTCAGCCCTGACTGAGAGTACAGGATCTGGACAGCCCCGATTTGAATCCTAAGTTTAATACTTCGTAGCTGTGTGGCCTGGGCAAGTGGTTTTCCCTCTCGGGGCCCCAGTTTTCCATTTATAAACTGGGGTAATAGATAATACCTGCCTCCTTTGGGTGGATGAGGCTTGAATGGTGGGGACGATGGTGTTAGTATAAACACAACATTGACTGGTGTCGCTCATGTCTGGGGGTTCCTGTCAGGGGTCCAACAGGAACACCAGTTACTCCTCCTTTGCCATTGGGCCAGCTCTCTGCAGTCACTGGCTGGATACCAGCTGTATGCATACACTGTGGGCCATAAGTATCCCTTAGACCTTTGTGGGTGGGGGTTAACAGCCCCATTTTATACATGGGGAAAGAAAGTTCCAGAGAGCTTAGGAGGTATACGTCAAGTCACGCAGCTGGTCAGTGACAGACAGAACTGGAGCCAAGTCCCTGGTACCCCACACTCTGTCTCCTCAGAACACACTGCCACCTGCATGCCCTGATTGGTCAGGAGTGCATCTGGAGGGGGTCAGTTATAAGGCTGAGGAGAGGTGACAGGGAAACGAGATAAGAAACATGCCATTTAGGTGGCCATGCTTTCAGAGCCTCCTCCCCACAGGCCAGGCCTTGGGCTCTCCCCACTGCCATCTTATGACCAAAAGAATTGAGAGACAGCTTCCCGGCCAGCGCTTAGCAGCGGGCTTGGGTCTGCTGCCTCCTTTCCTGTCTTGCCGGGGGTGGGGGAGAGTCTCCACCAAGCTGCAGACAGACAGAAGAATGGTTCCTTGTCCTCCCAAGGGGGACAAGACTTCTCCATGTCCTTCCTTCCCACTGGGCTGGTTTCCAACCCACCACCTTCATGATTCGTGAATGCAAAGAGAAGACCACTTAGATCGGTATGTTTTGCTTCCACTTGGCAGCCCTAGGTGCTGGAGGCTGCAGCTCTGGGTGAAGGTGGGCCCTGGTCTGTGGGGTATGGGCATCTGTGAGCACCATCTGCATGCAGCCCCGGAGGTCAGGTGGCAGAGTCTCCCATGACAGGTTCCAGCAGCAGAAGTCCTAAGGAAGCAGCTTGTGTCTCAGATGAGGCTGTGTACCTCCGTTGCCTGTCTAGGCTGGAGGAAGGGTGATGGCACCTTTAACTGGTCCCTTCCTTACAGATCACTAAGTGTAAGAGGCCAAGCCTGCAAAGAAAAAAAGGGAGAGGGAGAGAGGAAAAAAAACTAGAGCCTGTGCGCTATGTCATTTCTAACACTAAATGATTAAGAAGTGAGGACCCTGGGGTGTGAGCCAAGGCAGCCTGGGTTGCTCAGTCCTCTAGAAACCCTTCTAAGCTTTCCTCAGCACACAGCCCAGAGTGCTACCCGGAGAAAGAGCCACCTTGTAAATCGCTTTCTTCACTGTGCTGCTATGCCTTTCAAAACAAAAGCTAAAAACTCCTCCCACCCCCATACAACTTGATTTATCATGACCCCGTCATCTCGGTGTCCCGGTGTTAGTTCAAAATCAGGCTCAAAACTGCAAAGGCTGGAGGGAGACTGTGGGAGGGTGAGGGACACTTTATCCAGCACGTGGCACACGCACCTCTGCCGCGTCGGTTCATGCGTGTCCCTCCCTGCGAGCTTGGCGGGGCACTGTGGACACTGGGTTCTCTGCCTGATAAAGGGGGATCCTTTCATGTAGCATGCATCAAGATGCATGCATGGTGTGCTGGGCTGTCTCAGCCACTCTCCCAGGCTTCCCTCCTGCCGGTCCGCACACAAGAGGCAGCGTGCTGGGGAGCCAGTGGAATAAGGGCCCCACAGGGGCAAGATGGCCAGAGGCCATTTCAGCATGACCAGCATTTATGGATCTCCTTCTGTGTACCTAGCAGGGCAGAGTGCAGGGGTAGGGCTTAAGGAGGGGGGCGTGCTGATAGCCTCAGGAGGCCCATCTGTCCCTCCCTCTCTCCCTGGACTCCTCTGTCATCCCATCCCCTCCTAGCTGGCATGATTTTTCCTGTACTCAGATCGCAAAAGACTAGCAAGCCAATATGTTTGCTGGGGGAGTCACAGAAGGCGAAGACCCCCCCATCCCTGCCTTCACGGAGCTTCTGGCTTTGTGAGCCCCCCTCTTCTTGTTGTCAGGCTCCCAAATGACCCCAAAGGGTTTGCTTGCAAAAGTTTGTCCTCTGGACTTTGTGTTTTTCCCCATCTGCTCTACCCTCCTAGTGCCTCCTGGCTCCGGCCCCAGCGCCAGCCCCTGTCTGTCCCTGCAAACACAAGTCAGCTGTGTGTGCAGACAAAGCCGTGCGCCGCAGCGGGGGCCGGGCCTGCAGAAGGGACATTTCCAGGGAACTCTGGGGGCGGCGGCTGGGAGGGCAGAGGCGACTGTCTGATTAGCAGAGACTCGGCGTCACAGTCTAGGGCAAAGAGGGTGCGGGGGATTTGGCCGGGCCCCAGGGGCCAGTGGCTGTGGGTGGTGACCAGGGGAGGCAGCCAGGCTGGAAGAAATCTGCTGTTTGAGAAGTGGAGGAAACGGGCTGGAGAGGAGAGATAACAGCCCGTTCTCTGTGTATCTGCATGCGTCTGCCGGCGAGGGTGGCTGGAGCCGGGCGGTCTGAGGCCATATCTAGCGAGATTTTTGTTCTGGGTTGTGAAAGTGACCTATGGAGCCAGCAGCAGGGTTCAGGGCCTGGGAGAGAAGACACGTGGCCCTCCCCTCTCCTCCCCTTGTCTTGTGTTAGTCTCCCCTCCTCTCCCCCTTGTCAAACAGTAGAAAAGGGAGGGGGCATGGGGGCAGGAGAGGAAGCATTCTTAGTGCGGTAAAAGGCCTGGGTTTCGGTCTGGATTGTACCACTAATTTGACATATGAACTTGGATACTTCCCCTAATATTTCTGGCTGTCTCTGTCTCATTGGCTGTAAAATGGGGATTATTTATAACTGCTCTGCATAGCACGCATGAAATAAGGACGTGAAAATAGTTTGTAAACTGTAAAGTGCCACGTAAATGTTAAAGAGTTGTACTGATTCAAACTGCTTTGAAGCAGGGGCTGGGGCTGCTGATTAAAGACCTGCCTTAGATGAACTAGGTGCTGAGTGGTGGGCAGGAGGGTGGGGTGGGTAGGATCAAGACTTAGGGACCCAGAAGTTTCCATGGAGGCAGGGGTGGGTCACGGGCCCAGCCAAGTGAGCCCTGCCAGAACCAGGACCCAGGGCAGGCGTGGAGGGTGAAGTCCAAGAGCTCTCTGGGTGGGGGTGTTTGGTCATGGGCTTGCAGATTCAAGTAGAAGGTGGCCTGGGTTGGGCATGGACTTCTCCAGGGAGACAGGGGAAGCCATATGAAGCCCCTTGCCCATCAAGCTCCAGGGCCCCTGCCTGGCCTGGAGCATAAAGTCCCACTGATTGCAGAGGGATGGGGGCAGCACTCTGTTTTCCTCTCCTGAGCCTCTGCCACCCAAGGAAGCCAGGTCCCCCTGTCCCCCCACCCGCTCCCCATCCTGACCTGGAAATCAGCCCTCTCTGATGTGGAAACTCAGGCAGGAGCTGGCAGGGGTGACAAGACTGTGAGCGGGAGAGAAGCTGAGCTATTTAAAGCGTGCAGCGCCCAGGGGACATGAATGCCACCCACCCACAAGGCCTTCTCAGCATTCGCTTTCCCCTCCTTGGCCCAGATCCCAGGCCCTCAGTGCACCCACAGGGCCACAGGTCAGGTGCCCGAGGCTCTGGGAAGCTGCAGGCGGACAGGTCCTGGGGCTGGCATGAGATGTGGTTCAGTCCAACCTCGGCTTGGGTTCCCTCCTCTGGGCCTCCGGGCTGAGTTGGCGGGGCCACACAGACTCCTTGGCTCCTGTGCCTTATAAACAGGGCTGAGTGTGAGTGTGGAGCTTAGAAGAGGAATGCCCACGCCTGTGGCCCGGGGCAGCTGCCACCACCCACCCCCACTCCACTGGCTACCAAGCCACCAGACTCAGAGAGCCCATGGGGCAGGAGTGGGAAGTGGGGAGCTTCGCCTGTAGACCCTTCTCCCCTGCCCAGGCCTGGCTTCCCAGAACACCCCAGATTACAGATGTTTTTCTCCTTCATCTCCAATTAACATTTACCTGTCCTGGGTCCTAACCTTTAGTGAATGACAGGGTGTACTGTCCCTCCCTTCCTATCTGGGAAAGGCTGATGTCTTAGCTGGGAAGAGCAACTGGGATCCAGGCCTGTTAGACACAGGGTCCCATGTAGGCCACCACAGGTCTGGACCACCTGGGAGGCCTAGCTGGGGGGCTCCCAGGGGCCAGTCCACCAACCACAGCTGGTCTACATTGCACCAGCACGGCTTATGTATGGAATGACTTGAAAAGTCGTCGACTGCCCTTTCTGGGAAGGACTGGCTACTACTCTGAGATTGCATCCTTCCTACCATATTGGCATTAAGTTGTCCTTTCTTTTATGATATGACGGATGAAGCTTTAAAAAAAAAAATGCTTAGCAAAATAAAATGTGGGCAACCCTCAAATTTTACCAGTCCAATAAATCTTGGAGCTCAGGACTCTGGTTCCAGAACAGCACGGTTCACCTGGATACCCAGCTCTCCTGGCACTGAGGAGCCCGGGGATAAGAGGAACTGTTGAGTGTGTGGGGTACAGCCTGGGGAGGCCTCCGACCCTGGGGCTGCATGCCTCACCCTGACAGTAACTTGCAGCTTGAACTGCCAGTTCATCTTTACACCTGGGATTTCCACCCCACCCCACCTCCTCTATCCTCTCGGCTGGAGACACTTCCTCCCACGTGGCTGGGAATTCAGTGTTTTGCTGTCTGCCGCAGGCTGCCACCATCCCGTAGGCCGGGGGAAACCTGCGGAGGCTGCCTCCAGGCAAGCGCTGCCTGCCGACCACCGCCCTCTGACCCCAGTCCACCGAGCCCCAGAGGCACCCAGTCAGCACTCACTCCCTCCAGCCTTACGTAGCGTCCACACGTATGCTGTTACCCACACGGGCCACCAAACCTCCAGTCCCCTGCCCTATCTCACACACATCTTTACATTGCTCCATGTGCACTCTAGTGGGGATGGCCTTTTCCACACCAAGATTCATTCATTTATCAGCTGAGCATGTGCTGTGTTCCAGGCAGCGAGATGGTGGAAAAATGGAAAAGGAGGTCCCCTCTCCTGCCATTGGGCATCTCCTAATCTGGTGGGGAATGCAGACAGTACCCAGTAACTCCAGACCAGCATGCTAGGTGCTGTCATCGCGGCACACCCAGACGGCCCCGAGCATCGAGAGGAGAGAGAACTCACATGAGGGTGTCTCACAGAGAGAGGAACACAGGCCTGAGTCCCAGCACCTGGGCTGGGGGTGCCAAACAAAGAAACGTGCAGAAGGGCATTGTCTAGGCGAATACAGGAGCATGAGCAGAGGCAAGAAGCAGACAAGAATCATGTACAGCAAAAGAAGGGGTTGTTCCCGAGTATAGTGTGCACTGGGGGCTGAGGTGGGAGGAGAGAGTGTGGGCCAGAACCAGCTTGGGAGGGGCACTGTTTGCCCTACCTGGTCGGAGGGACCATACCCTTTGGTCTCTGGGGCACCACCAAAGGTTTGTAAGGATGGAGGTGATGTCTCCTGGTTGGCATCTTTGGCTCTCTCTCTGCAGCAGGATGGAGGAGGGCAGGATAAGGACCCTGGGAGGAGCAAAGCACCCCACTGGGGGTGTCCTATTGGAGCCTCCTGGGAGAGCCAGGAGAGGTGTGGGCAGCCTCAACTCTGTGGCAGTGGGGCCTAAGGGTCAGGGGATGATCCATGAGTGGTCAGCAAAAAGAGAGAGACAGAGAGAGAGGTGGGGGGACTACCTGTAGAGCAGTTAACATGCATCAGCACCACAAGCAGGAGGACCGCTGGGCAGAGAAACATGTATGCACATTCATGCACGTGTACATGTGAATAACTCCTCTCACACATGCTGGAGGAAACCCTCGCTGTCATCCACACTCCCAGGAATGGCCACATTAGACATCTTCCCCCTAGTTCCTGAGAAGCAAACCCGGGAGAGCCCAGCCCTCAGCCTTGCTGCATGCGTGAGCATGGAGTTTTGCACTCTGGCCAGTTTTGCCTCTAGTTCTTTGTTTCTGGAAAAAACAGGCACTAGGGTGAATTTCTTTTCTCTTTTCCTACCATCCCATCTTCCTTCTTCCTTCTCTTTTGTCCTTCCTTCCTTCTTTCTTTCCTTCCTTCCTTCCTCTCTCTTTTCCCTCCTTCCTTCCCTCTCTTTCTTTCATGAAGAAAAGCTCACAGAAAGGCAGAAGGAACCACAGTCTATTGACGTTTCTGACTCTTAGAGGCTCCAAACCGAAACTCAGCTGTGGTTGCTCTAAGTGGCTACAAAATTAGAAAAATAATTTGCAGAAATGAAACCTGACTTGGGATGCCGTTTCACAAAATAGGCTAGATGGCCTTGATGTGTCATGAGGCTCCCACCACTGCGGCCTGCACTGCTGGAGGAACTCCTCACATCTCAGGCTGGGGAGCATTTCCACCCCTGCAGTCAGGCATCCTACAGAAACCTGCCCCCTGCCTACCTGAAGACAGTTCACAGTTTCCTCTGAAATGGGCGGAAGAGCTGGACCCAGCCACAAGACCATCAAGGAAAGCAAAAGGCTTTCAAAAGTGAGACTCCCCAGAGACCAAACCCAGGGGAAGGGATCTGGGGATTCTTAACAGACTCCCTGGGAGTCCAAACCAGGCTGTGAGCTTGGCTTTGCCATGAACTAGCTCTGACCTCCGTGCCTTTGGTAAACAGTATCAACAGCTGCCATTTACCAAATTTCTATGGGGTACCTTGCTTGGCTGCACCTGGGGAGATTTGGAAAATGCCAATGCCCAGGCTATGCCCCAAGCAAATTGTGTCACCATCTTATGGGTAGGACCCCCGCATCAACATTGTTTAAAGCTTCCCGAGTGAGCCCAACATGCAGCCACAGCTGAGAACCACTGCCCCCACCCATTTGGCTGGAGACTTACGTAGGTTCATCCTCACAGCAACCCCGCCAGGGTTTATGAATAAGGAAGCTGAGGCTAGGAGAGTTTGAATCACTCATCCGAGATCCTTGAGGTTCTCCCTCATCCCAAAGCCCATCATTCTTCCTCCTTTGCAGGGCTGGATATACCTGTACAGACCCCGCACAGCATCAGTGAGTGATCCAACCAGCCAGCTGAAGGAGCTCAGAGAGCACTGCAGGGAGACAGGGGAGGTGCCGGCGGAGCAGTCTGCCTGTTCCTGGCGTTTGGGAGGGGGTGCAAGCCTCAGGCCTGTTTTTCAGCCTCCCTCCCAAGTCACGATTGGTCCCTAGTCCTGGGGATCCAGGCTGTCTGGGTCAGTTTGAACCTGAGCCTCACTCAGCAGATGCTCTTAGTGTCTAAGCCCAGCGGTGGGCACTGTCAAGAGCCTGGACTCAGGAGCCGCATTCCTGCCTAGGTTCAAATCCCAGCTCCACTACTTATAAGCTGTGTGCCTTTGCAAAGTGAGTGATCTTTCTGTATGTCAGTTTCTTCATCTGCATGATGGGGTGACGTTAGAGTTGTTAGGAGTACTAAATGAGACAGTGCATATCAGGATTGAAAGCAGTTCCTGGAACATAGAAAACAAGAAAATCCCAGGCACTCTAAGGATTACGACTGTGAACGTGCAGTTCATTGCTGAGCAGAAACTCGATGGAACATGGGCCTGAATCAGTCAAGGTGATAAGTTTAAGTCAATGTTTGCCCTTTGGCCTTGCCTGTTCTTAGCTAGATCAGAACCCCTGGGGTATGGAGTCCACACCTGGAACTTCGAAGGGAAAGGAGGAACCTGTTTTCCCTCTTTGGCCTCACCCCAGCCCAGGGGTCCTTCCTCCTCTCCCACCATGGTCATTACCACCCTTCCCCCCACCCACCCCCAGTCAAATACTGACTCTGGAAGCACCTTCTGCATGGGGCAGGGGGTGGCCCGGATGACCTCTGGAGCTCCTCACCCCACCATGGCAGTAAATCTCCCTTCCCCTACCCCACCACTCAGCCTGTGCCCTGCTGGAGCCCACAGCCCATCCATATGGTTCATCAGCAGCCTGGGAGGGGCCCTGTGGCTGGGAGTTTGTTTGAAGCCTCCAGACCATTGAGGCAGGGGCGGAGCTGTGGTCAGGACAACAGCAGTGCCTTTCACTGGCTCTCTGGGAGCAGCTGTGTGGGGGGCACCGGCCCAGAAGGATGACCGACATCCACCCGCAGTCCTTACTATTTGCGAGGGATAGGGCAAAGGAGGGGCCCAGCCCAGGATGGCTGTGACCACATTGGTTCACATGTTAAGTATGAAAGGAAAAGAAAGAAGGGAAGGGGAGGCGGGGAAAGGGAAGGAAGAAAGAAAGACAGAAAGAGAGGGAGGGAAATAGGGAGAAAGGAAGGAAGGAGGGCAGGAGGAAGGGAGAGAAGGAGGAAGGGATGGAGAGAGGAGACTCACATCTCAGAAGAGAAAAAGCACCAGGAGCTTTCCTTAGTCAATCATCTGCCTGCAGGTTGCTTTACACTCAGGGCTGTGCAGCCCAACTCTAGGCCTCAGCCGCCTCCATTCTGAGGGCCTTGGATACAATTGCCCCCAAACCAGGCATTCCAACCAGGGACCGTGACGGGCCCCAGCTCCAGGCCTCCTGGGTATCCTCTCATGGTTGAGTCTGCCCCCTCCTGAGAAGGAAGAAGAGGCAGGGTGTGTGTCAGCCTCATCACGCATTCCATCTCCCAGACGGCTGCCTCTGTCTGCCTGTGCAGTCTGCTTCTCTTCCAAAGGGTGGTTTGCAGTGCAGATTCATGGCTCCCAGCTAGAAACAGTATTCCCTCTGCCCCTGCGCCAACTCCTGCCCAATTCTTCTGCTCCTCACCCAGTTCCCCAGCACCCTGAGGGGACTGGCCACACAGAAAGGCATGAGAAAGTCTGCTGGCTGTGTCCACAGTGCCAAGGGTTGGAGGTCTGGCAGTCCTCTGCGTTTGGTGTCTGTCCTGATTGTCTCTCCTGGGGGTGACATGGGCAGGATCTCAGCGGGAGGTGAGGCTGGGGCCAGGCACTTCTTCTCCCTGTAAAACACTGCTCAGGGAGAGCAGCTTTGCTGACCTTGAGCTGGGACCCCCCCTTTCAGAGTCTCCCAGTGATAATCCCCATGGGGACAATTGGATGGCCGACCCTCTCTAGCCTTTAGGCTGGGGGGAGAAGAAACCTGAATTTGGGGTTTTTGTCTCTTTCCCAGAAGAGGGGTAGGAAAGAATCAGTAACAGCAATAGCCTGAGCTGGAAACATGCTCAGGGGCCAGTGCGTCCCAGCTTTGAGTATAGAGCTTCATTCTGAGCACTTCCCACATAAAACACAATTGGGGTGCCCCAAGGAGGGGCAGACACCAACATTTCAGGCCAGAATTCCAGACACTTGACTCCTAGGAGAGCTTTGGGTAAGCTGTCTCTTCCTCCCTAGCCTTGGTTTCCTCACCTGTAAATAAGTGGCCTGAAGCCACTGAGGGCCTTTTAGTGCCAGCAGTGAATCCTGTGACTGTGTTCCTCCTATCTCCCTGTATCCCAGGGCCACACCACCTGAAGCATTTTTCCCCTGCCTGGCCACATACCTGCCCCCGGAGGCCTTGTTACTAAGAAGGGCTCATGGAGCTGGAGGAGGTCAGGGGAGCAGTGGGAACAGCCAGAGGCACAGTGGCAGCCTTTGAAGATAAGATTCCTAAGTCTGGGAAATACAGAGGTGTGGCTGTAATAGGAACAGGACACAGACCCTCTCACCATCACAGGGAAACTCAAGGGTCTCCCTTGGGGAGGTCACTACAGAAAAAATGAGAAGAAGCACTTGTACTTCTGTACAGGGTGGGTGTGAACTCATCACCGGCCCAGAGGTGTAGGTAGGCCAACAGTGGACACGGATGCTAGAAAGGTACTATGACATCAGAGTGAGCATGACTGAGTCTGGTTAACGATGGCCAAAACTGTCCCATTCCCACCATCCAATAGCACACCTCTTAGGCCTGGGAGACCCTGGGCAGACTCAGGAGGACGTGTGCTGTGCTGAGCCTGAAGAAGGTGGCAAAGAGCAGGTGTGTGCACGTAGGTCCCTCAGCACCCATGGGACATGTTCCTGGACTGCAAGCCTCATCTTCCTTTAGTACAGTCACTCTAGGCCTCTGAACCATTGCTTCCTTGGCAGGAAGTACCAAATCACAGAGAAGCCTCAAATCATTTTCTTCGGGTTTAGGGAAAGTCACTGATTTTCATTTTCCTATAACATGATGACAATAAGGGCTGGGTTCACATCCCAGCTTTGTCACAGACTAGTTGTGTAACCTTGAATGGGTTTCTTACTCTCTCCAAGCCTCAGTTTCCTCACTGGTAAGATGAGGATGGTAATAATGATTGGGTTGGATTGCTGGGGATTAAATGAGATAATGTAGTAAAGGGCATAATACAACCCTGGCCCTCAATAAGTGCTCATAATGTTGGCTATGGTTCAATTGGACTTTGCTTGGGATAATAGTGAAAGGAATTTTAATTTCAGTTTGATTCATCAGGTGTGCACTAATATTATAGGTCTAGCCCTGTCTGAAACTCTAGGGAGATACAGTCAAGTGTAGATCAGTGACATACCATATTCATGGACTAGAATACTCAGTATTGGTATGATGTCACTTCTTCCTAAATTGGTCTCTAGAGTCAACAGTCTCAAATCAAGATGCCATTAAGCCTTTTGGGCAGAAATTGGCAAGCTGATTCTAAAATATATATGGAAACTCAAACCTACAATATCCAAAGGAATCTTGAAAAAAGAACAAAATTAGAAGTATAAATTAAGGGCTTTGTTTTTTTGCTCTCAGGAACCTTAAGACTAGTGGGGAAGACTAATAAGAGACCCCATGCTGCTTCCTAGGAATGTAGGGTACTGGTGAAGAGTATAGATGCTAGAGCCTGGCCCCTGGCTTTGAATGCTGGCTTTGCCACCTGCTACCTCATGACCTTGGGCAGGGTACTTTTCCCCTCTCTATGTCCTAGGTGTCTCATCTATAAAATGGGATGATCACAGCTTCATTGCCATGGGGCCATTGTGAAGATGAAAGGAGCTAACCCATGTTAGCCTAAGGCTGCCTACTAGGTGTTGGGGAAGGGATGGAAGTAGAATGAGGACAGAGGTTCCGCCCCCAGTACCGTATGTCCTTTGGAGAAGGAAAGCCTAGAAGCTGAACCACCTTTCCAAAAAGGGAAATTCTGGAATAAGGATCTCAGGCTCTGTGAGTACAGCCACCTCCTTTTCTAAGACCCAGACTGGGGAAATAGCTCATCCAGGGTCACTTGGCTGAAGGTTAAATACAGAGGAAGTGTCCAACAGGCAGGGAGTGTGAGCAAAGGTCCATGGCAAGGAGTTACAGCGGTGCTTCTTGGGCCATGGGAGAAGGCTGTTTCTGGAGTGCCGAGTTCGAGGGGGCATGGGGCTAAGGGACAGCCAGCAGGCATGAGTCACCAAGGGGCAGGCTGCCAAATCCAACAGGACGCCCCATGGAGCCCTTTGGCCTGGGCCCAGCTCAGCAGCCCCCTCCCCATCCCCCGGACACACGTACCCCACCAGGCCTGGAGACATTTCCTGAAAGACTAAGAAAGCACTGGGAGCTGGACGGGCGGCCTCAACGGCCAGAGGCTTGAGGCCAGGTCTCTCATGGAGGAGCAGACGAAGGGAGGACGTGACCGGCAGCCTTCATTCTCACAGGCCAGGGATTTCAGAGGAACGCGGCCAAGTCTAGCTCTGAAGTTCCCACTTCAGACCCCGCCCGGCTGGAGCCACGGGCGCCTGCAGTCGCCACCCTGGAAATCAGAGAGGCACGTCATAGGCCACCTCGTGCTGGGGAACACGTCCTCCTGGGGCCTCTGTCAGCTGGCTCACCTGCTGGGGTTCCCGGATAGCCCTTCTCCTTCTGCTGGGCCATGGACCCTCCTCTAGCCAGCTTCCCCCAATCCCTGCTCTCCCTCAGCCCCCAAACCTGTCCACCTTCTCACTCCATCTTCTCAGGAGAGTCCTGGCACCCAGAACAGACCTCCTAGGAATGTCATGTCTCTGTCTTTGAGGTCATGAGCAGACCTGGGGCAGGAAGGGGAGGCCCTGTACAAGCCCTACACTGTGGCTCAGGCCCAGAGAGGGGTTGACACCAGGCCAAAGGAGGGACACATGTCCACAGATAGCTCCCAGGCCTCCTGCATGCTGGCTGGTCAGACCATGAGAGCCACACTGGACAGGTGAGGAAACTGAGGCCCAAGAGGAAATGTGATTTGCCCAAGGCCCTATAGCAAGATAGAGGCAGAGCAGAATGGAAGACCTAAGGCTCCCAAGCCCTGAGCCCCAAGCTCTTTTAAGTCATTTTCATGGTTTCACTTCATTTTCTTTTTTCATTTCCTTCCTTCTTTAAGAGAAAGGCAGGCTCTGGATAGACAGGCAGGGACACAGGCAGGGCTACCAGAAACTCAGAGGAAAGAAGAGAGTGGCCCAGGGTTGGGCAGCCTCTACCCCCAGCCCCCAAGCTGAGTGGAAGCCCCTCCCTCCCACCCAGCCTCAGCCTGGCCCTGGGGGCTCCCCTTAGTGGGAGCTACCAGTTTGTGGACACAGGAATGTGCCTGTGGCTTGCCCAGAGACCCTGAGGGCCAGCACCTCAATCACAGCATCTCCTTGCCCCAAGCAGCCTGCCCCGTCTCAACCGTAGCTTTTATCACCTTCCTCCATGCCTCTCTAGTGAGTGTCTTCCCTGAGTCAGCAGAACCTGTTCATAGTCATCCCTTCTCCCAGATTAATCTCTCTCTCTCTGTAGCCTTCCCTGATCACCCAGGCTGCTGGAGTCTATCTGTGCCCTCACTGGGCACTCAGCTTTTGCCACCTGGTGTTCTTAGTGTCATCTCTTGGGTCTGTTCCTGTCTCTCTAACCAAACTTTAGGCAACTTTGTTCATTCAACACTCCATGAATTCAAGGCCTACCACGTGCCAGGCCCTGGGCTATGGTGGGATTCAGCAGCAAACAGACAGACTCAGCAACCTGCCCTCATGGAGCTTACATTCTAGCGAGGAGGGGATGATAAGCATCAAAGCAACAGATCTGCAAATAAGTAAATTTCCAAAAGGCTGTGGAGAAGGAAGCAGGGCATGTTGGGGGACAATTTTAAATAGGGTGATTGGAAAAGAGCTCACCCAGGTGACCCTTGGATAGGCTTGAAGGAGTGAGCCGTGCAGACCTGGGGAGCATCCTGGTCAAAGAGAAAGAGCAGTGAAAGGCCCAGAGGCAGGAGTGTGCCTGCCCCATGGGAGAACTGCAAGAAGTCCAGGTCAGGGGGGTGGGTGGGAGCCATGGGAAGGCATCAGGTCAGCGGGATGCTGGGATCTATAGGCTCACAAGGACGAGATTAGCTCTGAGAGGGGTGGGATGCATCAGAGGGTTTCCAGCAGGGAAGGCAAGGTCTGACCTGAGTTTTAATAGCGTCACTCAGGCTGCTGGGTTGAGAGGAGTCTGAAAGGGTGGAGTAGATGCAGGGATACCAGCCTGGAGCCTTTAGGGGGACAATGAGCATAAAAGCAATGGATCCACAAATCTGTTGAGTAAATGTGGGAGAGTAAATAAGGGAGAGTCTAAGTAAGGGGTGGTGGTGAAGTGATTAGGGTGAAGGGACAGGTCAGAGTCTGGGTCTACTTTCAAGGAAGAGCTGAGAGGATCCTCTGAAGGACTGGACGTAGGTGCAAAAGAATGTTGGGGTCAAGGATAACCTAAGATCTGGGGCCTGGACAACTGGAAGAGGGGCTTACCACTAACTGAGGTGGGGAAGATGCTTCAGGAGGGTGGACCAGGAGCTCACTATTGGACATGTCATGTTGGAATTGTGCAATAGGAAGTGGCCAGGTTGAGTGGACAGTTGGAGCCCGGCATTCAGAGGGGTGATCTGGATAGAAATAAGCCTCAGGGAGCTAATTTCTATCCAGGTGGTATTTAGGTGGTGCTATTAGGTGGTATTTAAAACCATGAGACAGGATGCCATCTCCAGAGGATGAGGATCTATGGTACAAAGGCCACTTGGTGTAGAGCAGAAGCTGTGTCTCCAGTTGTCTAGAGTTATGAATGGGTGGCTGATGACGGGGCTCTGACTCCACCGCTGTCACAACAGGCCAACTGCAGGAGAGAGGCTTCAGCCTCTGCCCCCTCCCTGGGATCCCCTTGCAGGCTAGCACAAGGGAGGGCTCAGGAGAGACAAGTAATTATCCTTATAAATCAGGAGGCTCCTGCCAGGGAGAAGCAGGGAGGGGCAGGCTGCAACCCCACCCCCTCTAAGTCTCTTGACATTTCCTGGGAAAGTGGTGTCATTTTATCATTTTATTCCTTGGTAAGGCTTAAATTTCAGCTTTGGGAAACTGACAGAGAGGATAGGATAGGTGCCTGGGGGCCAGCTTTGCTCCCTGTGGCTTTATATAACTCAGGCCTTTCCCCACAGCCATTTACAACTCTGGCTTCTGTAATGTGGTGCCAGCAGGATTAAGTTTTTAGCGCCCACTATATTTTGTGCTCTGTATTTCTGACAAAATGTTTCCTCCCTCATGATGATAGCTCAGTAAACAGAATCCCTTGGCGCAAGTGACATGCTGGGTGGCCACAGGCTCCAGGGGGCTTCTTGTGTGCCCCCTTCTCCTCCTCTCTTTTCTTAACAATTAGCCCAGCTCAAGTTTATCTTCATTTATTGACTTTTCCCTAAAATTGCTCCCAAATACTTCTTTGAGGCTGCCATACCAATGCCCAAGCAGGAAAATAGATGAGTTCAAAATGGCAGCCCACCCCAGTTTTATCCGACTTGAGTGCCATTTCCCCAGGAAAGTGGGAAGGTTTTGGGGGAAAAGCCTGATTTCCAGGCAGCCAATACACAGACCACAGGACTGTATCACATAGCCCAGCCTTGCAGATGAGATCCTGAGTCTCCCAGCCACCCATGCCCGCACAGTGCTGGCAGTGGGATACTAAAAATTAAGCACCTGTTACCTTCGCTTCTGCTCTACAGATTTCATCCCCATCCCCATCTCCCCAGGGGAGGCGAGGTAATCTGTACCACCTTGGGATCCTTTGGGTTTTCTGACTAGTAGCCCAAAGGGTGGCTCTCAGCCCCCCAAAGCAATGCCCCAGGGCCATTCTACCTCACTTTCCCCATTCTAGCCCCCAGCTTGGTTCCTGCTCTCTGCCCATTCCTCCTAGAGATATGCAGTCAATACCACTCACATCTTTTGCTGCTCCTTTGACAGATGTATTCCTCCCAGCTCAGTTCCAAGCTGAAGGCATGGGTGAGCCTTTGAACAGTGTTAAGTCACATTAGGCACAGAATCAGTGAGGGTTCGGCACAGCAGTGCTGGAAAGACAGGGTCGGGGAAAGCCAGATCTAAGGGCCATCTGCAACTCGAGAGCTAAGGGCCTCAGCTAAACTCCCAAACAGCAAACCTGGCCTCCCCAGGGTGGGCGAAGGGTCTTGGGGCCGGGGGAGGGGTTGCTGGGCTACGGCTGGTTCTCCCACAGATGGGGTGGCTCTGGCTGAGTAGTGGGGATTGACATTTCAGTAGCCAACTGCCTGAGGTGGGGGGTTGAAGGGAAACTTGGAATCAGAGGGAAGTTTGGGAACATTCTTCCCAGAATAGCTTTAAAAATAGGACAGCTTTACAAACCACCCAGGATGATTGAAGGCAGGTGGGATCGAAGCAGATGCCCTCTGGAGATGCCCTCTGGAGATGCTTGTCAGACTGGAACATGTGGGAACTCTGGAGGTTTTCCTGATTGTTCAGCAGATTTCAGAAGGCAGCCTCGGATCTTCCTTCCCCCAGGCCCTTTGTGTGTATTGCATTCGAGTCAGCACCTGGCAGAGAGGAGGCCCACAAGCATCTGTGGAGGGAGGGATGTGTGTGTGGATGCATGGGTGATCGGTAGGGGGTTGCATGGATAGATGGGTCAGGGTGGGTGAGTAGATGGATAGATGGATGACTATAGACTCCACATTAGCTGGCGAGAGTCCTGTGTGAGGATTCATGCAGAACATGGCAATCCTAAGTGGTTAGTTTTGCCGTAGCTTCCTGTTAAATAGATGTCACCTTCACCTTAGGAAGAAGCTATATTTTGGAAGCAGGTGGCATTACTCCTGGCTTTTTTTGATCCTTGGCTGGCAAGCTTACCTTTTACTTGAAGGATACTGTGTCAAACCATGGACTTAGTTGCCAGAGAGAGGCTCATCAGAGCATGGAGGCTGTCATTTCAAGAGCCCCCATAACTGCCATTCTCCTCTCGCTCCCTAGACCCCTTCAGAGTGCCCTACACCCTGCAGGTGGGCCTTAGCCTCTCCCCCAACCTGATTTCTCCAAGGTCACAATTTCTTGGGATTCTGATAATGCAGTTTTTGAAAAATGGGCCATCTCATGGGCTACCACAGATGCAAGCCTGTACTTCACCTTCTCATCTAACCAGGAGTATTTTAAGGGAGTCCCAGATAAAAGGAAGCCTGCAGTGAGCTCTTCCATTTAATGAAGATGCCCATTGGGGAAAAAAGTCACTTCTTAGTTTTATCTTATTCGGGTTTCTTCAAATGGCTTGCAAAGAGGCACCTGCATCCCCAGGCTCTTTCAGATGGGTAGTCCTATTTTCCCAGGAGCTCTTTAACCTGGAAAATAGAACTAGTCCTCCTTCCTCTGGTTCCCCAGAATCAAGTTCAACACTTGGGTATACTTTCTCTGTTGTCATCAGCCTGATTACTAAGAATTCTGTGTTGGGAAGAATTTCAGACTATTAGGGGAGGCCATCTCTCTTGAGGGAGGGTTTAGTGTAAGAATTTAATGTTTATAGAAAACGGCTTTTTTTCCCCCAACACAAGTCTTTGCCATCCACACCCTGGGAAAGCCGAGCCACCTGGCACCCACAGCTCTCAGCCAGGTACCATCTTTCCTGTGCTGGAAGTCACTGGAACTATAGGTCAGGACAGGGAAGAGAAGCAATCCCCAAATGCCCAGGTGTTGGTTGGTTGGTTTGTTTTTTGAGATGGAGTCTTGTCTGCCACCCAGACTGGAGTGCAATGGCATGATCTCGGCTCACTGCAACCTCCACTTCCCGGGTTAAAGTGATTCTCCTGCCTCAGCCTCCCAAGTAGCTGGGACTACAGGCATGTGCCACCATGCCCGGCTAATTTTTTAATTATTTTATTTTATTTTATTTGAGATGGAGTCTCACTCTGTCGCCCAGGCTGGAGTGCAGTGGTGTGATCTCGGCTCACCGCAAGCTCCACCTCCCGGGTTCATGCCATTCTCCTGCCTCAGCCTCCCGAGTAGCTGGGACTACAGGCGACCGTCACCATGTCCAGCTAATTTTTTTTTGTATTTTTAGTAGAAACGGGGTTTCACCATGTTAGCCAGGATGGTCTCCATATCCTGACCTCGCAATCTGCCCGCCTTGGCCTCCCAAAGTGCTGGGATTACAGGTGTGAGCCACCACACCTGGCCTGAATGCCCAGTTTTGAAGTTGGCTAACATGTCCATCATTCTGCATGTTTATGGATCAGTGAGGGCCTGTGTGCCGACAAAGGGAGCAAGCTGGAGATGGTGAGAACAGAAAGTAGCTTATCAACATGGACATGATGACAAGGAAGTGGCCATCCGAACCTCTGCCATCCCATCACACCTGCCCCCACACTCAACCCCACAGCCACCCAAGGGCAGAAGGACTTAGAACAGGCAAAGCCAGCCCACAGCTGCCCAGGGGAGAAGGACTTAGAATGCTCTTGCCTCTTTTACATGCTCACAGCTTCTGGAATATTTGTAAGTGCACTCCTACTGAAATCGCGTGGGTAGCTGATCTGAGGGACTTGTGTGACGAGAATTGTTTCCCCTATCCACACTGCTTAGTGAGTCTGGGCTGGAGATCTACAGTTTCCTTAAGACCATCCTTTATAGAGCTCAGGTCTTTTTTCTGACAGCTGGAATCACAGGTGCCCACCCCAGAGCAAAAAGGCCATGTCAGCCATCTGCAGCACTGGCCTCCCTCTGCCCAGGTCTCCAATGTACTTGTCAGAGTCCCCTGTGGACTCCAAGGCCTCCTGTGATCAGCCACCCGGTAGATGATTTCCCAGAGCACTACCCTATAGGGAATATCTAAACTATCCCTAATTTTTCTCCCTTCAAATCCAACTTGTCTCAGTCCTGTTTTTCTCATAAAAGGGCAACTTTCTGGCTGGGCACGATGGCTCACACCTGTGATCCTAACACTTTGGGAGGCCGAGGTGGGCAGATCACTTGAGGCCAGGAGTTCAAGACCAGCCTGGCCAACATGGTGAAACCCTGTCTCTACTAAAAATACAAAAATTAGCTGGGGGTGGTGGTGCGTGCCTGTAATGCCAGCTCCTTGGGAGGCTGAGGCACGAGAATCACTTGAACCCAGTGGGCGGAGGTTGCAGTGAGCCAAGATCGCACCACTGCATTCCAGCCTGGGTGATAGAGCAAGACTCCATCCAAAAAAGAAAAGGGGTGGGGGGGCAAGTTTCTGAGTTCTGATCCCTTGAACTGTGCTGGCATGAATTGTAGCTGATATTTTACCTTGTGAGTTGACTGGGGATTTGCTGGGGAGACAGAGCCTTATCCTGATGGTGCGGTGTTAATGGGCTGACCTCAGGCACTGTGGTATTCTGGGGTGGGGGGATGCTCTGAGGCAGAAAGTGCCCTTCCACGTGTTCCTCAGATTCATCCAATGAGGCCTGCACTTTTAGTCCTCCCTGGGTTTCTCTCCTGTAAAACAGGAATCAGGCAGTTAGATCTCATAGTACCTGTGTGAGGTAACAGGGAGCATCTTACTAACCTATTCTCCAGATGCAGCTCAGCAAGGCCGAGTGACTTGCCCAAGCTCTGCTGGTACTCTGCACTCTCCTTGGATGTTTGCCCAGGAAGCAGAGCCCTCGGTGGTGGGCAAAGCCAGTAGCAGGTGGAGAGAGACCCTGCCAGGCCTCTCTGCTCCTCTGACCACAGTCAGAGTGTCTCTTATCACCTGGGTAGCACTTCCTCTGCCCGCGGCAGAGCCAGCGCCACCAGGGGCAAGCAGACGGGTGAGGAGGTGCCAGACAGGATTGATAGTTCCAGCCTCCTGTCCTTTCCTTCTGCAGACCTGTGAGGGAGCTGGTGTTATTTTTATCTGGGGACACTGGCGTGGGAGGTATTTGTTAACGTCATCTGGTAAACGCAGTTGAATTATCTGTTGTCCAAGGAACCCTCAAATAAGTAGTGTTAAGCATGCTAAGCCGCTCACATTTAAAGATACAGTTAGACTCCTGGGAGAGAATTTGCTTATGCTGCTGCCATCACAACTGAAGCCCAGAGCTGTCAGTTCCAGAGCCCGGGCTTTATTTAACCCTCTTCGGTTTGGGGTTCATCACACATAAGGGCTCGTGCTTTTTTGAAAACCATGCTTCCCTATCTGTTCTCTACAAGTGGGAAAGTGCTTGCAGTCTGTGGGTTCAGTGCAGGGACAGGTTGTCTGCACTTGCTACTGAGTGTGTGTTAAGTTAGCACAGTACTGAGTTCCGAGTCCCATGAAGTAACTGTGTGGCATACCGGTGTGTGTCCTGTGCAGCCTGCAGCTTTCTAAAGGCAGTTTCGGGGTGCACCCCCACCTGCAGGCCTTACATTATAGCCCCCTCTCTTAATGCGCTCCCCAGTATTTCTCAAGTGCCTCTGGATCTTGCTGTGTCCTGAGAAGTTGTCCCATGGGTGGGAGCATTGGGCACCATTGTCACTCTCAGCAGTGGTTCTCAACCAGGAGTGATTTTGCCTCCAGCAGACACTTGGCAACGTCTGGAGATATTTTATCTGGAGCTTTCACAACTGGGGGTGAGGATAGGGGCTTCTAGTGGCATTGAGTGGGCAGATGCCTACGGTGCACAGGACAGCACCCCCCAAGAACCAATGAGCCGACCGAAAATGTCAGTAGTGCCAAGAATGAGGCAAGGCTGCTCTA
This sequence comes from Homo sapiens, assembly GCF_000001405.40. NCBI lineage: Eukaryota > Metazoa > Chordata > Mammalia > Primates > Hominidae > Homo > Homo sapiens. The sequence continues at coordinate 288,246 of NW_013171814.1, forward strand.
ATCTTGAGGCAGATGGAGCCTCCTCTCGCTGCCACCAGCGCGTGACTTGACAGGAGGTGGCTGGGTCAGCAGGGCTATGAGTGGAGAAGGTGAATGGTGCCAGCCAGCAGCCTCGGGTCACGCGGAGCAGTTCAGAAAGTCTTACTGAGCTCTGCAAGGCCAGGATCAAGCCAGATTTTAAGGGGATGATAAGCAAGGTGTGGTCTCTGGCCATAAAGACAAACCATGCAGTTTTGTAGAATACTCTCAGTTCACAAGGAGGTTGTATATCTCTTGCCTCATTCAATCTTCACAACAACTTATGGGCTTGATGGGACAAGTAGAATCAGCCCTATTTTGTGGATGACCAAACTGAGGCCCAGTGGGGTAAATAACTTGCCCAAGGTCAAAAAGCAGCCCCAGATGATGGATTTCTGGTCTTTCACTAGAGCATTTGGATCTCTGTGCTCCTCTTCCCTCTTGGGTCCTACTGGATCCCATGTTGGTGAGGAATCAGTCCTTTCTTGTATTTTTATCTGGGGACACTGGCATGGGACGTATTTGTTAACATCGTGAGTGGACACCTGAATAAGGACAGAATGAACTTCCCATCCTAGATGCCACCCTTTCTCCTGGGGAACTTCTATAATAGCCCAAAGCCAGAGTAATTTCATTTTCATGCCTTCTCTGGCCAAGCTCAGATCTAGCCAGGGACTTCCCCATTAATATAGGGGCCAGAAGCCCACCTCTCTCTGTGCACCCAGATTATTTCCTCCCTGGGGTTGCCACTGCCTTGGAGCCCCCCATCCATTTATTCAGTTAACAGATACACACTGAGGGCCTCCAGGGGCCTAGACGCAGCAGGTACATTGCCGAATAAAGCAGACAGAGTTTCTCTGCCCTTGCAGAACTTGCAATCCGAGTGGGAGAGGCAATCACTGAACGCATAAGCTTACAGGTGTGTCATTTCCAGTTATGATGGGGCCACACAGAAGAGCCAACACAACACAGTGAGGGATGTCACAAGAGTGGAGGGCCTACTTAGAGAAGGCAGAGGGCCTCTGGGAGGAGAAAACAAGTAGACCGAGACTTGAAGGAGGTGCATGTGCACCAGCTTTTCAGCAGCCGGAGGAAGAGGGTCCCCAGCTCTGGTTAGAGAAGCACCGTGGGGTGAAGGTGGGGCACCTTGGTATGCATGGTGACAGGATGGATTTTTCTTCCCCACTCTACCAGTATTTCACAGTCAGCATCCCCATCATCAGAAATATCTTGATGGCCTCCATTCACACATCAAGTCAACGTGAGTCCCCACACTGCTGTTTTATACCTGGCAGTTTTGTACTGTTTTGTACTCTCTGCCAGATACTCAAGAGAGGAAAAGAGGAATAAGATACCCAAGAGGCTTACAGTCTAGCCAAGGAAATAAAACATGCAGGCAAAACTAGGGCCAGCCGGAACATCTGCCCCCATCTCCAGCCAGCCCATCACATTCCCCACCCTCAGTCCCCTGATGTCAGTAGCCACCTACTGTTCTCCCTCCTGTCTGCAGAGATACCTTCCCTCTTGCTGACTCCAACACCCACCATACACTGGCCAAGGTGTGGGAGGTCAGCCAGGCTACCCCATAACACCTGGCATGGATAACCCCCCACACACCCATGTCCTTGGTAAGACCAAAGAAGCAGGAGGAGCAGGCATCTGCGGAGGTGCTCCCCTGGCCAGGCATTTTCATCATCACGGTGTTTAGCCGTGTTTCCCTTTTCTGGGTGGGGAACGTGAGACGGTAGAAGACCTGGGGCTTGCCCAGGTCCAAGGGCTGAGTGGGAGTCGGACCAGAGTGCCTCACCCAGGCCTGTCTGGCATTCAAACCCATTGTGCATATCTTGACACACTAGTGATTTTCATGTATTTTTAGCAGAAGAGTTGTTTTTCCAAACTCAATCTCAGGCGTGTCCTCAACCACATGAAACAGACCTGGCAAAGGGCCTCTGCCTGGGATCCAGGAGCTTTGAGTCTGCCCACTCAACTGCCCTTCACCCATCCCCACAGGTGGCCCAAGCCTCCTTGGGAACAACACAAGGGGCCCATCTAGTCTTCAGACCGGATCTCAGAACGAATGGAGAAGGTCTGAGCACTTCCTTCAGGGCCACCCCCACCCCCGGCACTGCTCAGAACAGACCTCACTGAGTCCAGTGGGGCAGAACCACACAGAATGGCACACTGTGAGAGAGGGGCCCATTCAGACAGAGCCCGGTGCAAACAGCTGCCATCCACGTCTGCAGAAATGGCAGGCACAACAGTCACTTCCTGGTCTATAACCCCATATGGTCTCCAGAGGCAGGCACAGGCCAGGATCACCATTTCACAGACGCAAACGTTGGTCTCCCCCAAGCTCCCTAGACTTTGTGTCCTTCTCTATCCTGGCTCCCTCCGCCTCCGGCTGTTCCTCAACTGTTGTCCAGTAGACATTTTGGGATACGGCTTAGATAAAGGATGTGTGCACTCCCATTGCAGCTTCCTTGAGGGATAATGCCACATAAATGTTAACATGACTTTTAAAGACCATCTGTGGCAAAGTTCAAAGTTGTGGGTGGATGTGAGCTTCAGGCCGAGTCATTCTGGAATCCCCATTATAGGTCAAATCTTTTTGTGAGCATTTCAAGGGGTTTTCTCAAATTCTATAAATAGCTTAGTAACGCCTGTGTATTCATCTATTTTTAAAGCCAGTCTTCCGGACAATTTCAGAAGTAATTGGGCCACTCATTGAAAGTAGGGTTTCAAAAGTCATTTCTTCAGCTTCCAACTGCTTCCAGAGCAGAGGGATCCCAGATGCCATTTCTGCCTAGGGTTGGGGACCCAACCTTCTTAGTAGAACCTGGTCCAGGCAGAAACCGTGGAGAAGACTCTAGGAATCTCCAAAAAGCTGGATAAGCTGAATTCTGGCCCCAGCTCCCAGTTCCTCCCACAGGAAACCTTGGATACAACATTCATCCAACTTATGCTTCAGTTTCTCACATAGCAGAATATGGGCACAGTCACCCTTTGCTGATTAGGAAGGGTTATTACACCTGTTTGCGTCACTCTGTCACCTGGGTGCAGGTCAAAGGTCTCTTTCATTTTATAGATAAGGATGCAGAGGCACGGTGACTGGCCTGACAGTCACATGGTGACTTTCCATTTTATAGATGGGGACACAGAGTCACAGCAGTTGGCCAGTCTTGCTGTCCTTTTATTTTGCGGTTGGCCTGCTCCTCAGGCTGAGGCCTCAGTGAGCACAGCCCCACTCTGTTTCCACAGAGAGCTTCATGTCATGGATAAGACCTACCACCTGTGCCCGGGCCTAGGCCTGGCAAACACCTGTCTCCAAGCCCTCGGCCTCTCTCCTGGGCAGGATGGCAGCCAGGCAGGGAATATCCGAATTCTGCAGAGACAACAACTCAGCCCTCTCCTCTGAGGACCTGGAGGGAAGTGTAAGGCAGGGGTGGGTGGCTGTCATGTCTGCATGATGACCTTTTCAAACTTGATGCCTTGGGGGGTCCAAAGAGCACCAGGCCCAGGATCAGAGACCTGGGTTCCAGCTCTGTCAACCTCAGAAGGTAGGCAGATCAAGGAGCCTCATCCTCCAGTGAGCTGCTGTGTGGGGCAGAGCCAGGAAAGCTGCAGGAAGTGCCTAGAAAGGCAGAGTGCTGTGTAGAGGTATGGCGAGACAGTGACATGAACATCAGGCAGGCGGCAGAGAAGATCAGGGCGCCAGCACGGGCACCAGCTACTAAGTGTGTAATCACTGAGGGCTGCCCTTGAGCCTGGGAACTTCAGCCCCCTCACGCCCCTTGACCTGACAAGTGGTACTAACGTCCTCCCTGAGGCTGAGTCCAGTGACACCTTGCTTTGAGGAATTCCTGCTTGTCCCACTGGTATTCTTCATCTGTCAGACAATCCAGCCTTCTCTCTCTGCTCAGGCTGAAAGGAAAACTTCCAGCCTCTTCTGAGGGCTTTTCAAGGCCACAGCCACAGCAGGTGCTGGCTCCCTTGCCTGAGAATAAGGCTTCGCGCCTGCCTAAGTGTGAGACAGAATTCCTGCTGGATCAGCCTGACTTCTCAGCTTCTCTCTGCTGCAACCCAGCGCCATCCCCCCGCCTCCCTGTCCCCTCCTACGGATCAGCAGAGCTGAGCCTACCTGACCTGATTTTGCCAATAGAAATATGCTGGGTGCTCACAGCCTGGGAAACTTGGAAATGTCTCCAGAGTGATCCAGATTTAGCTGGAAGTGGCTGATGGCTGTTCCCAGCCACAGTGTGTGCCCTTTGTCTAGAGCCAACTGCTGGGGAGAAAGCATTTCCAGCCACAGTGTCATGAACCATCAGTCACAGAGAATGTGTCTGGTAATTTTTTATTAATAATAGTTAAAGGATCGGCATTTGGGGCTTGATTTTCATGTCCATTGATTAGAGCAGATTCAAGATAATCCTCATCATATCACTCTCTCTTCATTCTTTTGGATGGGACAGAAAGGGCAGCAATCACCCAGTACATCGGGAATTTGACATGATGCTCAGGAGAGTGTCAGGCACCTGTGACAGCCACCCGATGGTCCTAGGTAAGGCCTGTGATTGCAGGGGGCAGCTGTTATTTCTGCGTGTGGTCCAGGGATCTGTCACTGAGCCCACCTGCCCCAGCTGCAGAATGACCACATGACCTGGTTCTGTCCAATCAGGGAACCCCATCACCACAGCCACAGTGATTGGGCTGAGAGATAGTCATGTGATGAGCAGGGCCAGTCAGAATCCTTCCCTGAGATTTGAGGGTTTGACATTTGGGGAGGGGGGGCTCTGTCTTCCTTTTGGCTCAAGAACCATTATGAGAGAGACCAGGTGCTGCTGACCGCCATCTTAGCCATGGCAAAGGGAGAACCTGTCTGTGGCAGCAGAAAAATCAGTCAGCATGCAAGTCAAAGCCCAGACAAGGGAGAGAGGGGAGAGAAGGGAGGACCAGCCCTGGGGTTGCTGTTTGAGCCCTGGGGACAGGCTGTGTCCTAGGGCCCACCTTCCATGTAAGACAGCCCAGGCCTGTGTGCCTCTTCAGCTAGTCTGAGATGGTTTCTGTCACTGGCATCCAAGAATCCTCAGTGTCTAGGGGCAGAGCAGAGTGAAGCAGTGGAATGGTCAGGGGTCGTTGGCCAGGGAGATCAGGGATACTTGGGGAAAGGTTCAAGTCCACCTAAAAAGGGACACACCCAAACCCAAGGAGTAGTTCAGGGCCCAGCTGGCATCAGAACTCAAGCAAACTTGTCCCAGGGCGGAGGCTGCAGCCCAGTGCCCACATGGTCCCCGTCTCCCTCCAGACAAGATGTGCAGCCACCACAGACTGTTGCCAGAGTGCAGAGTGACATGCAGGTCAGATTCTGACTGCTCCAGAGTCTAGGTGTGGCTGAGTCCTCAGGGCCAGGCCTCAGGGCTCAGCAGGACTGAGCCAAGACTGGCAGCTGTGGCCAGGACGTGGCATGATGGCCAGCTGTGAGTACAGCCCAGCAGACATGCCCCTTGGCTGGGCTGCATGTGCAGACTGCCAGGGGTCGGGGGCGGCCAGGTCCGAGGCAGGCTTTGGTGGATGGAGTAACTCAGGATACAGCTACCAGGTCTCTCTGCCGCTTATTCAGCACCTACTTTGCACCAGATACGTTGCACATGTTACTCATTTAAGCCAAGGAGGTTTGCCTGACCCAATCAGACTGATGCCAAGACCTTCCACGATGCTGCCCTAGGTGGGTGTGTGAGAGGCAGGGTCCATGGGCTGCCACCCAGGACCCGGGCAATAACCAGATCACCCCTTCCCTGCTTCTCCTCCTATCCTGACTCCAGCTCTGCTAGAAGCACTGCCCACCCAGCCTCAGTGCCCACTTCTCTGACTCTGCCCCTCACCGTCCAGTCCCCAGCATCCAGGCCCCAGTCTCATCCTCATCCCCAGGGCCTGGGAATCCATTATTTTGTCACCTAGGAGAAGCCTGTTGTACTGATGAGTTCTTTTTGTCCCAAGTCACAGGAACCAACTTGAGGTGGCTTAACATTGCTAAATCCTTTTCTGTAAGGATTCTGAGGTTTCATGGAGCCCAGAAGTCCCAGGGAAGGACAGAAGGGAACATTCAGGGTCGTCTCTCAGGCTGGGGGTAACCTGATGTGTCACAGTGTCTGTGGGTTCCATGCTGCAGGCCAGCCCTACGCTTGGGAATTCCCAGCCCTCTGCTTCACTGTTGATAGGAACAGGTGCCAAGGAAGGACTGCACTGTCTCTCTGAGCTGGAGGCTCCTGTCCTGGGCTCCTCCCAAATGATGATGACTGGGGTGAGAAAAGAGCCTTCCAGGAACTACCCAAGGCCAGGTCTAGCCATGGGGGCCAGGCCGCAGGCCCTGGGCTGTGTGATAGGAACGGAGGAGTGAGGGGGCTTCACTGGTGGGGGGGACCAAGGAGGAAAGCCTGCCGGGGGGATTGCAACTAGCCTCAGCAAAGCCCTGAGGGGAGAGTCTGACACAGGGGAGACTCGGGGTTGGGGTGGAGCTACATTGACGTCAACTGTGACCCCACCACACCACCAAAGGGCGGCTCTGCGGAATGTCGTGGCCTTACTTGAAGCAACCCTGGGAAGGGGGAAAAAAAATCCAATAAGCCAAGAAACATCACTGTATGGCAAAAATGTTACCCACAAAAGTGAAACAAATGTCATGAGACGGTGGCCTTGGAGCAGGGACTGGGACTGGCCCAGAGAAGGTGGGAAGAAAATATCAGGAGTGAACTGTCAGCCACAAATGAAAGAAAAGATGAGACAGGCATACATGCTGACTCTGTACTCTTATGTCTTAGATTAACAGCCCCCTACCCTTTGGACAGGTTGTCCTCTTAGAGAAGAGCTGTCTGACCACGTACCGTGGGATATTTATGCATCCGGTCCACACACGTTCATTGAACACCTACAACGAGCCAAGTCCCATTCCAGGGGACATGAAGATGGCTCAGAAAACAGGATTCCTGCCTTCAGGAAGCCCTTCTAGCAAAAAGTCAGGTCATCAACAGACATCAGACCTAGTGGAGGTGATCAGGGCTGGGAAGGAAGCATAGCAGAGTCGGAATGAGGAGTCCCGGGGGCTGTGGTGGAGGGGACAGCCAGGGAAGCCTCCCTAAAGAGGGAATGTGGGAGCAGGAAGGTGAAAGAAGGAAAGTTGGGGCCAAATAAAAAATAAAGCACCTTTTATTTGAAAATTAGTTTCCTCTTTTCAGTATAAAGAATTCTGTCAAATATGTTTTTTAAGCCATGCAACCAATTGCCCGGGAGAAGAATGCCTGGGATTGACTCCTGGCTGCTGGGCTCCCACAGCTCCCCATGGTCTGTCCCTCCCACATGTATCCAGCTTCTCAAGGAAAAGAAACTTCCTGCTAGCAGTAAATAAAAGTGCACTTTCTCCTCCCCACTGGAGAGATGGCAACAGCAGCCACCTCTCTGGACAGAAACAAACCAGGGTCACTGGGGGCATAGCGTTTGGATGGGCAAATTTCCCTAGGCCATTCATTTTCCAAGAGGGAGCCCGAAATGAAGGTGAGTTTGCAGCGATTGGTAGGGGCTGCCCATCTCCCTCAGGAAGTGTAAAAAATATATGCATCATAGTCCTTGTGCCTCGACTACCCCCAACCCCACCCTCCAGCAGCATCTCCCTGTGGTGGTTTGCGCTGCTGGGTGGTGTGGGGGTGTTTTTTCCCCTTTGCCTGTATACAGCTGTTTTTGGCTTGGCCACTGCGCTCCACCATGCCAGAGCTCATGTGGTTATCCCGAGTGGGAAGAATTTCCCAGAATGCCTTGAGAAACCTGAGACACTGAATGGCTTTCAGGGCTTATTGATGTGGCCGGTGCAGGAAATAGCAGTACGTCAATAAATAGTTTTAGGCAGGAAACGGGGCTTAAATGGTAGCCTTAAAGTTTGGGGAAAGGCACTAGGGGTTGCTGGGAGGTAGCCTGCCAATCAGATGAGAACCTAGAGCCAAATACCAGGCTTTGAAATGGCTGCCACCAATCTGAGGCCCCTTGCTGCTTTTGGATACAAGAGGCTGAGGTTAGGGGCAGAGCTAGAGGAATGGCTTGTTTCGGTTGGCAGAAAGGACTCCTTGTTCCAGAGGAAAAGCTGGCAACCTATAACATGTGTCAAGAGGAGACACACAGGCTGGGTTTTGGTGGCCTCTGGGCGGGGCATGTTCACACCCCAGTTCCCCACCCTTCTCGTGAGAATCACTGCTGACTGGCAGATTACCAGAAGAATTCCACTGTCCTAATGCAAAAAATCAAGGAAAAGGGTCACAACCTGCCAGTTTCTTTTAAAATAGCTGTTTTTCTGATTATAAAGAGAAACATTCACAGAGAATCAGAAATTCAGAAAGTAATGTAGAGAATAAAGGTCATCCATAATTCCGCTATTGAGAGACAACTCCTGTGAAACACTATTTCTCCTCTTTCTTTTTAAAAAAAACTCTATTCATGGATGAGATTATATGGTAAATGCAATTTCAGTTTTGCTTTTTTCATTTAACATTATATAAACATTTTCCCCATGCTATTGTAAACGTTTCATAAACTTTTTGTTGTTGTGTTTTTTTTTTTTTTTTTTGAGACAGAGTCTCGCTCTGTTGCCCAGGCTGGAGTGCAGTGGCGCAATCTCGGCTCACTGCAACTTCCACCTCCAGGTGCAAGTGATTCTCCTACCTCAGCCTCCTGAGTAGCTGGGATTATAGGTATGTGCTGCTATGCCCAGCTAATTTTTTTGTATTTTTAGTAGAGATGGGGTTTCACCATGTTGGCCAGGTTGGTCATGAGCTCCTGGCCTCAGATGATCTGCCCATCTCAGCCTCCCAAAGTGATGGGATTACAGACGTGAGCTACTGCACCTGGCCACATAAACATAATTTTTAATGGATGCATGAATCATCATTTACTTAATTGTTCCCCTGTTGTTGGGTGCTTAGGTTTTTAGATTTTTATGTGCATTAAGCTTATTTTTTCTAATATTTTAAATTGTTTCCTTATGATAATTACCAGAAGTGCAACTACCAGAGCAAACAATAAGAACTCTTAAGACTTATTTTAAGGATTTTCAGAAAAGTCATACCAATGCCCATATATAAGTGCCTGTCTCACTGCATCCTTACCAGCATTGACAATTACCATTTTAAGTTGTCCTTATATATATAGATGGGAAAAAGACGTTTTCATTCATTCAATTACTACTGATATTGAATTAAGTTGTTTTCATATATGTATTAGTAATTTACATTTTGACACAGGATTTACCTCTTAATGCCCTTTCCCCATTTGTTCATGAGGGATTTCATACTTTTATTACAAATTTGAACACACTATTTATATATTAAGACCATTGCCCTTTGTCACATTTATTGCGTGTATTTTCCTGAGCATATCAATTGTCTTTTAATATTTTGATGCATTCTTCCATTGTCTTAGTGAAGAAAGCCCCCCTCCTTCCAGAAATGTGAGAAATACTCTTTCATTCTCTTCAAATTTTTGGTCCTTTTTTTTTTTTTTTTTAACATTTGACTCTTTATTCCATCTGGAATTTATTTTAGAGCCCAGTGTGAAGTAAGATTCTAAATTATTTTCCTCCTGATACTTAGACAGCTGTCCCTGCACTGTTGCTTGAGTGAATAATGCTTCCTTTGCCACTGATTTGTGGTCCTCAAGGGATCATGTGATAAACCTTTGTGGATGCCAAATTTGTTTCTAGGCTATCTGATCTAGCTCTCCATTCGGATGTCAGCTCTACAGCCTCTTAATGAATAAAGCTTTATTAAGGATAAGTTAAGAGTAGTGTAACTCTTTCCAATGTTGTTTTGTTTTTAGTTATTTCCCTTGCTATTCTTTCAAATTACTTTTAGGATTATTTTTTCAAGTCTTCATTTCCTTTTCTCCCAAAAAAGTTCACATTGGGATATGGAGTACAGATTGATATTAAACCTGTGAATTATTTCAAAGAGAATTACCATCTTCACAATGCTGTCTTCTCAATAAGGAATTGTGTGTGTTTCTTCGCTAGTTGAAGACGTTCTCTTAAATCTTTCAGTTTTGTTAGGCAATTTTCTTTATAGAATTCTTGCATATTTCTTAATAATGTCACTTAAGTATTTTATTGCTTTATTAAATGAGCTTTGTACATTAAAATCTCACTAGTTAATTCTGTCATAAAAGAAAGCTGTTGATTTTGTGTATTAATTTTGTATCTAAATATTCTTATTAATTAGTCACTGAACTCTCTTGTTAATGATACTCTTTATTAAAGGCTTCTCTCAGATTTTCCATATATTTAATCAAATCATTTTATCTCTTCCATTCTAAGGGTCATAGGTGTTGCTGCCGTTTTTTAATCAAGCCTATTGAAGTAATACATTACATTTATAGATTTCCTGATACTAAGTCATCCATGCCTTCCTGATAAAAATCTACTTGGTTATAATGGATCTGTTTGTTAGTATTTCACTTGGGATTTTATATCTATTCACATTAGCAAGATTAACTTGTAGACTTCCTTATTTGTAACTTACTATCATGAGATTTTGTTTATAGGGAACTGGTTGGAAAGCGTCTCTTTTTCTATGTTCTGAGTCAGTTTGCAAAGGAAAGCAGTTACCTAATTTTTTGGAAGTTTGAATGAACTTACCTATAAAAATTGTAAGTTTAGAGATTTCCTTATAAAGGTAATTCTTTCATAACTTTCATTTTAGCTTATGAATTTTTAGTTTATTCTGGCTCATTTCTTTTTTAGCAAATGTTGATTTTTTTAATGAATCACCTATTTCATCATTTTTTCAAAATTATCAACATAGAGTTATAAATAATTTTATTATACTTTTTTTCTATATCATATCTGTTTTCATATCTAATTTTATTTCTGTTTCTTCTTTCTTGATTTTATATGTGATTTCCTTTCTCTATTTCCTAAGTAATTAATTTGGGGGTTTTATCTGTATTATGTCCTTATATTTCCTTAGCTATTGTTGGTTTTCTAATTGTTTTAGTTAAATGTTTAGATCAACATTGTCTGGTAGAAGTATAATGTGATCTACATATGTAATTTTAAATTTAATAATATGTGTTATAAAATTTCATAGGTAGGTAATATTTTTAAAATATGAGACATTTTACATTCTAGTTTTTATACTAAGCCTTTGAAAAGTAATATCTGTTTTACGCTTACAGCCCATATCAGTCGGGATAGCCACACTTCAAGGGCTCAATATATTGTCACATGTGGATAGTGGCTACCATATTGGATAACATTGGTTTAGATGATATATTTTCTTCCATTATTTAGTGGCCAAAATAGTTAAGACTATAAATTGACCTTTCATTATAGTTTTGACCACATCCCACAAGTTTTTATAGTTATTTCCTAGATAATCTAATACAGGTATTGTATATTTGAGTATGTCTTTATTTCATTTTTCTTTAGAAGAATACCTTTTAAGTATTCAAGCAATTGGCTATTTTTTAATTGTTGTTAATTCATAGTCCCAGTATGTAACCTGTACAATTTCTATGTTTTGAAATTTATACTGAGATCACAGCTTACTATGAAGCTTGTTTCAATTTAATCTTATTAACTATATTATTTAAATCACCTAAGTCATTTGTTTTTTATTCATTTAATCGGCCATAGAATGTTAGTGGTTTTATTTCCTGATATAATTCTTCCTTTCTGGTTTTTTTCCTATGTTTCTTTTTTTTTTCT